>NC_000001.11:40159895-40462925 GCF_000001405.40 Homo sapiens | reverse complement strand
TTTCCACATTCCTTACATCTGAAAGGTTTCTCCCCGGTATGAATTCTCATGTGTTCAGTAAGGTGAATAAGCTGTTTGAAGATTTTTTCACAAATATTACACTCAAAGGTTTTCATTTTTGTATAACTCCTTGAATGATTAACTAAATCTATGTTGTATCTGCTTCTCTTTCCAGGTGTGTCATATTTACGATCTCTTTTTCTTGGAAGACCTATTGGTCCTGGCATAACTTCTGACTTCACATTAATTCTTTTCTCAAATCTATTAGACTCTTGGCCTCTCTCCTGAGTGAATGTTTTCTTGCACATCAGGGGGATTTGCCCCTTACCCATTCTTTGGTTCTCTTGTTGGCTTTCTAGCTTATTACATTTGGAGATTCTTCCCAAGGTGGAATACATGCTGCTTCCTTTTGTAAATCTTTCCATCATTAGGCCACAATGTAGTTCTTCCCACGAAATATCATTCTGTAAGGCTGACTCTTTGGTTTTTGTTTTGCTCTTCAAGTCTGAAAGAAATAATAAAAAAAAAGATCCATATTCCTTGCACTTTAAAAAATTAATTGCCACGGTGAGAATGGAAGGACAAAATATATATACTAGGTACAGGAGTTCTGGATCATCCTCAAATGTGATTCTGCCGTCTAGAGAGCTGATATGGATGCAAGTGAAGAAGTAGAGAAAAGAAGCTGTCAGAAGTATGTAAGGTGGACCAGGTGCGGTGGCTCATGCCTATCATCCCAGCATTTTAGGAGGCTGAGGCAGGAGGATTGCTTGAGCCCAGGAGTTCGAGACCAGCCTGGGCAACATAAAGGGACCCTGTCTCTACAAAACCAAAACAAACAAACAAACAAACAAACAAACAAAAAAACCAGGCATGGTGGTGTGTGCCTGTAGTCCCAGCTACTTAGGAGGCTGAGTTGGGAGGATCACTTCACATCTCAGCCCGTAATCACGCCACTGCACTCCAGCCTAGGCAACAGAGCAAGCCTCTGCCTCAAAGAAAAAAGTAAGTAAAATGATTTTTAAGAAATTAGGAGGAGCTCATCCATGTGAACTGCAAGAGGATATAAACTAATAAGACAATAAGAGCAAATATCAGAAGATAATATCAAGGAAGATAGAATTTTTTTTTGACAGGGTCTCTCACTCTGTCACCCAGACTGGAGTGCAGTGGCATGATCACGGCTCACTGCAGCCTCAACCTACTGGGCTCAAGCAATCCTCCCAACTCAGTCCCCCAAGTAGCTAGAACTTCAGGCACATGCCACCATACCTGGCTAATTTTTGTATTTTTTGTAGAGATGGGGTTTCACCATGTTGCCCAGGCTGGTCTCAAACTTCTGAGCTCAAGCAATCCACCTGCCTCGGCCTCCCAAAGTGCTAGGATTACAGGTGTAAGCCACCATGCCTGGGTGTAAGATAGGATTCTAACATCATATCATCTCAAGCCCATATTTCTCTGACAAAATTTTCTTTATTTCCAAAAAAAAAGTATTTTAAAAGTTATCTCAAATACTTTTAAACACTAAAATAAAACACTGAATAATGTAGGAATGCACTGACTTTTAACAAAGGATAGCATCTCCCTAACTGGGATAAAATTCCCTCCAGTCGCTGAGGATTCTGAAATGTCTCCATTCATACATTTCCCACCAAAATGTATATGTGAATGTATGCATTTGTACATATATGGTCTTAAATATACATCTGTTAAAAAAAAAAGATCATGGTATACATATCTACATCTGTTTTAAGTCTATATCTTTTTTTTTTTTTTTTTTGTGATGGGGTCTTGCTGTGTCACCCAGGCTGGAGTGGAGTGGGGCGATCTTGACTCACTGCAACCTCCGCCTCCCAGATTCAAGCAATTCTCCTGCCTCAGCCTCCTGAGTAGCGAGGATTACAGGTATGCGCCACCACACCTGGCTTTTTTTTTTTTTTTTTTTTGAGACAAAGTCTCACTCTGTTGCTAAGCTGGCATGCAGTGGCACAATCTCTGCTCACTGCAACCTCCACCTCCTGGGTTCACATGATTCTCCTGCCTCAGCCTCCCAAGTAGCTGGGACTACAAGCATGCGCCACCATGCCCAGCTACTTTTTGTATTTTTAGTAAAGATGGGATTTCACCATGTTGGCCAGGATGGTCTCGATCTCTTTACCTTATGATCCGCCCGCCTCGGCCTCCCAAAGTGCTGGGATTACAGGCTTAAGCCACTGCGCCCAGCTGCTAATTTTTGTATTTTTAGTAGAAATGGGGTTTTGCTATGTTGGCCAGGCTGGTCTTGAACTCCTGACCTCAAGTGATCTGCCCGCCTCGGCCTCCAAAAGTGCTGAGATTATAGGCGTGAGCCACCACACTTGGCCTTAAGTCTATATCTTTAAGGGCCTCTTTTTATATCTGTACATTAAGTTTTATCTCATTCTTTATTTAACAAAAATTTAAATTATTATTATATTTTAGAGATGGGATCATGCTATGTTGCTCTGGCTGGTTTCCAACTCCTCGACTCAAATAATTCTCCTGCCTCAGCCTTCTGAGTTGCTGGGAAGACAGTGTAAGCCACCCAGCTAGGCTATCTTATTTTTTCTACAACTGCATTGCATTCTACTGCATGGACATAACATAATTTGACTTGTCCCTACTGAAAAATATTTCACTTGTCTCCAATTTTTCATTGTTATAAAATTACACCATAGTACATCATTATACACAAATGCTTGTATATTCCTGTCAGTATTTCATTGGCTTTACTAGGGAAATTGATGGGTTGTGGATGTGTGTACACTCAGCAAATATGGGTGCCTTTCCCTGCATACTCACTGGATTTGATCAATCTTCATAATTTTTGCCAATATAAGAGGTAGAAAATGGCTTCTCAATTTGTGATAAAATGTTGATTACTCTGTAAAATCTTTAAGGATACAGAATATATATTTTATGCATTGTATACCTGGCATAACATTTTTGGATGAAGGGGTTTCTCTGATATTTACCCTTACTATTCCTATCCATCCATTTTGGGCTCTGCCAACCTAAAGCACCAATACTTCCTGTTCACAAAAAAATCTTATTCCTTAGTATTTCTAACCTCACTTATAAAAAGTGCTCAGAAATAGCTTAATAAATTTTGGAGTCAGCTTAAAAAGCAAGCAGAGATGTTTAGATTACTGATTACAGGGACTAGGGAGATGTTTAGTTTTTCTTTTTAAGGTAAAAACAAGATAAATGTCGTATTTCAAGTGGTCAAATCTGGCAGTAACATTCAAGAAGATTCAGAAAAAGAAAATAAGACATCAGCAAATGCAACTAGAAAGTTGAGTAACTCAGGCATAAAATGATGGAAATGTGCCTTAGTGTTGCCTCAACACAGATGAACAGTAGAAATGGATCTAACAAGTAATATTAAGGAAGAAGCTGTGGGGAACCAGGGAAAAACAGAGTAGAAAACATGCTTAATGTTCTTGCTGATACCATGATTTCTAGAGACTGAAAGAACAGGGGAGGTTAGGATGAGAAACTTGTTTAGATGAGATGGCTTCTGTTTTTGGATGTACTGGGTTTGAAGTACAGAGCTTCTATGTGGAGATGTCATAAATGCCAGAGATACATAAGAATAGGGTTCATATGGATGTATAAAACAAAGATGAAAATATGGAGAATATGGGCAGGGAAGGAATATTTGAAACCATCACAAAACATCTGTGGGAGTTTGTACAGAAATGGAGCAACAGTGTAAAAAAGACAGAGGTTCCTCAGAAATTGTGGCAGAGTCTGCTGGTTATTCCCTAAACTCTGTTCACCCCGATTTTGGACATACGAATAGATGATATTTCCCAATCTCCCTTGAATTAGATTGAGTGAAGTCACAAAGGTCTCTCCTGTTAAGAGAATGAAAGTGAAAGTGATGTGAACCACCTTAGACTGGCCCATAAAAACCTCCCAAATGAACTCCTTTGCTTATTCTATCCTAACTCCTCACTTATTCTATGCTGTCTAAATGCAGATGATGAGGAAACCCTAGTGGATAGAGGAGCCACAAGGCAGAAGAATCTTTCTGAATCACCAGATGAAGAGGAACTGTCCAGCGACCTAAACAATTTCTCCAGGGCCCAGTGCAGTGGCTCATGCCTGTAATCCTAGCACTTTAGGAGGCCAAGGTAGGCAGATCACTTGAGGCCAAGAGTTCGAGACCAGCCTGGCCAACATAGCGAAACCCCGTCTCTACTAAAAATACAAAAATGATTAGCTGGGCACAGTGGCTCACACCTGTAACCCCAGCTACTTGGGAGGCTGAGGTAGGAGAATTGCTTGAATCCAGGAGGTGGAGGTTGCAGTAAGCCGAGACTGCACCACGGCACTCCAGCCTGGGTGACACAGCAAGACTCTGTCTCAAAAAAGAAAAAAAAAAAAAAACAATTTCTCCAGATCAGTGTATGATCAAGGCATAAGTTCATATTCTGTCTGAGATAACTTACAGCTCAAAATCTGTTGTGAAATTTTGGAGTCGATTTATTACAGTAGTTTAGCCTATCCTGACCTAGGCAGAAATCATGTATCTGCATTAAAAAAGACACTGATGAGAAACACTGAAAAAGCAATGAGAGAAATAGAGGAGACAAAAATTATTAAACTAGTTGATAGAGGAAAGGATATTAAGGTGGCGAGGTCTACATGTGTAATCTAATGCAGTCGTGTAAAATAGTGCCATAAGAACACACAAACTGTGGTGTCAGAATGACTAGAATTAAGATATTGAGTCCACCAAGTAGTAGCTAACTGCCCTGTATACATTTCTTAATCAGCCTCCTTTTCCTCATGTGTAAGACAGAGCTAATGTGGGACTTACAGAGAACCCAGCTATCATTCACAGAGAACCCAGGTAAATACCTGTCATTATTACTGTACTTAAATGTTAAAGAAGACTGTTAAAAGCCACTGGATCTGCTAAGAACGAATTCTGTGGTTGATTTCTCAAAGAGCCATAAATTTTCTGGCATGAAAAGTTAAATTACACAAGTTAAAATGAGAGAGTTGCAACTGAAACTGTGATCACAAAATAAGGATTAGAAAAATATTGAAAATGAAATCATTGAGAGACAGTGAAACCGATGGTAAAATGACATGACAGTCCAGTGAAGTGGACTGTGTTTAATGAGGAGAGACCTGTGTAAATCTAAATGTACATGGGAAAGAAACTATGATCAGAGCAAGGTTTAGAATATTGGAGAAAGAGGTAAAAATCATGAAGCTCAGATCAAAAGAAATGATGAAGAAGGTTAACTCTGATGAGAAAGGCATCTCTTTTCCTCTGACTCCAGAGAGACTAATGAGAAGATGGAAGTGTGGGAAAAGGGTGACAGAGATAACAGAATCAACTTTCTTGAATGTACCATCCACATGGCCTCAGTCTTCCCCACAACTTGGAGAAGGCCTTGAGGGGAATTCTCTGGCTAACATCACAAAGGCCCCACCTGCCTTGCACTTACCTGAACTTGGAACTCCTGAAATATCTCTCTCCATCAGCCATGGTTCTTCTCCTTTCTCCAACTGGGAAATCACGCCAGGTTTGGAAAGCTGACATCCTGCTTATGGGGAAGAAAAGACTGTATATGCTGAGGTCACAGAGCCATCCCAAGAATTTAAATATGGTTCTTTGGTATTCGGGCCTTCTAAAGAAAGCAGAGTAGAGTAGAAAGAACAGAGCAGAAAAGAGCATAGCAATCCTGACTGGGTGTTCAGAAGGAAACACAAAACCTCTAATACAGAACCGAAAGCCCAAACAAAGCACTTAATTTAGAAACAAAGGTTTTCATCCAATAGGTACGTTCTATTTTCAAGAGGAGCCCATCCTTACCCACTGAGACCAGGTTCCCATAGTTCTCCAGCATCACCTCCCGGTACAGATTCCGGTGAGCAGGGGCCAGCTGCCCCCACTCCTCCTGAGTGAAGTCCACAGATACGTCCTTGAAGGTTAACAGTTCCTAGAACATCAAATACGTTCCTTTTCAGCCAGACTTTGGGAAGTTGTTCTGACTTTTGTCTAGATGCTAAGAGATTCTAGTCAAGTTTTCCTGGATACTGTCTTGCTAATCATTTAATTTATTCTAATGATTATAGATTACATAAAATGGAGGTTATAAAACAATGCATAAAACATGTAAGTTACCTCTGCAACTTACAATCTGGCTGAAGTGAAAATGTTCATGAAATATTAAAGAAGGTCACAGTACAGTGTACAGTAATTTTGATTAAAGACAATAAAGTTCAGGAGTATTTGGGAAAGTGGGGAGTTCAGAAGGGGCTAAGGCCACAAGAGAAGACAGGGACTTTTGTTGGGCTGAAAGAATTGGTTAAAATAGGAATACTTTAGCATGGGTAAAATAACGTTTACCTAGGTTTTTCTGTTAATAATAAAAGTATGAGAGAACAGCACATTTTTGGAGGGAGCATGAATTCTGCCTAGTAATGAAGACGTCTGGACAGAGATAGACATTCTGGGGTAAGAAGTATAAGTGTCTATTATGTATGATCTACAAAAAATAACCGTTTGACAATTATTTTTTAAAAATACTCCATTAGAGAAATGCAAATCAAAACCACGATGAGATACGATCTCATGCCATTTAGAATGGTGATCATTAAAAAGTCAGGGAACAACAGATGCTGGGGAGACTGTGGAGAAACAGGAATGCTGTTACACTGTTGGTGGGAGTGTAAATTAGTTCAACCATTGTGGAAGAGAGTCTGGCGATTCCTCATGGATCTAGAACCAGCAATACCATTTGACCCAGCAATCCCACTACTGGGTATATACCCAAAGGATTATAAATCATTCTATTATAAAGACACAGGCACACGTATGTTTACTGCAGCACTGTTCACAATAGCAAAGACTTGGAACCAACCCAAATGCCCATCAATGATAGACTGGATAAAGAAAATGTGGCATATATACACCATGGAATACTATGCAGCCATAAAAAGGGATGAGTTCATGTCCTTTGCAGGGACATGGATGAAGCTGGAAACCATCATTCTCAGCAAACTAACACAGGAACAGAAAACAAAACACCGGATGTTCTCACTCATAAGTGGGAGTTGTACAGTGAGATCACACGGACACAGGGAGGGGAACATCACACACCAGGGCCTGTCAGGGGATGGGGGCTAGGGGAGGGATAGCATTAGGAGAAATATCTAATGTAGATGACGGGTTGATGGGTGCAGCAAACCACCATGGCACATGTATACCTATGTAACAAACCCGCACATTCTGCACATGTATCCCAGAACTTCAAGTATAATTAAAAACAAACAAACAAACAAAAAACAAACAAACAAAAACCTCCCAAAAGCTAAGAGAATTCAGAAGCTGGAAGGCTGAAATAACAACAAATCCCCTAAGTATAGAGAATATTTTAATGTTTCGTATTGTAAATAATTCTGAAATGCCCTTCAGGCCTATTAGGCTGATGTTAGCATCCACATTTAACCTATGAGAAAGCTGAATTTGAGAAAAGTTGAAGACATAGGATTAAACCCTATGATTTAAACACATGATTAAACCATGTGATTTTGGGAGCCAAGATCACTCTAAACTCTTCTGTTCTCTAATAATACCCTCTTATGTTTCTCTGACTACTCTCTAATTTTCTTGAGTTTCCCTATGCCTCTGGGGTTTGGTAGTGCAGAGCTTTGCCAATGCTATCAGTTTTCTGACTACTTCATTTAGGACACACGGCACACTGTTAAACTGCTATTAGAAGTTTTCCTTCCTTTTCTGCTTAGCCTATTTAGCTCATGTTCTTCATGACCTGCCAGTATCTTCTCTACTCATTTCTCTTTTCAGTTACAGTTCTGCTCTAGGACTTGACCAAAAATCCTCACTTAAAGGTCATCAATGAAGTGTATACATCTCCAAGAATATCAGAAACTGATTCTGTTGACTTTTAAATGTTGCTTAAAATGACTCATATTTGTCTTTCTCCCAGATGATATGTGAATTTCATGGGCTAGGACTACATTACATTACTTCTTCTCCTCTCTATTTCCTTTTCTCTCTCACACACACATGCGGCCTCAGCACAATGTATTTGTTGGATAAATGGCTAGAGGTTTGCAAAAACAAGAGGTTTCCTGTGGAGGGTTACTACTGGTGGGGAGATTACCTGTGAAATCAACTGATGTGGCCTGGTTTTCTGAGGAAGAACAGGCTAAGAAAAGCCAATCGGCTGGGCGTGGTGGCTCATGCCTGTAATCCCAGCATTTTGGGAGGCCGAGGTGGGTGGATCACCAGGTCAGGAGATTGAGACCATCTGCCTAACACGGTGAAACCCCGTCTCTACTAAAAATACAAAAAATTAGCCAGGTGTGGTGGTGGGCACCTGTAGTCCCAGCTACTCGGGAGGCTGAGGCAGGAGAATGGCGTGAACCCAGGAGACGGAGCTTGCAGTGAGCCGAGATTGCGCTACTGCACTCCAGCCTGGGTGACAGAGTGAGACTCCGTCTCAAAAAATAATGAAAAAAAGAAAAAAAAAGAAAAGCCAATCCAGGAAGTTGAGTCAAAGAAAATCAAACTCCTGCGCTCTTAAAATCTGAGAAACAATGTCAAGAAAGTGACCAGAAACTCCAACCCACCTGGGATTCTGCTGTCAGGGATCCAAGGGTCACTCTACTCTCTAAACTTTCGCCCTGGGTCTCATCAGCATCCTGAGACAGCAGAGCTGGGGAAGGAAAAGAGCCATGAGGTTTGCATCTCCCCAAATCACCCAAACAGAGAAACTGCCTACAGACCCACTCATTGTGGCTTCTCCCCAAAAACGTTCACAAACAGGGACATTTAGACGGACTCAAGAGCAGCTCAAAGCCTCCTTAATAAGGAGGACCTGCTGCAAGCTGCTTTCACCATTAATATTTCCCAATGGTCTTAGTAATCTCTCAGGCCAATCTTTTGTTCAAAAATCCTCAAAGGTTTCCCCACTGACATGAAAGAAAAATGCAAACACTTCAATATAGATTTCTTTTTTGTTATTTTTTAATTATTATTATGATTTTGAGACAGAGTATTGCTCTGTCACCCAGGTTGGAGGGCAGTGGCATAATCTTGGTTCACTGCAACTTCCACCTCCCAGGTTCAAGAGATTCTCGTGCCTCAGCCTCCCGAGTAGCTGGGATTACAGGCGTGTGACACCACGCCCAACTAATCAACATAGATTTCAAGATCCTCCACAACCAGTCCATGGCTTCTCCAAGTATTATCTCCTCTAAACATTATCCTTCATCCACTGGACACACCTACCCACACAATCCTGGTACCATTCTTTGAATACATGTGGATAGTACCCCACCCAAATCCTATTTGGTGAAAAACTGCGATACCCTTCAGGCCCAGTTCAAGTAAAGTTTTCCCAGACACCCTTAATGAGAAGAAAGTTTATTCTCTCCTATGCTTCCCAAAAGCTTGGTTTTTATATCTATTCTAGTATCTATCTCAGGTTGCTTTTTATAATTAATTATCTCTCTCAGTTGAGTATTAATGAGGGTATGGATAGAAACTGTACCTTGCTCATTTTTCTCCATCTGCTAAAGTGCTACACATAACACACTGCCAGCTTTCTAGAATTTAAGTAACACTGGCTGAATTGAGGTATTAAAAATATGCACTACAGGCCAGGCCCGGTGGCTCAAGCCTGTAATCCCAGCACTTTGGGAGGCTGAGGTGGGTGGATCACGAGGTCAGGAGTTGGAGACCAGCCTGGCCAAGATAGTAAAACACCGTCTCTACTAAAAATACAAAAATTAGCTGGGCGTGGTGGCAGGCGCCTGTAATCCCAGCTACTTGGGAGGCTGAGGCAGGAGAATCACTTGAACCCGGGAGGCAGAGGTTGCAATAAGCCAAGATCGAGCCATTGAACTCCGGCTTGGGTGACAGGAAAAAAAAAAAAAAAAAACCACTAGGAATTAAGGCACATGAATAACTGTCTTTGTATTTTATTCCAACTTTTTATCATGAATATTGAACATCTATACATCCACATCTAGATTCAACAATTGTTAATATTTACCATATTTGCTTTACCTATCTACATTTTTTCTGAAGCACTTCAAAGTCGTCTGCATCATAATACTTTATCCCTAAATATTTCAAATAAGGATCTTCTCTTGTACAACCACAGTACTATTTATTAAATCTATGAAAATTAACAATAATTCCATAGTATCATCTAAATATTCAGTCCATATTCAGATTTCCTCAACTGTTTCCTCAACTTTTATTCTGGATTTTTTCCAAACCAGGAGTTAATCAAGGCTCACACATTCAAAGTGGTTGTTACCTCTAGTCTCTTTTACTCTAGAATAAGTACTTCCCCTTTCTTCATGATGTTGTCTTTTTAAGATACAAGAACAGTCTGACTGTATCCTCAATGTGAGGTTTATCTCATTTCTCCATCCCCTGTATTTTCTGTAAACCAGCAGTTCAGTCTTTAAACTTAATTTAGGATCATGTTCAACATTTTTGGTAGGAATACCTTGTAGGTGGTACCAGGTGCTTTATATTACAGTATCTGCAAAGTATAAAATGCCCGGCTATCCCATTACTGAGACATTTGATTAAAACTGTGACCACCACACCTCACTATTGGAAAATTATGTTCATTCCTTGCCATTTAGTAAGTAATTTGAGGGGATAATACTTTGATATCATGTGAGTATCTGTTCCCCATTAACCTTTCAATTATTTTATTTACGGTAAAAGATTCTATCATTCTTTCTACATTTATTTATTTATTTATTTATTTTTGAGACAAGGTCTTGCTCTGTCACCCAGCCTGGAGTGCAGTGGCGCCATCTCAGCTCACTGAAACCTCCCCTTTCCTAGTTCAAGCGATTCTCGTGCCTCAACCTCCCGAGTAGCTGGGATTACAGGCATGTGCCACCACGCCCAGCTAATTTTTGTATTTTTAGCAGAGATGGGGTTTCATCATGTTGGCCAGGCTGGTCTCAAACTGCTGACCTCAAACTCCTGGTCTCAAGCAATCCGCCCACCTTGGCTTCCCAAATTGCTGGGATTACAGGCATGAGCCACCACACCTGGCCTCTTTCTACCTTCATTATTGGCACGCATTTTCTGTAAAAAGCTTTCCCTCACCAACTGAAGAGGATCTAAAAGGCAAGGTAAATGCACATTCATTCCCATAATAACCTATTTTTCAAAGTAAGGAATCAGTGTATTAATTACCTCCAATGTTTGCAAATGAATTCCCCCCCCCCCACGTCTTTCTCTATTTTAAGTGTCAAGGTGATCATGTGGAATTTTACTTATTCAAGGTGTTACCATCAGTTTGGATACTTAAGCTTTCCCAAATCTGTCGAGTGAGAGACCCTTAAACCTGGCCTCTTTTGACACATATCCATAGTCTTTAAGCTCTTCCTTGCTTTCTAGCACAAGTTACTCCAGGCTCACCTGGTACTTCCCCTGCTGCTTCTCTTTCTGACCTAGCCACCAAGTTCCTGTGTGACCCTGGGCAGGCCTCCCATTTGATTTACATTTCCCCACTGTTAGAATAAGAAAAATCAGGTTAAGTCCATCCTGCCCCACATGGCCATGGGAAAGATGAAAATAAATAATATACATAACCATGACACTGAAATACTGGTCCTAGGCTGAAAAGACCACCACTACTTAGGAAAACCCCAGACTAGGAGCCACAATCAACAACTCCGGAAACCCTCCACCCACTCGTCTCCCTAAGAGATGCTTCCACTCAAGTGACTCATTCCTTCTCACACTAGAGGGGACTGCTTTTCCTCCCTCCCACCCATCAGTTTATTCTTACCTTCTGCTTTAAACATCTTAGTCACATCCTCCCACAGGGCCACCCGCTCCGTGGCCGCCTTTGGATGACGCAACTTCACCCAGGTGCTGGCCTCGGTGGGCAGGGTGATCAGGAGCTGCTGCAGCATGACGGCGTCCGCACTCCTTTCTGAGGACCCTCTGTCTTAGCCCATAGGGCTTGTCCACCTCTGATGAGGAAATTGCTGGAAGCTCTGACAGGAGGCTTCCCAATTGTACCGATCTCCTTAATCGCCGACTCCTACTCCTCAATGTCCTCTCTCAGGAACCCAGGGAACATACAGTATCAAAATCCGAGATCTGGACTTGTGTCTATCATCGGCTCTCAGGGCGTATCTCCCAACTTGAGCTCCATCTGTCTCCTTGGCCAGCAGCTGGAGGCGCCAAGTATTTACTCTCAGCAGCCCCTGCAGATGCTGAGCAGAAGACATTAGAATCAGCAAAGGACTAAGGAGGCTCAGTCATAGGGCAGAACGCTAGAACATATATGGATCACTGTAAAATGTTTCCAAAAGATACACGGAGACGGTGGGCAGACACAGCCCACAAAATTCAAAGCACCGCGCACATGTCAGGAAGCACAAAGAGACGAATACAACCCAATTCTTTGTTTGGGGCAGTAATTATGTGTAAAGTAGCCGGGGATTTGGAATCCCAGCTCTTTCACTAGTCGGCTGTAGCAAACCGCGAAACCGCTAGACCCCGCCTCCTCCTCCCCAAATGAGAGGCTAAGTCCTCCCCACAAAGCAAAACGCCCCCGGCCCTAGCCTCCCAGCCTTTGTCTGAGCACGACTCCGGGGCTGCGGAGAGCACCGCGCGCGACAGGGTGGCCGCGGGCGGAACTCGCGCTTCCCGGCTCGCCCAGCTCCCCAAGCCCGGGACAGCCACCCGCTCACCCTCTCCCCGCTGGGCCGGCACGCCCCCGCCTTCCCACCGCTGCAGCCGGGTTCCGGCACTGCGCGGCCAAGCTCCCACGTAGCGCTGCGGCGGGCAGTCGGGGCCCAGTGCGCCTGCGCAGCGGCTGGCTAGAGCATGGTTCCCAGCGTCCTCCCGGGGAGCCGCTCCGCCAGCGCAGACGCCCCCACCGGTGCGCGCCGGGTTGGCTGCGTTCAGGGGCTCCCAGTATCCGATCCCTGCGAGCATCATCAGCCTGGCTCCTGCGGGAGGAGATGGAGCCTGCGTTCTTGGGCCCCAGACTCTGATGAAGAACAACCATCTTTCCTCCGCTGGGAAAATGCACGTGAACGTTAGGGTGAGCCTTTGAAACCCGTGACAAAAGGGAGCCATCGGCATCACGTTTTTTGGTGAAACGACACTGGTGTAAAATAATCCATAGCACTTTCCCTAAATATTATGTACATGCCAGTTATTTATTCTCAGCAGACAGTTGAATGGATTCCGGTATATTGTTAAAAGAATACCACAACAGTTTTCTCTTCTAGTATTCAATAAAAGTTCTCATGTTTATTGCTTACCTTGTATTTCTGAAATGCCAGAAAATACACAAAAACAAAAAAATTATTGCCTGTAATTTCAGCAAGCAGCGGTAACCTTGCTAACAGTTGGTGTACAACCTTTCCTGCACACACACAACGTATTTCATGCATTGTTATATATTTTCCACAAAAGCGATTATACTGTAATGCTGTTTTATTGCTGAGTTTTCTCCCTCCAACAAAATTTGAGTACATCACTCCAAATACATTTCTACATCAACAGTTTACAAAAACAACAAATGAGGAAATAGAATACAATTATAGTACTTGCTAGCTGTTATGAACCGAATGTTTGGATTCCCCAAAATTTATCTTGAAGCCCTAACCTCCATTGTATTTGGAGAGTATTTAGAGATAAGGCCTTTATGGAAGTAATTAAGGTTAGAATATAGTCCTAGTCAGAAACGAACCCAACTCGACCTTACTTGGGGCTTCTAGTCTCCACACTGAGAAAATAAATTTCCGGTTTTTTGTTTGTTTGTTTGTTTGTTTTTTTGAGATGGAGTCTCGCACTGTCCGCAGGGCTGGACTGCAGTGGCGTGACCTCGGTTCACTGCAACCTTCGCCTCCTGGCTTAAAGCGATTCTCCTGCCTCAGCCTCCCAAGTGGCTAGGATTACAGGCGCCCGCCACGACGCCCAGCTAATTTTTTGTATTTTTAGTACAGACGGGGTTCCACTATGTTGGCCAGGCTGGTCTCAAACTCCTGACCTCGGTGTCTGCCCGCCTCGGCCTCCCAAAGTGCTGGGATTACAGGCATGAGCCACTGCGCCCGGCCAGATATCCGTGGTTTAAGCCACCCAGTCAATGGTATTTTGTTACAGCAGCCCAAGCTGATGAATACACTAGCATATAATAGTTACAGAATATGAGGCTCTGTCCTAAGTGCCTTTCATATTTTAACTTATTTTGTCATCACAGAAACCACTGGAAGTAAGTACTATTATTATTCCCACTTTACAGATAAGAAAACTGAGATTTAGAGAAGTTGAATAACTTGCCAAGATCATGTGGCTTACAAGTGGTGAACACAGGCAGTCTATGTTCCTATCTGCTACTCAACAAAAATACAGCATGAAATACAATAAAATGTTAATGGTAGAATCTAAGTAGTGGTATAGGGATGCCGTAATGTAAAATTCTTTCAATTTTTCTGTATATGTATATGTTTTCATAATAAAATATCAGAAAAATACAGCTAAGAATAAACAAGAATTATGCAGGAAATTATAAATAAAACTCCAAATTTTTTGTTTAAATGGTGAGAATAGTGATACAACACATTCACGAGTTGAAATAGAACATTCTAAGTATGTCACTCTTCCTCCAGTTCACATAAACTGTGATGCATCCCAATCAAAATTTCAACTTTTTCGGCCGGACATGGTGGCTCACACCTGTAATCCCAGCACTTTAGGAGGCCAAGGCGGGTGGATCACCTGAGCTCAGGAGTTCGAGACCAGCGTGGTCAACATGGCGAAACCTCATCTCTACTAAAAATACAAAAATTAGTTGGGTGTGGTGGTGTGTGTCTGTAATCCCAGCTACTCAGGAGGCTGAGGCAAAAGAATCGCTTGAACCCAAGAGGTGGAGGTTGTAGGGAGCCAAGATCATGCCACTGCATTCCAGCCTGGGTGACAGAGCAAGACTCCATCTCAAAAAAAAAAAGAAAATCAACTTTTCTTTTTACTAAACTAAATGATTCTAAAGTTTAGCTAGTATGGCAAGTGTTCCAGAATGGCCAATAATGTTTTCCAACAATAATGAAGGCAGACTTGCCCTACCAGATATTACCTTGTATTATGGAGGCAAAATAATCAAAATAAAACTAGTGCCAAAATATACTCGGAAATCAGTGAGATGAAATTGGAAACTCAGAAACAGACTTGACACTTTATTTAAATTTAGTATATTGTAAAGCTGGCGTTTCAAAGCAGCTGGGTAATGATGGATTATTCAACAAATATCATTAGGACAACTAGTTAGCCATTTGGGGAACAGTATGAGTCTTCACTGGCTGACAACAAAATACCATAGACTGGGTGGCTTAACCAACAGAAATTAATTTTCTTATAGTTCTGGAGGCTGGGAAGTCCAAGATCAAGGGGTGAGCAAGGTAGGTTTCCTTCTGAGGCCTTTTCTCTTGGCTTGTAGGCAGCCACCATCTCCTTGTATGCTCACAAGACCTCTTCTTGTGTGCTTGAGGAGAGTGAGCTCTCTGATGTCTCTTCTTTTAAGAACACTAATCCTAACAGATCAGGGCCCCACCCCTGTGACCTCATTTAAACTTATTACTTCTATAAAGGCCTCATCTCCAAATACAGTCACTTTAGGGGTTAGGGCTTCGACATACTCGTTTGTGGCAGAATACAAACACTCAGCCCATAGCAAGAACAAATCAAGTTGGGTTCCTGCTGTACATGTTACACATCGTATAATTTCAAGAAAGTAAAGTTTTGTTTTCTTTTTCACTTTTTAATTTTTTTAATTACCCCGTATCCTAGTCAAAGTAAACTTTTGTTTTAAAGTAAAAGCACAACTGTTAACGTGTTCACATAAAGGTGATTCTAGCCATAGTTTTGGGATAAGAAACTATTCTATACATAGGTTTGTGATTAAGGCCCTATTATTTGCAAGTAACTAGCTCACCAGAATTGCTTTCTAAGTTAAAATGATTATTATTATTGTTGTTGTTGGAAGGATTCTGGAGTCTTCAGGAATTCGAGGAAGAACTGGTTAGCCTAGTCTGTGAAAGTTTACGAACCAGCGGATTTCTGAGCACCACAAAGCAAATGCCCAGAGAGATGCCCTCTAAACCACCACCCTTAACATGATTCAGCTCTGGCAACTTTCAGTTGTGTTACTCAGTTCAAAATTCCAAATTTTGGCAGGATCATTTGATCATTTGGCT
This sequence comes from Homo sapiens, assembly GCF_000001405.40. Classification (NCBI taxonomy): domain Eukaryota; kingdom Metazoa; phylum Chordata; class Mammalia; order Primates; family Hominidae; genus Homo; species Homo sapiens. The sequence continues at coordinate 40,446,665 of NC_000001.11, read as the reverse complement.
TTGACCAGGGGCCACGGAGTGTCATGGTAGAAAGACTTGGCTTCTGGGCACCCACCCCATGAACAGTTAGCAGTTCCCAACGAAGGGGAAATGTTTCAGACTAAGGAAAAAGATGAATGCTCCTGAATTTATTCAATAACAGAAGTAGAACTTTAATACTAAACCATGATTTTTCAAGTACAAAAAAGAAAAGTATAGATTAATTTATGACTGTAAGTACAAATATTCTAAATAAAATATTGACAAATAGAACTAGTGATTAATTTTTAAAAATATATATGACCAACCAAGTTTTTCCCAGGAATATAAGGGTGTTCCAATACCAGGAAGCACATTAACATAACCTATAACATCAAATTCAAGAGGAAAAACTATATGATCATGTCAATAGTCAGTGAAAAAGACTTTAATAAACTTTAGCAGTCATTTCTGGTACATCATTATCTGCTTAACAAGTAAAGAGCATTTACTGTTAGCCAACTATTGTTCTAATTCATGTACTAAAAACTCTAAGTAAAATAGGAATAGAAGGAGATTACTTGGTATAGACTGAATGTTTCATCCCCACAAAATTCATATGTTAAATCCTAACTCCCAATGTGATGGTATTTGGAGGTGAGGTCTTTGGGAGGTGATTAGGTCATGAAGGTGGATCCTTCATGAGTGGGATTGCTACCCTTATGTTGGAAGTAAAGCTCGAAGTTGCGAAGAAAATGAGCACTTAAACAAAAGATTTCTTAGCAAGGCAAAATTTACTTCTGTAGAAGGGTGCTGTTCGCAGGTTTGGTCACCATGAGAGCACACTGAACAAAGGAGGGAAGGGGTTTTTATTCCTAATGCGGCTTGTCCCTGTCACTGTGTCCTGCCTCCATTGGCTGGAGTTGGACCGCACAATCTAAGCTGAACCCAACTGGCTAATTCGGAATGTGGTTACACTGGTGAGAAGGGCAGTTTTGGCAGGAAGAGCCATTGCAACGGGAGGGGTAATTTACAGAGTGGGTAGCAGATGTGGTCTCTGTAGACAAGGACTGGTGAGAAAGTTGTTTACTGAAACTAACATAGGGAGGCACAAAGGATAAGGAAGTTGGTTTGGCCTTGGAAGTAGGCAACAAAGAACGGGACGCTGAACAAGCCAAACCTTTGAAGAGGAACTTCTTTTGTATCTGACACCTTATAAAAGAGGCCCCAGAGAGCTCCCTGTCCCTTCCTTCTACCATATAAGGACACATCCAGAAGATGGCCTCTGGGAACCACCTGCTCAAACCTTGATCTTAGAATTCCCAGACTTCAGAACTGTGAGAAATAAATTTCTGTTGTTTATAAGCCACTCAGTCTATGGTCTTCTGTAATAGCAGTCCAAACAGACTAAGACATTACTTCTAAGAAAGACTATTTACAAAAATAAAAAATGTAAATGGTACCCTAAATAGTGTAACAATAAAACAATTTCAAATAAAATCAGAAACTTGCCATCATATTAGTTTGTAACATTGTCTTAGAGTATTTGTCAAATAAAATAAGAAAACTAGCACAAATATTGGAAAAGAAGAGGTAGAGCTATATCTTTTTGCTGATGACATGATACCATATCTAGAAAAAGTCTGTAACAAAAACTGCTAGAATTAATAGGAGAATTGATGTGAGATAGTTGCCTCATAAGAAATACACACAAAATAAATATTTTCCTTGCTTTAGAAATGAGCATGTAGAAATTAGTAGGGCTGGGCATGGTGTCTCACGCCTGTAATCCCAACACTCTGGGAGGCTGAGTTGTGTGGATCATGAGGTCAGGAGTTCGAGACCAGACTGGCCAATATAATGAAACCCCATCTCTACTAAAAATACAGAAAATTAGCCGGGCGTGGTGATGGACACCTGTAATCCTAGCTACTCAGGAGAATGAGGTAGGAGAATTGCTTGAACCCAGGAGGCAGTGGTTGCTGCAAGCCGAGATTGCACCATGGCACTCCAGCCCAGGCAACAGTGTGAGACTCTGTCTCAAAAAAAAAACAAAAAAAAGAAATGAGCACCTAGAATAGAATGGAAGTGGGATATATTCCATCCTCAGAAGGAGTAATTCTACCTATAAAATATTTAGAACAAATTTAATAATAAGAAAATAAAGGTGAAGAAAATACAAATAAAAATCATTAAAAGGCATAAAACAAGATTTGTGTAAATGAAAATGTATATCATTCATAGAGGAGATTTGCTATCATAACAATGTCAGATAATATAAAATGATTATAATTCTGATTAGAGTCCCAGCAGGGTTTTGTTTTGATTTTGGAACTAGATTTTAAAATCTTAAAATTTATGCAAGAATAAAGGTCCAATACGACACAAGAAAAGTCAAGAAAAGAACGGTGATGGGGGACTTGGCTTACCAGATAGCACAACACACTAAAAAGTCACTTTCTCTGTCCATTTTGTACTGCTATAATAGAATATCTGAGACTTGGTAATTTATAACAAACAGAGATTTATTTCTTACAGTTCTGGAGTCTAGGAAGTCTGAGATCGCGGGGCCCATATCAGGCAAGGGCCTTCTTGCTGTGTCATCCATGACAGATGGCAGACGTGCAAGAGAGCTGGAGAGAGCAGGAGACTCAACCCAAGACCTCAAGCTCTTTTATAAGGCATTAATCCATGCATGAGGGCAAAGCCCTCATGACATACATACCTCCCATTAGGACCTACTTCCCAACACGGTTGCCCTGGGGATGAAGTTTCCAACGCCTGCTTTCTGGGGGACATATTCAAACCATTGCAGTCGCCATAGCCATATGATTATGATTCTGGCATGAAGAATGACAAAGAAACCAATGAAACAGACTAGAGAATCCAAAACTGATTCTAGTACATATGAGAATTTATTAAATGACAAAGATGGAGGCTCAATTCAGTAGGAAATGGATGAATTGCTTAATAAGCGAAGCCTACGGAATTCTAGTATTTATCAATCTAGAAGAAAATAAAGTTTTGACATGGGTCCTCATCTTAAACCATATTCAGAAATAATTCCAGCTAGGTTAAACTCTAAAATATAAAATATAAAAATAGATCAAAATCCTGAAAATCTAGTGGGAGAGATGCTTTTAACCAAATCTACAGACCTAGTCAATGTACTTGACTATTTAAAAATTAAAAATCTTTATAGGCAAAAGATGTCTTAAAGTCAATATACAGATGACACACCTAAAAAAAAATCCGTAATGCAGATGACAGACAAAATCAGTATTTAATTGTCTTTAAAACATCATTTAATTTGAGAAACATCATTATTTTATGTACTACTAAAAAAGAAAAATGCTAGGCTGGGCACAGTGAGTGGCTCATGTCTGGGTGACAGAGTGAGACCTTGTCTCAAAAAAAAAAAAAAAAAATTAGGCCGGGTGCAGTAGATCACGCCTGTAATCCCAGCACTTTGGGAGGCTGAGGCAGGTGGATCATGAGGCCAGGAGTTCAAGACCAGCCTGGCCAATATGGTGAAACCCCATCTCTACTAAAACTACAAAAATTAGCGGTTGCAGTGGCAGGTGCTTGTAATCCCAGCTACTTGGGAGGCTAAGGCAGTAGAATTGCTTGAACCCAGGCAGCAGAGGTTGCAGTGAGCCGAGATTGCGCCACTGCACTCCAGCCTGGGCAACAGAGTGAGACTCCATCTCAAAATAAATAAATAAATAGTAAATTTTAAAAATGCTACTGTTTAATTAACGCACAATGTTTTCTTACAATTTAAGAGTTTTACACTTAACAAAAGAGCTATTTGGGATATTTTGGGTGTAAATTTTATCACATCTCATGCTGCTCTGCTTCTGTGCCATTTAATGTACATGATCTTTTTTTTAATTGTAATGTCAAAGCACCCTGTAACTTTTTTTTTTTGTTTTGAGACAGAATCTTGCTCTGTCACCCAGGCTGGAGTGCAGTGGTGCAATCACGGCTCTCTTAAGTCTCAAACTCCCAGGCTGTAGCAATCCTCCCAGCTCAGCCTCCCGAGTAACTAGGACTATAGGCACATGCCACCAAGCCTGGCTAATTTTTTTATTTTCTGTGGAGACAGAGTCTCACTGTGTTGGCCAGGCTGGTATCAAATTCCTGGGCTCAAGTGATCCTCCCTCCTCAGCCTCCCAAAGTGCTGGGATTATAGGTGTGCCCAGCCAAAAAATATGTACCTTTTTTTTTTTTTTAAGACAGGGCCTCACTGTCACCCAGGCTGGAGTGCAGTGGTGCAAACTAAGCTCACTGCAACCTCCACCTTCCGGGCTCAAGCGATCCTCCCACTTCAGCTTCCCAAGTAGCTAGGACCACAGGTGTGTGCTACGACACCCAGCTAAAAAAAAATCTCAATACAGTACTTTTATTCAGATAAAAAGTTATCTGAATATAGTACTTTTGACAAAGCAATCCCACTCCTAAAAATGCGTCCCTTGGAAACAAAAGCATTGTTTCAAAGGACAGTTGTACGAAGGTGATTATTACAGAACTGCTTCTTCTAGCAGAAAATAGGAAATTAAATGTCCACCCGTAAGGGATTTGCTGAATAAATGATACAGCCACACCAAGGACTTAAAAAGGCCTTTTGAAAGAATCCATTAGCACTATGCCATCACTTGGCAGGATTTCCATAAGATCTTTTCCAAGTGAGAAAATCAAATTGTCAAAAAATTTGTTAGATTAAATCATATGGACTTCCTAATATTCGATCAATTTTAACATACAAAAGGGGTTGGGCGAGGTGGCTCAGGCCTGTAATCCCAGCACTTTGGGAGGCCAAGGTTGGCATATCTCTTGAGGTCAGGAGTTTGAGACCAGCCTTGCCAACATGGTGAAACCCCATCTACTGAAAATACAAAAGTTAGCCGGGCGTGGTGGCAGGTGCCTGTAATCCCAGTTACTCGGGAGGCTGAGGCAGGAGAATCGTTCGAACCCAGGAGGCAGAGGTTGCAGTGAGCCCGGATCGTGCCACTGCACTCTAGCCTGGGTGACAGAGGGAGATTGTCTCAAAAAAAAAAAAACAAAAGGGACAACTTCATGTGATTCAGCCAATAATTACCCCCACAAATATGTCTGGTTGTTATTTGTGTGTGTGTAGTGTGGATTATCTGAATACAGAGGCAAATACAAACTAGAGTGTTAACATGCACAAATTTAAAAAAAAAAACATTATCTGAAATCAGATTATTTTCTCATAACACTGACTTTAACAAGGGATTTATGCCAAATGATGTTGGCTGCATCATAATGAAGCTCTGGATTCCCTTTTTAATTTTAGTAAATGTATTCAAAAGAGAACAATTTGTCTACTGGACATAGGAAACCATTACATGACATAAAAAAATAAATCCAATAAGTTCAACTTGTAAATAAAATAATGAAAAGAAGTATTAATAAATCCAATCAATTTACAAAAGCATGTATCTGAAAATAAGTTTCTCATTGGGAAGAATAAAACTTTATCAGTTTAAGGCCGGGTGTGGTGGCTCACGCCTGTAATCCCAGCACTTTGGGAGGCCGAGGAGGGCGGATCACTTGAGGTCAGGAGTTCAAGACCAGCCTGACCAACATGGTGAAACCCTGTCTCTACTAAAAATACAAAAAAATTAGCCAGGCATGTTGGCGCATGCCTGTAATCGTAGCTATTCCGGAGGCTGAGCTGGGAGGCAGAAGTTGCCGTGAGCCAAGATCACACTCCACACTCCAGCTTGTACGACAGAGCGAGACTCCATCTCAAAACAAAACAAAATCTTTATCAGTTTAAAAGGGGGAGAGATAGTTGGTTTATTATCAGTTATTAAAAAAAAAGGCCTTATTAAAAAAAAAAAAAGATGGGCTTAAGCTGAGGTGAGAGGATCACTTGAGCCCAAGAGTTTGAGACCAGCCTGGGCAACATTGGGAGACTCCATCTTAAAAAAGTAATAATAATAAACAAGGCTGGGTGAGGTGACTCACACCTGTAATCCCAGCACTTTGGGAGGCCAAGGCGGGCAGATCACCTGAGGTCGGGAGTTCAAGACCAGCCTGATCAATATGGAGAAACCCCATCTCTACTAAAAATACAAAATTAGCCAGGTGTGGTGGCGTATGCCTGTAATCGCAGCTACTCAGGAGGCTGAGGCAGGAGAATTGCTTGAACCAGGGAGGCAGAGGTTGCGGTGAGCCGAGATTGCGCCATTGCACTCCAGCCTGAGCAACAAGAGCAAAACTTCGTCTCAAAAAATTTAAATTCAATTAAGTTTAAAAAATAAACAAAATTATCCAGGAATGGTGGCGCATGCCTGTAGCCCCAGCTACTTAGAAGGCTGAGGTGGGAGGATCACCTGAGCCCAGGAGGCCTAGGCTGCAGTGAGTCAAGACTGACTGCGCCACTGCACTCTAGCCTGGGCTAGACCCTGTCTCAAAAAAAAAAAAAAAAAAAAAGATGAGCTTCTATGTTTCTATTTTTCACCACTGGAAACCTAATTTATAAGTATGCATAGTGTGTGTAGAGGCAACAAACTTAACTGTATTATCTGATGGAATTATAAACTAATCAAAATTATGAGAAATTTTTGTTTAATAAACTGTATTTCAATAGGACATCTAATACAATATCTAGAATCTGTTCTTCAAAATGTGTCAAGTTATTTGGTCATGTCTCCAAAGGTAGTGAGGAAAGAGCTCCTTATCTACTCGTCTCTGCCATTGGATTCTGAAAACCCCAATGAAGACTTTTTTTTTTGAGATGGAGTCTTGCCCTGTCGCCAGGCTGGAGTGCAGTGGCTCAATCTTGGCTCACTGCAACCTCCGCCTCCCAGGTTCAAGTGAGTCTCCTGCCTCAGCCTCCTGAGTAGCTGGGACTACAGGCGTGCGCCACCACACCCAGCTAATTTTTGTATTTTTAGTAGAGACAGGGTTTCACCATGTTGGCCAGGATGGTCTCGATCTGTTGACTTCATGATCCACCCACCTCGGCCTCCCAAAGTGTTGGAATTACAGGCGTGAGCCACCACGCCCAGCCCAATGAAGACATTTTATCAAGTCATTTAAGTGTCTCTTCATCATCTTCAAAAATACAGTTTCAGGGAGTTAATAACCATATCATTTCAGTTCAGATGAGTTAATAATCATATCATTCAAGCAAAAGGAACCTGACTCACCATTATAAAGAGGCATGCCCCACAACTCCAGTTACACAACACGGTAATTTAAGGCACTTGATCTCTCAAGTGGAAAACTGGTTTAAACCTTGCCTTGCAGGACTGAATTGAGATTGTTCACGTGATATAGCCAGTGCCAGTTAGGCATGCGCTGTTACAAAGGGTATGTAATCCGGAAAGATGAAGATGTTTTAGCATCTTGAAGAGATAAATAGGGATTCTTCTGAGGGAAAACCAATGAGCTTCTGAACAAAACGAGAAGCTGCTTGAAATCACTGCCCATCTCTTCATAGAACTGAGAAGCAGAGAATTCAGTGACCCACTCTTATATGATTGGCAATTTTAACAGCTTTGTTAGGTATTTGTCTTAAACCTTCATGCCCAGGTTCTTCCTGTGCATAATCAGTAAACTTTATTCAAATCACCACCACTGTTCACGTTTCCATTACAATCTCCAGCCTTATCCTTTAGAAATACCATTTTCATCACTGATTCATGATAGAATCAAAAGGAAATTAACATTATCAATACTGACAGTGAGGTCCAGTTCCAATTTGCAATTATATATCCTCCTACATATTTTCCATAACTAATGATTGTCAACTTCCAGCAGAAGAATGCTGAAAACAATGCAGGAGGGATTCACACTAGCACTCGGCATCATCTATACTTCCATACTTCTGAGCATGTATCATGGAAGGTTTAGTTAGAGTAGCCAATGCTGTTTCTGCCCTGTGCATATCCTTGAGACCTTCCAGTGCCTCCAGCAAATGCCGGAGGCCAGTATCTGCATCTCTCTGCCAGGAGCTGGGCTGCCCCAAATATCTGAGAATTATTACTGACCATGCCACCATAGTCCCACCAACAGCCCTCAACCAATGACATTTGGTAGTTGGTATGAGAATGCCTGGTCTGCTCACCACTAGGTGGCATAATTCTGAATATTGTATTTTGCAGATTCCCAGTTTCACTGAGATTAAGCTCCAGTCTCCTGCGATGGTAGCTAACTTCAAAGTGTATCCTTTATTGGTTATCTTCCTTTTCCTATCTCATTTCCCCCTCTCCCTATTGGTATTTCCTGTGTTTCCTAAATAAACTATTTGCACTGCAATCCTTGTCTTAGGGTCTGCTTCTGAGATAACATAAACCAGGCAGTCACTGAATGCATGAACAATAAGCCTGTAAGTTATGGAGTTCTTGTAAGGTGAGTTATCATGTCTTACCAGCCTACACTACCCTCATCCCAAGGAATGACATCCTTGAAATTTCATCTTTAATGTGCCAGTTACATTTCTCTCAGTACACATTAAAAATGAATAAACAGATAATTCATCAAGGTATACATTTATAATTTGTATACTTTCCTATATGTAGAATACACTTCGATTACACAGTTAAAGACATAAATACACAATAATTGAAATCATCTTTCAGAGTCACAGTCACCTCTGGTTCTGAGTTTCTGCTTCCAGTGAGTTCATTCAGTTATAGATCATCTTGCCACCCCTACTTTATCTAGAATTTTGCTGGAATCCTTTCTCTTCAAAGAACAACCTTCACTAACACATGAGGGTAAACAGAAAGTGATCGTTCTTCTCTTGTCCTCCTCTCTGGAACAATCCTCCAGGATCTTGGGTCACTTTTCAGCTACTGGTTTCACTCAGAATGGGTACTCAAAGCTAATACCCCTTCTCTCTCCTGGGAGACAAGGGGACAGATCAAAGCCACACTCATCTTTCTTGCCTTAAGCTCCCACAAAATTAATAAACCAGACTGCAGTTTTTATGCTAATTTTAGGAGAGAATCAGGGAAATTCAGAATTAAAGCTGTAGTTAACTTGGACTTTCCTAAAGAGAAAGTACCCAACGATGTAGGGCTTCACAAGGATGACAGTCCCCACCCTCATCCCACAGGTGCCCTTTTCTTTGAGAGACTTACAGTCTACAATTCCCTTCCCTGGAAAACTGAATTCCTTGTCAAAAGAAGGGCCTCCTCCCCTGGCCTTTATTCCTCCCTGTCTCTGTCTTAAATTCTATTTAAAGGGAGTAGTTGGAACATATGCATTTAGCTCCCTCATAAAAAATCATTACTGTAGAAAAAGGGATTTAAAGCCAGAGGCATGAACCCACAGGGACACATTGAGTGGAAGAGAAGAAAAATAACAAAAACTTTTGGAAACTGGAAAACAAATAGATGAATGGTGATGGACTTATGAGTCCTGAAAAGGCTGAATCCTAAGTGGGCAGAGGGGAAGGCCAAGAGGAACCCAACTTCCCTTGCAGAATCCTGAAAAGCAGAGAAATAGGTTGCCTGGAGTACCCTCTAAAAAGGCGGAGTGAAAGCAACGCTAAAAATAGAATACAGGCCAGGCGCGGTGGCTCATGCCTGTAATCCTAGCACTTTGGGAGGCTGAGGCGGGCAGATTGCCTGAGCTCAGGAGTTTGAGACCAGCCTGGGCAACATGGCAAAACCCCATCTCTACTAAAAACACAAAAAACGGCTGGGCGCAGTGGCTCACGCCTGTAATCCCAGCACTTTGGGAGGCCGAGGCGGGTGGATCACAAGGTCAGGAGATCGAGACCATCCTGGCTAACATGGTAAAACCCCATCTCTACTAAAAACACACAAAAAATTAGCCGGGCGTGGTGGCGGGCGCCTGTAGTCCCAGCTACTCGGGAGGCTGAGGCAGGAGAATCGCTTGAACCCAGGAGGTGGAGGCTGCAGTGAGCCGAGATCGCGCCACTGCACTCCAGCCTGGGCGACAGAGGGACACTCTGTCTCCAAATAAATGAATAAACAAAATAAAATAAAATAAAAATTGAATGCCGGTGGCAAATCTGCTGAAGAAGCAGTTATATTCCCAGCGTCCCTCCACTACTCTGTAGGTGACTGTTGTTCTTTTACGTCCGCAGAAGACTGAACCAGTAGTTTCAGGAGAGGATAACACAGAGGAATCTCTGAACAGCAGGACACCAGGCACAGCTGAAGACAGGTTACTATGCTGAAAATGGTGGATGGGATGGGGTGAGGATAAATGAAAATTTACACACTTAAGACTCCCAACCTCCTTTTCAGAACTCCCACCCAGATCTACACTCTCTGGGCAGCAAATTTGAAGAAACGTCTCCAGTGACTCCAGGTGGCCTAAGAGAAAAGACCTAAGCACACTGACACTGGGGTTTCCCCAGGAACGCACAGATCACCACCCAATTCATATGGGCAGCTCTGGTCGCAGGGTACCAAGAGTGTCATGATCTGCAGTTCAATCTCCCCAGGGCCAGATGGAAAACTAGTTACTCGCCAAAAAAGGCATCATTTCAAAAACCATAGTTGCCTCCTTTGTGATTCTTTCTTTGGGGCTTGTAAGAGTCTCTACAGCGTCCAGATCTGCAACTGACCTACTGAATCATAAGGGCTGGGGCAGAGCTGCCTGTTGCCTAAACAAGAAGAGACTTCCATCATTCTGTGCTCCACTTGAAGTAGGCAAGTTGTCCAAAAAATTGTTTGAGTCAACACACTCGAATATGACACATGTACTTCACACACAAAAAAGACTCACCACGTACTGTACTTCTTTTTTAATAGAAAGGGATAAAAAGTTCAGCAACTTGTCCCTCACTTTAAAGGGGTTATCTTAACATGCCTAAAATTAGTCATTGATGTGACAGGACTCCTTATAGATTATGATATGTTATAGTTTGCCCATTACTTCCTGCTTAAAATAATAATCATTTATTATCTCTCCCAGTTTCCATGAGTCAGGAATTAGACAGGGTACAGTGCAGACAGCTTGTCTTTGCTCCGTGATGTTGGAAGCCTAGCTGGAAGACTCGAAGGCAAAGAGCTGGAATAATCTGAAAGCTTACTCATTACCATCTTGGCCTTACTAGAGCTGTTGGCCAGAACACCCACACATGACCTCTCCATGTGGTCTGGGCTCTCTTAGAATCTGGTGGCTGGGTTCAAAGGCAAGAGTCAGGCTGGGCGCGATGGCTCACACTATAATTCCAGCACTTTGGGAGGCCGAGGTGAGTGGATCACCTGAGGTCAGGAGTTTGAGACCAGCCTGGTGAAACCTCATCTCTGCTAAAAAAAAAAAAAAAAAAAAAAAAAATCAGCTGGGTGTGGTGGCAGGCGCCTGTAATTCCAGCTACTTAGGAGGCTGAGGCAGGAGAATGGCTTGAACCCGGGAAGCAGAGGTTGCAGTGAGCTGAGATTGTGCCATTGCACTTCAGCCTGGGCGACAAGAGTGGAACTCTGTCTCAGAAAAAAAAAAAAAAAGGCAAGAGTCCTGGGCCAGAGAGGCAGGAAGAAGCCATACTGCCCTTTTATAGCCTAGCCTCAGAAGTCATGCAGTGTCATAGTTGCTGCATTCTATTGACCAAGGCAGTTACAAAGGTCCACTCATGCTCAAGGGGAGAGAAAATAGACTCCACGTTTCAGTGGAAGAATGCCAATGTCACATCATGAGTATGAAGGATGGGACATATATTGATGTGGCCATCTATGGAAAATACCATATACCACAGTGAGACAACCAAAGCCTCCATAGACTAAATTATGGCATAGATCCAAGAGCTGACATATTCCCCAGATGGGATGGAAATCACACTGCTTTTCTACCAAGTGGAAGCAAACTGCTTCTGATATTTTTATCAGGATAGACTGTTCCCCACCCAAACTGTCATGTTAATAGCTGTATATCAGGTGTCCCACACTATCCTGATTTGATTCAATAGGAAATGACTTCTGTAACAGCAATGGCAATGGGTATCTTCTCTTCATGAAGTTAAGGATAATTTACTGTTATTCTCCCAAACCCACCCATCTTCTGCACCAGCTAGACTGACAAGTTAAAAGGCCATGGGATAGCAATCACCACTATCTGTGAAGTCTTTTAATCCCTGCAATTCCCCTAGAGATACAGTACCAGATCCATTTATTGTTTTGATGTGGAAGAGCTCCAGGAGCTTCCTCATCTCCATTGCTTTCTTTTTTTTTTTTTTTTCTTTCTATCAACTATAGAAGACTCAATGAATCCGTTCCTTTCTTAACAGGCTTTACTTCACAGGTGAGCAAGCCAGTGTGGGGATTCTATCACGTGCTAAGAACATCTTTTCCAACTGATGCTCTGGAACTTGGGGAACTATGTTAGGAGAGGTTTAAGTTTCCACTGGACCAATGGTGCGGCTGACTTAGGTAAAAACTCCATCATGGCCAGGTGCAGAGGCTAATACCTGTAATCCCAGCACTTTGGGAGGCCAAGGCAGGTGGGTCACCTAAGGTCAGGGGTTCGAGACCAACCTGACCAACATGGCAAAACCTGGTCTCTACTAAAACTACAAAAATTAGCCAGGCGTGGTGGCGCACACTTGTAATCCTAGCTACTGGGGAGGTTGAGGCAGGAGAATCACTTGAACCTGGGAGGCAGAGACTGCAGTGAGCCAAGAATGCACCACTGCACTCTAGCTTGGGCGATGGTGCGAGACTCCGTCTCAAAACAAACAAACAGACGGATAAAACAAAACAAAACTCCATCATTACCTGGTCCCCATATGAACTCTGAGAAGTGGACAATGACATTGTGGGTATCTGGGAATTAGTAATAACTAACAGCTAGTATCCACTTGTTGCCCAAGTGTTTGTGTAGTTTCCCTAGTGTACAGTTATCCAGACAAAATGGTAATACACATTTATCCATAAAATGGTAATGATACACATTCTGTACTGGCAGCACTTTTACAAGCTCCTTCCTCAGGATACATGGCCTCTCCATTATTGAATAGGCTCTGAATCTGTAAACTAGCTTAAGTCTAGCAAGAGAATCCAGAGCTGCATTTCTGTCTTGATATCTGCCTCCAAACCTGGAGAAATTTTTGGCTATACAGATCAAGTAGGGCTTCAGTGATCTGCCATTTATCTAGGACCCTATCTCCAATTAACCACCTGCAAAGATCTTGGTATCCATTTTGAATACCATAAATTGCATGGGGGGTCATCGTTAAAGGCTACTGCTGGAATCATTACAATTACACTGAAAATAGGAAATACGTGGGCATGGGCATGTAGTCCCACACCTGTAGTCCCAGCTACTTGGGAGACTGAGGCAGGAGGATCCCTTAAGCCTCAGGAGTTTGAGGGTGCAGTGAGTTACTGCACTTCAGTCTGGGTGACAGACTGAGACAGAGTGAGACTCTGTCTCAAAAAAAAAGAGACAAGGAAATACACTTCACCAACATTTTATGAACTACTAAGTCATGTTGTAATGCTCCCAGTACTCTTGTGAATAAAGTATGCTTCAAGACTTTGGTAAAGGGAATGTCTTCAGGATCCTGCCAGGCAGGGATGGGTTGGGAAAAGGGATAACATATTTGGTAATTTGTTCCAGAATTCTTCTTAAATTCCTTTCTCCACATTACACAAAGGCATTTCTGTCATCTCAGCTTTTAGAATAGATAGGCCAATATTATGTTCAGCTTTCCCTATGAAAAACATGCCCAGCTGCTAAACATAGGACATGAAATCCAAAATCTGTGGTAGGTGCATTCGTATCAATAAATACAGCCAGACCTTAAATGACACCTTTCTCTTCTCGATTGAACACTCAGTATTTTCATAAGAATTCCTCATGTTTTTTCTGATGACTGCATAAGTCTCCTCCTCTGTGTGCTTCCTGTTTGCTTCCTAGTGTGATATGATGTACCCAAAATAAACTGATACATTCTTGAGAAAAATATTTAACTTCAACCTAATCAAGTTTCTAGACCTAACTTCCAGCTTCTAGGAAGATTAAAAACATAGAACTGTCTACCAACTAATTGGCTTGAGCCCTTCAAAAAGTCATTCTCACGAGAAAAAAAAAAAAAGTGAGAGGCACTGTTCCAAACTAAAGGAAACCAAATAGACATAATAACCAAATGCAATGCATAAAGCTAGACTGTATCTTGGTTTAAAAAGAAAAGCATCAAAAGACTTTCTTGGGATAAATGGCAAAATTGAAAATGGACAGATTTTAGGTGATATAAAATTTAAGGGTGCAGGCTGGGTGCGGTGGCTCATGCCTGTAATCCCAGCACTTTGGAAGGCTGAGGTGGGTGGATTGCTTGAGGTCAGGAGTTTGAGACCAGCCTGGCCAACATGGTGAAACCTGGTCTCTACTAAAAATACAAAAATTAGCCAGGCGTGGTGGCGGAAGCCTGTAGTACCAGCTACTCAGGAGGCTGAGGCAGGAGAATTGCTTGAACCCGGGAGGCAGAGGTTGTAAGAACTGAGATTGCCCCACTGCACTTCCAGCCTGGGCCACAGAGCAAGACTCTGTCTCAAAAAAAAAAAAAAAATGTTTTTTAATCTTCCTAGAAGCTGGAAGTTACATCTAGAAACTTGATTAGGTTGAGGTTAAATATTTTTGTTAAGAATGTCTCAGTTTATTTTGGGTATAACATATCACACTAGGAAGCAAAGAGGAAGCACACAGAGGAGGAGACTTACACAGTCATCGAAAAAAACATGAGGAATTCTTAGGAAAATATTGAGTGTTCAATCAAGAAGGGAAAGATGTCATTTAAGGTCTGGTGGTATTTACTGATATGAATGCACCTACCACAGATTTTGGATTTAATGTCCTATGTTTAGCCACCGCGCCTGGCAAACTGTAGTTTGATCATTCCCATTGCTGTGTAGTATTCTATTGTAGGAATATACTATAATCTATGCATTTTCCTGCTGATGGGCATTTGGATTGTTTCCAGTTTGGAGCTATTATGAATGCTTCCAGAACATTCTTGTGCATATCTTTTAATGCTCAAGTACATATATTTCCATTTGGTATATACCTATGAGTAGAATTGTTGGGTCATAGGTTTGTCTATCTAGCAAATGATACTATTAAACCATTCTCCAAGTAGTCATGTCAATTTACACTCCTACTAGTTTCTGTTGCTCCACATTCTTGTCAACACTTAGAATGATCTTTTATTTTAGCCATTCTGGTAGGTATTTCATGATGTCTCCTGTTTTGTTTTGTTTTGTTTTGTTTTGTTTTAATTTCCCCAACTACTAATGAGATTCAGCATTTCTTCAATGTTAGTCATTCTTCAAAGTTAGTCTTCATAGTTAGTCTGCTTGAAGTGCTTATTCTGGTCTCCGTTGCATATTTTTCTAATATGTCTTTTTCTTATTTTGCTGGCATTCTTCATATATTCTGGATACAATGCCTTTATCATATGCATTTCAAATATCTTATCTTACTCTGTGGCAAGCCTTTCTGCTCTCTTAATGGAATCATAAATAGTTCTTAATTTTAATCTAATCAACTTTATCAATCTTTCCTTTATGATTAGTGCTTTTTAACTCCTAAGGCTTCTCCACATGGACATGAAGATATTCTCTACTATTATCTTTTAGGAGCTTAATTTTTTTAAGTTTCACACTAGATCTTCAATCTATGTAGAATTTATTTATTTATGTATTTTATTGATTTATTGAGATGGAGTCTCGCTGTCTTGCCCAGGCTGGAGTGCAGTGGCATGATCTCAGCTCACTGCAACCTCTGCTTCCTGGGTACAAACGATCCTTTTGCCTCAGCTTCCTGAGTAGCCAGGATAACAGGCACGTGCTACCACGCCTGGCTAATTTTTGTATTTTTAGTAGAGACATGGTTTCACCATGTTGGCCAGGCTGGTCTCTAATTCCTGGCTTCAAGTGATCCACCTTCCTTGGACTCCCAGAGTGCTGCGATTACAGGCGTGAGCCACTGTGCCCGGCCTAGAATTCATTTACTGTTATGGTATGAGGTAGGGGTCAACTTTCACTTTTTCTCTAACGTCCCAGTGTCCGTTCTTTAAAAGACTACCCTTAATCCACTGCATTGCATTGCCACCTTCATAAATCAATATGTGCCTGGGGCTGTTTCCAGCTCCTGTGTTCTATTCCAGCGGTTTATATGTCTATCCTGCACTGATTCCACACTGTCTTAATTACTGTAGTTGCATAAGAAATCTTAAAATCTGGTAGTGTAATCCCTTCAAATTTATTTATTTATTTATTTATTTATTTATTTTGAGATGGAGTTTCACTCTTGTTGCCCAGGCTGGAGTGCAATGGCAACATCTTGGCTCACCACAACCTCCATCTCCCAGGTTCAAGCCATTCTCCTGCCTCAGCCTCCCGAGTAGCTGGGATTACAGGCATGTGCCACCACGCCCAGCTAATTTTGTATTTTTAGTAGAGATGGGGTTTCTCCATGTTGGTCAGCCTGGTCTTGAACTCCTGACCTCAGGTGAACCACCCGCCTCAGCCTCCCAAAGTGCTGGGATTACAGGTGTGAGCCACCATGCCTGGCCCAAATTTTTTCTTTCTTTTTCCAAGATTGTCATGGCTAGTCTGGGTCCTTTGTATTTCCATATACGTTTTGTAATCAGCTTTTTTTCTTTTTTTTTTTTTTTTTTGAGACAGAGTCTTGTTCTGTTGCCCAGGCTGGAGTGCAGTGGCACTATCTCAGCTCACTGCAACCTCCGCCTCCCGGGTTCACGCAATTCTCCTGCCTCAGGCGCCTGAGTAGCTGGGATTACATGCACACACCACCACACCCGGCTAATTTTTTGTATTTTTGGTAGAGACAGGGTTTCAGTATGTTGGCCAGACTGGTCTCGAACTCCTGACCTCGTGATCTGCCTGCCTTGGCCTCCCAAAGTGCTGGGATTACAGATGTGAGCCACTGCACCCAGCAAGGAATCAGCTTTTCAATTTCCACACACACATACGAACATACACACACACACACACACGAACATACACACACACACACACACACACACACAAATTGGTGGAGAATTTTCACACACTGATGATGGATTCTTTTTCCATGAAGTTCTATAAATTTGTACTTTGAGGCTTTAAGAATGTATACTGGTTTAGAATGGTAATATTTTCCTTGTGAAATGAACCTTTTATTATAACATATAGTTCTGTCCTCTTTCTATTACAGGGTGAGTACCCCTTATCCAAAATGCTTGGAACCAGAGTGTTTCAGATTTTGGATTTTTTCACATTTAGGAATATTTATATAAACATAATGAGATATCTTGGGAACAGGACCCAAGTCTAAATATAAAATTCATTTATTTCATATACACCCTATACTAATAGACTGAAGGTAATTTTATACAATGTTTTAAATAATTTTGTGCATGAAACAAAGTTTTGATTGTGACCCCATCACATGAGGTCAGTTGTGGTATTTTTCACTTGTGGTGTCGTGTCAGTGCTGATATTTTGAGCATTTCGGATTTTGCATTTTCAGGCTAAGATGCTCAACCTGTAATGCTTTTTGTCTGAAAGTCTATTTTGAAAATATAAATATAAATGATATAAAGGATCCCCATTTACTTTTGGTTAGCATTTGCCTGATCTTCCTTGTTCCATTCTTATATTTTAAACATTTCCTATTCTTGTATTTTTAGTACTTCAGGAATGACTCAAAGAGACCTTCACTAAAGAAACTTCCAAAGGATATACTTCAGGTGAAGGAAAGTGATCTTAAAGAAAAGTCTGAGATGCCAGAAGGAATGGATTTTATTCTATTCTATTTTATTTTATTTTATTTGAGATAGGGTCTCACTCTGTCACTCAGGTCGGAATGCAGTGGGGAGATCTTGGCTCACTGCAGCCTCGACCTCTGGGCTCAAGCAATCCTCCCACCTTAGCCTCCCAAGGAGCTGGGACCACAGGCACATGCTACCACACTCAGCTAATTTTCTGTAGAGAACAGTTTTCGCCACGATGCCCAGGCTGGTCTCAAACTCCTAAGACTCAAGTGATCGGCCTGCCTCAGCCCCCCCAAAGTGCTGGGATTACAGATGTGAACCACTGCACCCTGCTAGGAATGGATTTTGTTTCATTTTATTTTATTATTGTATTTTATTTGGAGACAGAGTCTCACTCTGTCACCCAGGCTGGAGTGCAGTGGCGAGATCTTGGCTCACTGCAACCTCTGCTTCCCAGGTTCAAGTGATTCTCCTGCCTCAGCCTCCCGAGTAACTGGGACTACAGGCACACGCCACCCCGTCCAGCTAATTTTTGTGTTTTTTTATGAGACAGAGTCTCAAAAAAATTTTTGTGTCTCAAAAAAAAAAAAAAAGTAAAAAGAAAAGCCGATTCCAAAATGTGTATGGAAATACAAAGGACCTAGACTAGCCATGACAATCTTGGAAACCCAACAGGGTTTCACCATGTTGGCCAGCATGGTCTGGATCTCTCGACCTCATGATCTGCCTGCCTCTGCCTCCCAAAGTGCTGGGATTACAGGTTTGAGCCACCGTGCCCAGCCTTCTTTTTTTCACCAGGCCGGAGTGCAGTGGGGTGATATCAGCTCACTGCAACCTCCGCCTCCCAGGTTCAAGCGATTCTCCTGCCTCAGCATCCTGAGTAGCTGGGACTACAGGAGCGCACCATCGCGCCCAGCTAATTTTCATAATTTTTGTAGAGATGGGGTTTCACCATGTTGGACATAGCCAGGATGTTCTCAATCTCTTGACCTTGTGATCTGCCTGCCTCGGCCTCCCAAAGTGCTGGGATTACAGACCCGACCTTTTTTATGTGTTTACATTTATTTATTTATTTATGAAGTAGTTTCGCTCTTGTTGCCCAGGCTGGAGTGCAATGGCGTGATCTTGGCTCACTGCAACCTCCGTCTCCCGGGTTCCAGCAATTCTCCTGTCTCAGCCTCCCGAGTAGCTGGGACTACAGGTACCTGCCACCACACCTGGCTAATTTTTGTATTTTTAGTAGAGACGGGGTTTCACCATCTTGGCCAGGATGATCTCAAACCTCTGACTTCATGATCCACCCGCCTCGGTCTCCCAAAATGCTGGGATTACAGGCGTGACCACCACACACGGCAATCTGACAATGTCAGTAATCCAACTCTATTTATTCCATCTACATTGTATTTTTTGTATTTAGACTTGTTTCAATCATATGACTTTTCAGTTAAGTTTGGTCCACTTTTCTGAGCTTTTTTTTTTTTAAAACAAATAAATTCTTAACCCTGCCTTTTTCTTGGGGGATAGGAGGATGGTTGATATTTTTGCTTATTTGCATTTTCTTATTCTAATTTTTTCCTCTTTATTGATTTGGAATTTACATACTCTATTTCTATTCTTTTTTTTTTTTAATTTTTATTTATTTATTTATTTTTTGAGACGGAGTCTCGCTGTCTCCCAGGCTGGAGTGCAGTGGTGTGATCTCGGCTCACTGCAAGCTCCGCCTCCTGGGTTCACGCCATTCTCCTGCCTCAGCCTCCCGAATAGCTAGAACTGCAGGTGCCCGGCTAATTTTTTGTATTCTTAGTAGAGACGTGTTTCACCGTGTTAGCCAGGATCTTCTCGATCTCCTGACCTCATGATCTGCCCGCCTCGGCCTCCCAAAGTGCTGGGATTACAGGAGTGAGCCACCGCGCCCGGCTCTATTTCTATTCTTAAGGGTAACCCTTAAATCTTACCAGGTATATTTAATTTTACAGAGCCTGTTTCTCTACTTTACAACTGCTTCAATTCACCCTTCAACTCGCTATAATCTGGTTTCTGGCGCTACCACTCCAACTGAAGTTTACAGTTTCCAAATGCTAAATTCAGTAGTCCTTTTACCAATCCTTATCTCACTAGATTTTCCTGCTGATTTGATGTTTGCGATCATCCCTTTTTCTAGATATTATAGTTCCTAGGGTTCCTTGACATTGTACTTTCCTAGAGTTTTGTTTTGTTTTGCATAACTTTCTGACTATTCCTCCTCATCCCCGTTCCATCTCCTCTCCTTCTTGGGCCTTTCCTCCTTAGCTTCTATTAAAAATAAATATTTCCCCACAAATTGTCCCAGCCCACTGCTGTTATTTTACAAACCCACCCTATGTGATTCCTATCCATCTCCTATGGTATCAATTACCACCCCATGGGCTAACTCACAAATTAATTTCTCCAGCCTGACCTCTTCCTTGAACTTCAGACTCTTAAATCCAATTTCCAGCTGGTCAACCAGACCTGGATATAACACAGGCAATCCAATTTCAACAAGCCTAAAACCAAACTCCTAATTATCTACTTCTTCCCTCCTAGAGAGAAAAGCCAGCTTCTCTTCCTTCTGTAAATTCTTTGACATAATCTAGAAACATGGGAGATTTGACTGCTTCCTCTCTCTCCATCCCACATCTTGTCCAATACTGACACCTCCCAACTCTACCTCCTAAAGCACCTTGTCTAGCCCTCGGCCCACAGTCCGCATTCGGCCCAGGATGGCTTTGAATGAGGACCAACACAAATTCGTAAAACATTATGAGGGCCAGGGGTGGTGGCTCACACCTGTAATCCTAGCACCTTGGGAGGCTGAAGTGGGCGGATTACCTGAGCTCAGGAGTTCAAGATCAGCCTGGGCAACACGGTGAAACCCCGTCTCTACTAAAATACAAAAGAAATTAGCTGGGTGTGGCGGCATGCACCTGTAGTCTCAGCTACTCGGGAGGCTGAGGCAGAATTGCTTGAACCCAGGAGGCAGAGGTTGCAGTGAGCCAAGAGCCAGCCTGGGTGACAGAGTGAGACTCCATCTCTACAAAACAGGCAAACAAAACAAACAACAAAAAAATTACGATTTTTTTTTTTTAGCTCATCAGATATCACATTTTATCAGTATTTTATGTGTGGCCCAAGACAGTTCTTCTTCCAATGTGGCCCAGGGAAGCCAAAAGATAGGACACTCCTGTCCTAAAGTATTCTTCTGGTTGCTTTTCCCACAAATAGTATTCTATGGTTATTAGATATACCAGAAAAATTGACTCCGTGGTAAAATAAGTGTTGGTAAGTGCTAGAAAACTATGAAAAAAGTCTACTACAGGACTTTTCAAAGAGATTACTATGTAGATATTATATTCTAGATATGAGGTGATATAACAGTCTTTTCCATGCTTAGTTTAGCATTTCTGTGGAACACCTTTTAGCATCTCACATGCCTCATGATCAATCACTAACTGCTATTCTAAGCCCCTCCATTCTCCCCTACCCCTGCCACCACGGCCCTAGGTCAGCTCTTCCCATCTCTGGTTCCCTAGCTCTGGTCTTGCTTCCTCAAACGTGCTGTTCACAGTGATGCAAGAGTGAGCTACCTAAAACGCAAACCTACCAAGTCTCTCCACCACTCATACTTCAGGCTAAACTCCTTCATAGGGTGTGGAAAGGCCCCTGACCTGGTCCAGCTCCACCTCTCCCACAGCACACCACACTCCCATCATACCCTAGACATACGTTTGTGCCTCCCAAAATGTTCCATGCTCTTGTAGGTTTCTGTATCTTTATTCACATAACACTATTTGTCTGGAATATTCTTCTCCACACCAATTCACTGGTTAACTGTTACTTCTCCCTTTAAGGCTCAGCTCAAGTGCCACTCTCTTCAGGAAGTTTTCCTGACTGGGCTAAGTCCCCCCTCACCTCAGCTCCCATAATCCACCTGCATAGGAAATTACAGGCCGGACACAGTGGCTCATGCCTGTAATCCCAGCACTATGGGGGGACGATGTGGGAGGATCACTTGAGCCCAGGAGCTTGAGACCAGCTTAGGCAACATAGGGAGACCCTGTCTCTCCAAAAAAAATTAGCCCAGTGTGGTGGTGCACGCCTTTGGCCCCAGCTACTTGGGGAGGCTGAAGTTGGAGGATAGCTTAAGCCCAGGAGGTCAAGGCTGCAGTGAGCCATGATCACACCACTGCACTCCAGCTTGGGCGACAGAGCGAGACCCTGTCTCAAAAACAAAACGAAAAAAAGAAATTATAAATTTGCTGCCCCATGAGACCATGAGCTTCTTAAAAGCAGAAACTATCTCAGATTCATCTATTTATCCTTCCCAAACTCTAAATGCTGATGGGTTCCAAGACTCAGTTCTCTTCTATTTTCTCAAGTGACTTCAACCGGTCTCATAGCTTTACATAACACCCGTACCCTCATGATTCCCAAACTGATGCCCCCAAACTATTTCCAACTCTTTCCAGATCTCTACGGACTGGCTGCTTATTTAGGTCTCAGTCCAAATGTAACCTTCTCCTGACCACTCCATCCAAATGGCCCCGTGCCCACTCTCTCCCCTTGTCTTATACTGTCTGAATTAAATCTATTTGTTTATTATGCATTTCTCCTACCACACTATCCTATGAGATTGGACAGTTTTTATTCACTGCTTTGTCTCTAGAGCCTAAAACATTCTTTGGCACATTACTGACACTTATTAAATGTTTGTCAAATGAGCTACTGCCTAACACAGATCTGGCACGTAATACCTGCTAATATCTGAGTGCTTAGTAAGTGCCCAGTAGTGTGCTAAATATACCACAGGAACTGCTTCTTACTATCCTAAGTATTACCATTGTCCCCATTTTACCTGGACACAGGAGTTCAGTAATTTGCTCAGGTCCCAGCGTAGGAAGGGATAGGAACACTGGCAGCCTGACCCAGAGCCAACTTTCCTAGTCACTGTGCTGTCCTCCCACTTACATCTTTAAGGACTCAAAGGGTGTACTCAAAGGAAAGAAGGGAGGAAGGGTCCAAGGATCACATTTGTTGAGAGCAGAAAAGGAGTCAAAGGGAGCAGGAAATGCACTAAAGATGGTCTTCGGCCTTTTGTATTTCGTACTGCCCCCAGGATTGAGTGTCCTAATTCCTGACACTGATACGGAAGGTCCAGTTCTGATAGCTCAGAGAGGGGTGAGTTACCTTTACCAGCCAAAGCTACTGCTCTCTTGGCAGAGAGGAATTTCAACTCACTACTTAATTGCCATGGTATAGGGAAAGAACAAGGGGCTGGAAATCCAGACACTTGGAGGCTACTGCCGGTTCTGCCCAGGGTTCTCTAGTGGACATTTGCCAACCATGTCCTTTCTCCGTGTCTCAGTTTCTCCACCTGTGGGGGGAAAGCATGCCGCTCTGATGCTCTGTGACTCTAGAAGGTGCTGATCTCTGGAGTTCTCTCAGCTCACAGCTCTAGATGCCAGTGGAGAGAGGCCCCCTTTCTGACTGCTGGAGCCTGGGCCTCACCCTTGGGTATGAGAAGTACAGAATTTTCTAAAATACAGGAAGTGAAACAATTGCCTTTGGAAAACAGAAAACCTAAGTGTAACGCACCCTCCTCCAAGAGTGACGCACAGTAATGGCCAAGCAAACAGTCCTTCCCTGCAATATTTATTAAGGAATTTACACATACACAGGAGAAAGGCAGCCAGGAACTGTGGTTCCCACACATGAAATCTTTTAAGCAAAGTTTTCTTGTCTGAATTTTCAAGTGGGGTGAACAATGACTGAGAGGAAAGCTGTCCCGGCCCTCTGCCTCGTACACCTGGGAACGGTGGGGAAACAGAGCACCCTGGATACACAGGCATGAAAGAGTGATCAGCAGACCGGGAGAAGGGAAGGGAGAAAGGGAGTTATCAATGACATGGCGTTTTTTAAACCATAAGAAAAACACAACAGTTTTAGGCTGCTGATAAATTAATTCCTCTCTGTTGTAAACCTAAAACTAAACAAAAACAAAAATACCCAGAGCAGATGGGGAGAGGGTGGGAGGCGGAACACACACTCATACACACACACACACTCACGCACACACACAAGCAGTACACGTTAAGCTCTGCATTCCCACTATAGGGGTTGGTCCTCCAGCCACGGAGCCAGATCCTACTGAAGGCAGGGGGGAGGCGGGAAGGGATGTGTGTCTGTGTGTGGGATCTTCATAAAGTCTTTGGTGCTAATAAAGGCTGACTGAAGCAGCAAGTCCTGAAGCCCCAGATCCAGAAAGCAACTCAGGGCGAAGAGAGTAGTATTTTTGCTCATCCTCATAGGAGGGGGCTTGCCTCACCCCAGGGCTAGGGTCAAACTGACCCAGGACCCAGGGAGTATTTAATTTGATTTCAGTACTTGCTTCATTCCCATAAATCATGAGAACATGATGCTTTTCAAATTTAAACACTTAGAAACAGCTTATTAACACATATAGAAGGACCTCTAAGCTTTCCCCTGTTTGCCTAATATACAACACCCACAGACCCTTCTGAGAGTCTGACAGGAGCTTTAACCTTGAGGGAAGGGACTCAAAGGTGTGCACACTTCTCCCACAGTTTAAGTGCCTTCTGCCAACAACTTCTAAGGTGCTGGTGCCAGGAGAGGACTGGGGAGGACGTTGGGATGGCTATGGGGCATGTACAACATAAAGCAACAGAGAGGTCTTCATGTTTGGGAAGTGGCTGGGCAGGATGCCAAACCCCAAATGACTTATTGAGCAATTTCTAAACCAAACAGAGAGGTAGGAAAAGAGGATGGGGGTCAGGGGTGGAGGCTGTGGAAAGGGGAGAGCGAGGGCTGAAGAGAATGGCAGCCATACAGGTGTTTTGTTTTTATTTCCACATCTGAGGACTGAGAGTCTGATTTGCTGCCTGTCCATTTCCGCCACTCATTGACTGTCCATAGTTCATCATGCCATTGGCTCCATAGAAGTTCATCCCAGCCATCTGCTGGGTCATCTGAAAGGGAGAGAGGAGACTTTCAGACCAGGCTGTGGGCATTCCGCCAATTAGTGCAAAAGGCAGGGTGAGAGTCCCTTTCTCTGCCAGGATGGGGAGAATGAGACAAAGGGAAACTCTGTTATGGACAGTAAACCCTGGACCTTAGCAGTCAGATCATTTCAAGGCCACGTACGTGAATGACCTTTTGGGAGTGCAATGCTGACGGAGACTAAAGCTCAGGGAGGGAAAGAAGGCATCCTGGCATCTGGATCTAGTCGACAGAAAATCAGCATGAGTTCCTCTCTTTTTCCTTTCCAGTCCCTCATCCTAAATAGAAGGGGCCTATTGTTAACTTGCCTGGCCAATCCTAAAAGCTGAAAGGAAAGCCCCCTCCCCAGTGCTCCCGCCTCATCTTCAGCACAGCTATTACTGTCAGTGTCAGGGAAAGCGCTTGAGCAGGCTTGCTCGTTTGCACAAGGGGGAAAAAAAGGAACTGGACTGTTCAGAATGAACAAAGGCGGTGGCGGGGCGGGGGCGGGGGAAGACTAATGTGTCTTCAGTGTATAAGAAGGGAAGGAGCTGGGAGAAAACAGTCAGTGGAATAAGGCCTGGGGCAGGATGGGGCGGGGGTCCTTCATGAATCTGATGGAAAGACTGGCCCCTAGCAGTGAACAGAAAAATACTTTATGGAGAAAAATGCCTTGAATTTCCTAAGCCTAGTAAATTTTCTATATAAGTTATTTTTCTTTAGGAGAAACTATTATTTTCTTGTACCAACTTTTAAAGTAAATTTCAAACTGACATAAAAGTTGAAACAATAGTACAATAAAACCCATGTATCTTCTTCCTTAAATTCACCAACTGTTAACATTTGCCATATTTTCTCTCCCTCCCTATAAAAAAACTTACATTTTTTTGATGAGTATCAAAAGTTGCAGATTAAAAAAAAAAAAAAGCTGCAGCTATCACGACATTTCATTCCTAAGTCAGGAGGCACCTCATAAGAATGAACACTTTAACAGAACCACAAAACAATGAACACGCTCAAGAATTTTAACATTAACACCATATTCTAATGTACATGGCATTTCATTTTCAGATCTCTGTAGTCTCCTTTAAGCTAGACCAGTTTCCCTAACACTTCCTTCCATTTCTTCCTGACACTGACATTTTTAAGAACCCAGGACAGTTATTTTGTAGCATACCCCTCAATTTGGATTCATCTCATGTTTTCTCATAATTGGATCGAGGTTCAATATTTTTGGCAAGATTCTATGGAGGTGACACATGTCTTTCTTAGTACAAAATATCAGGAAGCATATGACATTACTTTGTTCCTCTGTCAGTAATTTTATGTTTGATCACTTGGCTGAGGTAGTGACTATATTTCTTTCATTATAATTAATAAATAATCTGAAGGGCATTTCTTTGCAAATGTGTCAATCCTTTGCTCTTTTTACAACTACTGTCATTCTTCTGTAAAGAAGGCTTTTCCTCCCTCCATTCCACACCTGGTTTTTAAAAAATATCACCGTGGACTCATGGTTTTGTTTTGTTTTTTCCATTCAGTGTGTCATAATCCATTACTGTTGTTACTCTTTTTGATGTTCAAATTGTCTCACATTTGGCCAGTCAGAGCCACTGGAAGTTGGCTCATGCGTCCCTCTGACATATTCCCATCAGACTTATAGCATTCCATTACTTATATAAATAAAAACGAAACAATGAAAATAAGTGAATTAAAATCTCCACTATGAAAGCTAGAAAATAACAAAGTAAACCCATAGAAAGCCTACGGAAATTGAGGTAGAAAACGGAAAAATGTAGCACCAATAAATCGAAATCCTGGTTCTTTGAAAAAAATTAATGAGACTGCTAGGCATAACTTTTGATAAATTTGAAAACCTTGGCGAAATGGAAAATCTAGGTAAATACAGTTTTCCAAAATTGACTTCCATAGAAGAAACAGAGAAAAGTATCAAAGATTTGCTACAAAAAAAGCAATAGTGCCCACAAACTTCACATGGGAATTCCACAAAACCTTCAAAGACCAGAGCTACATAAATTATTCTGGACCACAGAGAAACAAAAACATAAAAGTACTTCTTATAAATAAGTATAACCCTGATAAAGATAGCTATACATGCACATGTGCAGTACACATGCACCATACCACCTCTCTGGGGTTCCTTTGCCTGTCTCTTGGTTTTCACATTAAATCACTTTGTATTTCTTTGTACCTAGTGCAAAACTAGTGTTGCTTTGTTAGCCAATTTGAACATCATTTTCTTTTGATAGAAGAGTTGCCTACTGGTATGACTGGTATGTTTGGTCTCAACTCCATCATATTAGATTTTTACTGTGTTTATTGTATTTGCTGCACTTTGTAGTCTGTTTTTAAAAATTCTCAGCTGGGCGCAGTGGCTCATGCCTGTAATCCCAGCACTTTGGGAGGCCAAGGTGGGTGGATCACCTGAGGTCAGGAGTTTGAGACTAGCCTGGCCAACATGGTGAAACCCCGTCTCTACTAAAAAATACAAAAAAAATTAACCGGGTGTGGTGGCGGGTGCCTGTAATCCCAGCTACTCGGGAGGCTGACGCAGAAGAATCACTTGAACCCAGGAGGCGGAGGTTGCAGTGAGCCGAGATTGTGCCACTGCATTCCAGCCTGGGTGACAGAGTGAGACTTTGTCTCAAAAAAAAAAAAAAAAAAGAAAGGAAGAAAATTATCTTGGTATTCAGAACATTTCACGTGTTTGTTCTAGTGATTACCTTCATAGTAATACTTTTTAGCAATGTCCTTGGTCTCCTTTTTCCTTATTCAAGCTTCCGTGATTTGGTTTGTCAGCTTATTGCATCCTTCGATTTCTACTTCTTTCCCATACAATATTTATTATTCAACTTTTCTCCCTCCTCCTTCATTTTCAGTTGTATTTGTTTGTCAGAATATAATGTATATTCTGCAACGCTTGTCACCACCTTTGTTTTAGTCTTAGATTCTCAATTAAACATTCAATTCTCACCATCAGTTCTTTTGCCAAAAATGAAAATGACCCCAGTCATCTCTTAGGTGGATGAAGCTTATCTTCTGTTAGATTCCCCAGGAAAGTCTTGTAAGTGTGATATTCTCTGAGTTCTTGCATATTTATTTTTTACAGCCTTGATACCTGAAGGATAGCTTGGCTGGCTTGGTTGTAAAATACTTGTTGTGTCTTGCATACACTTGAGTGTCTTTAAAATACTACTCTCCTTGTTATTCTTTTTGTATTTTGCTGCTAGGAAGTCTGATGTCAACCTGGGTATTTTTTGTTTGTTCTAAGTAACAGATTTTTGTGGGTAGGAGGTATGGAAAAGGTTGGACCCCTAAACATTTTGAATGTTCTTTAAAGTCTGTAGATTTGCTGGGATATGTTTTAAAGTTGACTGTTCTGGGTCAATTTTCCCAGACACACAGTGGGCTCTTTCCATATTATATCCAAGTCTTTTATTTCTAGAATGTTTTCTGGTGTTAAACACATTAATACTGTCCCATATTTTATTTATTTTGTCTTTATTTCTTTGGGCATCTCCAAATATATGTAAGTTTTCTTTGCCTAACTTCCATATTAATTTCCATCTAATTCTTTTTACTACTTTCTATATTTAGTTTTCATTCTCTTAGCTGTTTCATGCCTTTCCTCAATGCCGAATATATTTTCAGCTCAATCTATTGTTCTTTAGCTAACTTGTAATTGAGTCTTTATACGAAAATTTTGGCTTTTTCTTCAATTTCTTTTCTGAGTTTAGTAAACTTTCATTTCACAGCATGCAGTTTTTTATCCATTTTGGCTTTAAGTTTTTGAATTTCTGATTTAAGGTGTTTTGTCTTATCTGCAAATGTTTAAGGACATTTAATTCAGATTGGTAGATTGTGTAACAATTTTCTTCTGCTTCATGACTGTTTTTTGAGGGAGAATATTCATTACGTGAAATGTTTTGATTTTCATTTTCTATTTTCTTCCTGTAGTAGTTGTGTACAAATGTCAGCTTCCATGTTTGGTTCATTTTTGTAAGGTCTTATTTTTTCTCAATCAGCAATAATAGGTGTGAAGGTTTGGGGAGGCTTACTAAATTTCTTAGATTAAGAGCACCATCTTTTATTAGTGAAGTGGTTATTTTGGAAGAGGGAAGAAGGTGTATATTTGATTTTGTGATTCTCATTCCCATTTCTCGTGTCTTTCTTTCCTTCACCACCAGTCCTCTAAAGGGTACCTCCTCCTTTTAGGCCATGCCCATCTCCCCGAGAAGCAATGCTTTCCCAAGGTTACTACCTATACTCCTATATATCTGAAGTCTCTTATTTTTGATCCTCCAAGTAAACAGAGTTCTAATCTACCACATCTCAGACCTGTTCTCAGTATGTCTTTGATGAGGGTAGGTCCTTCTCCTTCTGGGGGGTTACTTTATCTGTGGTATTATTGCTAGGCCCCTGCTCCATCTTCTCTTTTTACAGTCTCCTCTGTGATGCTGGCTCCGCTGGATTTGGTGTTTATATGCCCATTGCCATGCCATTTGAACCTTGCAGTATTCTGTCTACCAAATGAGATTGTTGTGAGAATATCTGCATTCATTGTTTGTACAGGGTTTCTTTGTGTGTTTGTTTTTGCTTTTGAGAATGTGTGGAGAGATTCAGATTTAGGCAGTTGGGCTTATTCTACAGGAGCCCAGAACTCCTCAGAAAGTCTGACTTTAGACAGACCTTCTAGGAAAAAAAAAAAAAAAAAAAGCAAACCTAACAATGTCTCTTACATTATCTCATCTACATGGAAAGGATTCAAAGGATAGTGGAGAGGTACAAACCGAGAAAAACTTGAGGAAGGCTCAAAACTCTTGCTGCAAGTAAAATGGGGTAGCTTACCTGAGTAAGGTTCCATTGCAGCTGCTGAGCTGGCTGGACCCCATACACAGTCTGGGGCATAGCTGCCATGCCTGCCATGTAGCCAGCCTGCTGGGTGGTCATCATTCCATTCGGCACACCCATCATTGATGCCTGCATGCCACCCATATAGCCTGCAGGCATGGCCATGGGGGCAACCATCCCAGAAGCTCCTGGCTGAGCAACCATGCCTACTGGTGGAGGCATCATGCTCCCCATTATGCTGTTAGGAGGTGTAACCCCGGGGAAGCTGGGGTAGGCTGTGGGATATGCCATCTGAGCGGGAGCCATGAACATTGCTGCCAAGAAAACACACATACAGGTTGGTTAAAGAGGGAAAAACATAAAGTCAGCCCGAACTCTCCCTGGCTAACCCTTTCCAGCTGGAATTTCTCAGGATTACTCTACTCACAATGCTCTTTACACAGCAAAGTAGTTAGAGTCCCTACGAGGCCTGCTATAGCTTACCAATGGGCTGCTGACCGAGCCATTTTCCCTTTAGGGTCCAGATCCAGACCTTGAGCTAGACTTCACCGAATTGTGACCCCAGACTCCACAGAAGTATGACTCTGAGTTACATTAATTTCCATCTGCTGATACGTTGGTCATGTTCAGGTTTGTTTGGTGTATGACATCCTGGCCCCCAAAGCAACTGTCCTCTGTCACAATAAATAATTCCTGCATGGAAGCCCTCATGTCTCTACCTGGCACATGGCCATGACACCCATGAAATCTACCTTGAGTAGGCATTTGAGGCGTCTGGGATCCATACAGTGAAAGAATGGAGTCTTTAGAGAGCTGTTTCTTGCCTATTTCTTCTGATTTGCTCCCTGGCTCCGGAAACAGGTTCAGATTTTCAGGAACAGAGCCGGCACTCCCTGCAGTTGGCATGGAACCTACAACCTTAGGGCAAAGAGGGCGGGGGGAGAATTGAAATGGTTCTCATGGGGGTCTCTTTAAGGGTCTCCCTTCCCTCTCTGCTGCTCCTAACATCTGCAATAAGAATTCATGGCTCAAGTTAATAGCTTCCTAACATTTTTACCATTCAACTATCTGAACACACCTGATAATTAAGCTCTGTTACAATTCTTTCCTTTCACCAAAACATGTGATTTGGTAGGAACAAACAAACAAAACAACCCACAAATGATGCAGCAGAGGGAACTGAGTTTAGACCCCAGTGTAGCCATTTACTAGTATAACCACAGGCTAGTCACATAACTTTTACAAACTAATGTCTCCACATCTGTAAAATTTCCACTTTGCAGGTTTGTGGTGAAGGAGTGAAATTATTAATGAAATATACAAAATGATATACAAAAACCACCTCACACTGTGCCTGAGACATAGCAGGCGTTTCACGAATGGTAGCCATTAAAGGTTTCAAGTCTTTCCTACCTACAATTTTCTGGCAGTAACTCAGGCCGAGGAGCTAGCCTCAAGTATCAGCCTTCACAGTATCACACACTTTCCAGAGAAGCAACTCAAATGGCCCACCCTTTTTGAGCAGGAGAAAAAAAGGCATGAACAGCAATCTTAGACTGTGACAGAAATGACACAATGTTAAGGGAAGAATGAAGAATCAAGAAAACCAAAGTCCAACTCCACCAAGGAAGCATGACGTGGTTCCATGATTAAGATATCAAAATCACCCATTTCAGAATGTTCTTTAATCCTGAGGAGCCCACAAGACTCACCTTTCTGGAACCGGAAGAAGAAGGGGATGGAACAGAGGCCAACAGATCTAAATCCTTCTCTAGGGTATTGCTGGTCTTACTATTTGCAATGGAGCAGGCCACAGGAGCATCTAGAAAGAGAGATCGAAGTTAAGATGCAGCACTGCTTATTAAGCCCATGCCTTCCTTCTATTCTAGACAAAAAGCAAAGGTGGCCCATAAGCTCATGGACCTAGAAATCTAGACTTCTGGAACCATCTAGCATGGACGGGGCTTCTCAAAAGAGGCTTCACCCCACATTCCCAGAGTGCTCTGGGGAAGCCTGTAGCCCAGCTATCAGGCACAGGGCAGCAGACGCCCAGGCCTGAAGGGTATTTCAGCACCACAGTGGGGGGCTGGCTGGCTCCCTTCTGGCTATTTGAAGGGCAAGGTATGGAGGAGGGTTCATTTTCAGAGAGCAAGGAAAGGTACAGAAATTAGAAGCCTAAGTAGCCAATAACCTCAATCAGCAGAAGCGGATGGAAACAAAGTGCAACCATCAGTGCTGTGAAAGGCAGACAACAGGCTTTCTTTCTGAAAGGGCAGAATCACTAGTTCAGGATTTCAAAGGTTTGGAGAAAAATGACCACAGGCCATCTCAGAAACAGGTTGCATCTGAAAAATGAAAGGAATGGGGGCAGGGAGTGGAGTACAGGGAATTGACATGAGGCTCAAAGGTGCTGTTTAGCAAAACTGCTAACATTTATGGAGGGCTCAGTATGTGCCAGGCATGGGGCTAAGAGCTTTAGAGGCATTATCTCATTTAATCCTTCCAACAACACCTTTGAAGTAGAGACTCATTCTCACTGCACGGATTATGAAAGCAACATTCAGAGGTTAAGTAAACTACCCATGGTCACACAGACAGTAAGTAACACAGAGCGACACTGGCTCCAAAGGCCATGCTCTTAACCACTACACCACACTGTCGCTCTGAAAAGTGTCACAGTAAACACTTCCTTAGAGCAACTGCTCAGATGTAAAACAGATCAGGAAGAATGTGAGAGAACAGTCTTGGCAATGAAGACAAAACTGGAGAACCCCATCTCTACCTATCTTCCAGGGTCACTGAGAATTTATCAAAATTTGTAAGAACATGGAAGCTGAAAAGTCCAACTCTTACCAAGGCCCAACAAATCCATGACAGGCGCTGTGGATTTCGGGGAGCTTTTCCGAGGTAGCTGTGGGTCTTCTTTTTTCTGTGGCTAAGGTGAAAATATGTTATAGCAAGAAATAAGCAGGTGGTTTTGAACTCTTTTCCCATCTCCACTGTAAAGCCACGGTGTTCTTGTGGGTAGGGCTGCTGTTATTCAAAGAGAGTTACCAAAGAAACAAAACTCAGGAAGTATTAGGTGAAAGAATCAAGTCAGGAGGCAGAAGTGCATAAACCAAACCTAAAATGAAAAACAAAGATATCGCCTGTGATTGTCTGGTGTCCTAAAGAGACAGATCTTTCTGAAACCAAGACAACCACAGAACAGGGGATCCAACAGAAGCAGCAGTTTTTGGTCCCAGGAAAAGCCAAGAATAAAGGTAGGTATCTGATGGTACAAGAGCCAAGAGCCAACAAATCTCCCAGTGGTTAGAAAACCTTTTACTTTAACACCAAAAGGGAGGTTGGTTTAAAGATTACCTAATTCACTCTGCCAGTATCACTAGTGATTGTGTCCACAGACAATGTGATTCAGAACGATGATAAAAGACTCTTCCTTAAGCAATAGTAAGTAAAGTCCTCTCTCCCAAGATTCCAAGTTTTTATGTTAGAGATTCTACTACTACAGCCACAATATGTCCTGTGGAAAAAGAAGGGTGTCTGTTTCAACATGACAAAGCAAGAACATAAGAAGGGATCACTTAAAATGGACTAATATGGCCTCACTTCTGGACTGTTCTTCATTGAAATCAGAAAATGGGATACAGAAGGTCTAACAAGAGAAGGACTAATGTGGAAATAGCATCTGCTCAGATGGTGTCCCTCAGCCTTGGCATTCTGGCTTGGAATGTGCCTCTTGCTTAGATGGAACAGATGCATTTCCTGAGTTCTCATCTGGCCCCAAAGCGAAGCCCTTACAGAGCAGATTTAGGCAGCAACTGGTAACGAGAGAGCAGAAATGATAGCAGGCAGTCCAATCCAGATGCAGAACCCTTTAGCCCCAGCTGTGATGGTGCAATGGTACTCACCACGAGACCTCCTACTTTCCCTTTCACAAATATACACATACCTGAGGCTGTCCATACAGTGCAAATACTTCCCAACTTACCATTTTCACCTTCTCAAAAACAACAGGTTCCAATTTTTTTTCTGGAACTGGTTCGCTCCCTCTTTTCCACTTGTCATCTTTTTCTTTCTATAATGATTTAACAAGACAAAGAACACAGGGCCCAAGGTGACTAATAGTTGGATAAATCATAATTCCAAGTGTCCGAAAAGGACACCTCCAATCCCTATTGATTCTGACGTAAGTGTCTGACAAGCTTGGGGGGCGGTGTCTTGGTGTGGAGCATGAGAGTTGACCTCTTCCACATTGGCCTCAATGCTGTACGAGGCGTCTTCCAAACACCTTAGGCGCCCGCCCTCCTAACCCACTCATGACTGTTGACATTTGCAGTCGAGGCTATGTACAGACGCTAAAACATTTTACCAGTATGCTGCCCACCTGTGCCCCAAATTTAATTTGCCCATGCTTTGAGAGGTCTCCCCTCATATCAGTATACTAGTGAATAAGTTCATCTTACTCAGCTTATGTCCTTTGTGATATCATAAATTCAATCATAGGTCCTCTCAATATTCATTTTTTTAACAGTCAGAAAATAAACCTTAATTTCAAGTTTACAGATTAGAAGAACAAAAATTAAGTTTTAAAATCAAATAAACATCTAAATGTAAAACAAAACCACAAAGTAACCTTAAGAATACAGAGTATAGCATACATATGAAAAACATGTTTGGTCTTGCCAGTGATAAAAAATGCAATTTAAAATGCACTTTATGCAGGGAGAAAGATCTTTCTATAATGGTGGGAGGGATGAAGTGAAACCAGTACTCTTATACAATGCTGAGAAGAGAGAGTAAAATGGTACAAATTCTGGAAAGTATATTGGCAAAACTAGGAAGAGACAAATGTTGAAATCCTTTGACCTAGATGATACCATATCTTGTAATGTATCTTACGAAAATAGTCCAAAATATGAAAAAGGTTAAATGCACCAAGTTCACCCCAGAATTATTTATGCTAAAAAAAATTAAATAACATTTATGCCACAGAAGGGAAATGGTAAATAAATTATTACTTTCAGTGATTTAGCTACTCACTGAAAGATGATGCAACAATTAAAAATTATAAACACTATATAAGCAACACAGAAATATATGTTAAGTGGAATGAAGGCACGAGAAGTCTACATAACTGTATTATAATTATGCCTCCAAAAAGAAACTATTTAGAAAAAAAGGGGAACACACCAAGAAGATAATTATTAGCAAAGATAGTGAGAGTATGTATGGATATTTCACTTTAATTTTCATTTTCTCTAAAATAATTTTATAATCAATACATGCAGCTGTTTTTCTCATACAAAGTGTATGTCTTTAACACGACATTTCATTTAAGTTAAAAATGTTTTATCTGTCCATTATAAAAAGAATAGTTTTTAACAAAGCCAGTTTCTTTTCATTTGATATTAAACGTCTTCACTTAGCAAATACTAATTATTGGCATAAAAATCTTCACAAAATATGAAAAAAATCTAAGTACATTAAATAACAAATTCTGAAATAGCTTTTTGGTAAATGGGAGGTTATTTCCTTCCTAAGAGAAACATCCGGTAACCGGGCTTGCTTTCATGGGTACAGTATACCAGCAATGAAATCATGAATACCCTGAGGGCAGAGCTGCTGTTTCCACAATAGCTGTGTACAAATAGCAACTCTACTCCTTCGTCATCTGAATTATCTCAGATACCCTTTTCTGACCTCATCTGAGTTCATATCTTTAGGCACAATGAACAGAGCTGGGCAGACAGACCACAGTTTTCTACAAATAAAACGAAATGTGTATGCTTGGGTTCTAAACTGTTTTTGATGATGCCATGCAAGCTGTAGCTGCACACTGGGTTCTTTCTTGGCACAGATATGATATTGACAAGTCCCTTTTCTGGATAACTGCAAGGTAAGAGTCCTTCATACACAGTTGAGAAGGAATCATTTTTACCTAACTATATGTATTACACTTACTTGCCTGTGTTGAAATTCACCTACCAGTTAATGCCCCTTTCACACAGCTTCATAAGATCAGCCTGAAGTGGATTCCAATTAGCTTAACTTTTAATTACCCAGAAGGGCTTGGAGCTCAGTGCAAACAGTGATTTCACTGGCTATTATATCATTATTACATAACTAGAATAGATGATAGATAGGTAGGACCTGCGCTGGAAGTGGAGAATCCCTTACTCTCAATACTTCTGTGACTAGATAAATAGCCAATTATTCCTAAGAGAATTTTCTGTAGAATCTTGTCAAAGGTTATTTAAAGGTATAAATAGTCATATCTATTGGTTCTCCATTAGCTGTCATTAGTTAGGCATATTTTCCTCTTTCAGAAATCATGCTGTCTGTCCCCCTGTGTGTTATATTTGTCCTAGTTATCATATACTGTATTGCAGATTCTAAACATGCCTAGGATGGAATGTGTTCTTGGCAACTGGTAGCCAGTCTCCCTCTGAAACCCTTCTCAGAAACAAGGGTCCCATTGGCAATCAGTCCAACACACTGGTTATCAGCAGGTAATGCTGGAAATATACATTGGTCAAACTGAAGGAAACTCTGGTGATTTAATTACACCTACTTTTGTTGATTTCATTTACAGGAAAAAAGTATATATGTGTGTATATATCTATGTAGATAGATATAGCTGTAGTACATATACACATATACTGTTTTATTTGATCTAGTATATGCAACATGTCCATCCCAAGAAATAATTCAAAACTGGGAATCATCACTAACACCTTCTAACTACAGATTAAGGCAAGAATTCACCGATAGGCAGAAGTTTGTTTCTGCCTCATGGTCTTGACTCAGTAACTGGCACTTTTTACTTTTGCTTAAAAATTTATATTGAGACAGGGTCAAACTCCGTTGCCTAGACTGGAATGAAGTGGTGCAATCACAGCTCACTGCAGCCTCAACCTCCCTGGCTCACGTAATCCTCCGACCTCAGCCTCCCAAGTAGCTGGTTATTACAGGCATGTATACCACCATGCCTGGCTAATTTTTAAATTTTTTGTAGAGATGGGGGTCTTTCTTTGTTGCCCAGGCTGGTCTTAAACTTCTAGGTTCAAGTGATCCTCCCACCTCAGCCTCCCAAAGTGATGGGATTAGGGGATGAGCCACCACACCTGGTCTACTTTTGCATTTTTTAAAAGATGGTTTTGGAGTGTTTTGGTAGCAGTTCTTCAACGTGTTCTCTGGCCTGATTTAATAAGCACATTACTTATTGTGGACAAAACTTGAAAGATGTATAACCAACCCTAAAGGCATTGATGTCCAGACTTCGGTCCATGTATTTCTTCTTCTCATATTTGTCTCGAATAAATCCTTCAACAGCTCTGCAAAAAGCTTATTAAGGATGAATCCAACAAGCCTCTCAAACAGCAAGAAGATAAAAGATCAATTGTGTTCCACGGAGCATTGTTCTCCTCCTTCCCTCTTGCCTGGTTTCCCCACATGGCTCCTGCCTCTTCATATGCAATTTCTCTGACCAAAACCTTAAAATGCCTCTTTCACAGTTAAAGCAGGGAATCATTACTTCCTATGCTTTCCCTTCAGCGTGATGATAGCAGCAAGTGGAATTAACCTTCAAACTGACATTAGAGGCTGTATGTGGCTGTTCTAGAATATAGGTAAAGCAGTCAAATGTCTATTTTAAAGCACTTAGGTCAATAGGCCTCAAACAAAGGCACGTAAGTGCCCCTTAAAAACATAAACTCTTGTGCCCCACTGCCAAATTCTGACCAGTGGGTCTTCTGCAAGGCCCCAAATCTGCATTTAACAGGTTCCACCTGAACCCATTAAAAAAAAAAGAACCTTAACAAGATGATCTACAAACTACATTTTGAGAAGCACTGCCTTTAAGGGATTTGGTTTTGTGTCCTAGGTGCTATGCTCTGTTGAACAGATGGTGGAAGAAAGTTATTGGTTATTGACAAACTGGTAAACAACAGTTAATTCTTTCACCCAAGACATAAAAAGATGATAAAAATGAATGGCAATTTTGCTGACTGCCAGGGTTAACAGAGCACAATGAACTACTCTTTTTAATCAAACAATAGTTTCAGAGATCCAAAATAAACTAGTGGAGATGTAACTTTATAGAAGAATTCACAGTGAAATCACTGCAGTCTTAATTCCAGAGTGAGTCTTCTTCAAGTGACACCGTATGACAATTCCGACATTCACAAATACATGTGCTTTTTGTGCACCTTGATTGCAGGACAGAGGACAAGCAAGGACACTGACTAATCCACATAGAGATGACCCAGTCACATTACAGGACTGGAGTCTTGTCTGACTCTCCCCAAGCATCAAAATACCACTCAGCCTTCTAAGTTGCTCCAGAAAAGATACGGGTCTATCTGAGGTCGCCGAAAGGTCTCAGGAAGATAGGCTTCATAAAGTCGGTTTGCCTTTCCATTTCCCATCTCTTGCATGCACTGTGACCAAAGAGAATGTAGAAACATGGAACGTCAGATCAAGAAAGAACTGAAAAACTTCTCACCCAATTCCACTACTGTACAATTGAAGAACCAACCTAGAGAGTGTCAGAACCAACATTTAAACTTGTGTATTCTGATTTCCAATTCATGATTCCCTCTACCTTACTAGGATTTCCCAATCATTTGCCCCAAGCTGTCTTTCCCCCACTCCATAGGTTCCTTTTACTGAAATATTTGTGTACCAAGATACATTCAATTCAGTAATAAATCAAGATCTCATTTGAAACTCTTAGATACACAGCTACCAATTAAAATGTCTACTTGGCAGGCAATGATCAGTGTTATCATTCTGAGTTTATACTATTAATCAATTCCAATAAATGTGTTTCCCATTAGGCTTTTAAGTAGACTCCTTAACACTTGTGAGGGATAAATCCCAAGAGCTTTTTAAATCTCCAAATTCCCGACTATCTCCATGGCATATAATTTCCTTCATAAAACAGAGTGAAGTGTAACTGAAAAATGTAACTCACCTTTTTAGACCTTTAATACATCTATAAATACAATCTAAAGCAATTTCTAAAGCCATTTTCTGGTTAAGCGTAACCTCTGATTTCCATTACCAACTTTAGCAACTGGATTTGGGGGGCGGGGGGCTTCCCTTTTACTCCCAAGAAAGAAAAAATTGAAATTAAAGCGTTTCAATGTAGGAAGAGAATAAAAAATAATGAAGCTATATCAAGGTACAGCTCTTAGGCCAGCCAGACTCATTAACTTAGGAGTCTCACTCCAAGCCCACCAAGCTAACAGCATGCAAGATTCATGTATGCATTCCAGCTGTTACAGCTTTTTAAAGATGATAACAATAAATCTAATATACACATTGTCCTATTTAATATACTTTTAAGGTTAATTATGTTTAAATTTATTTAAAATTTTTGAAATTTTAAATGTTATCTAATTCCACATTTGTATGTGTCTAAAAATATCAGAAATGATGAGTTTACAAAAATGGATACATTTTAATATTATGTACCATTAAAATATTTTCTCTGTCTTAAAAAAAAGATTCATGTATGCATTTTAGTAATAAAATTTTCCCATAAGTCTATGATTTGGAGGTTTTTTTAAAAAGTGAATTTTTATTTATTTATTTTTTTGAGACAGGGTCTCACTCTATTGCTCAGGCTAGAGTGCAATGGCATGATCATGACTAACCGCAGCTTCAACTTCTGGGCTCAAGCAATCCTCCCACCTCAGCTTCCCAAACTGCTGGGATTACAGGTACGTACCACCAGGCCCAGCTAATTTTTTAATTCTTTATTTTGTAGAGACAGGTGTCTCACTCTGTTGCCCAGGCTGGTCTTGAACTCCTAGACTCAAGAGATCCACCCACCTCGGCCTTACAAAGTGCTGGGATTACAGGCATGAGCCACCGTGCCCGACCAAAAGTGAATATTTGAAACTATAAATTTTAGACCTGCAAATGCTAAGAGTCTTAGAAAATCACCCAAAGATCCCTCTTAATACTTTCGTGGGCCCATGGAATCCTAGACCGTAGACTATTTCTGTTTTTAAGGAGGTAAAATATAGGTAGAATAACTTGTATCTTAAATAGAAAGAATAAAAATTTCTGTTAGGGTACAAGAATCTGATGTTAAGTGTTTAACAACTAAATTTTCCTTTATCTTCACCTTTGTGCCAGGTTTGACTGAAATTCATCTGGAATTCCTTTTACATAGATATATGGAAGCAGCTGACTCACTCTTGGGCTAAGTACCTGAATCTGTTCTTGAGTCCACTGGTCGAGGTTAACTGACTTTACCCTGGATATGTGCACCCCCAGATTCCTGTGGATTCCAGCACATCGAATGCAGATGAACACACCAATGTTCCAAGAGGCCCATCGCGGCCCTGTGAAAGTCAGGAACAGGGCAATAAAGTACAAATTACAACATTCAAGGCCTAAACTACAATATTAGATTATCAGACATTTCTGCTAGAACATAAGTGAAATAATTTTTACCATAACCACCTGTTTATTGACTCTGCTCATTCCTCCATGTGTCAGCTTTTCTTTAGTTTAAATTTAAGTGTACAATACAGTGGTTTTTAATATATTCACACAGTTGTGCAATGATTACTACTATCTAATTCCAGAACATTTTCATTAGTCCAAAAGAAATCACAAACCCATTAGCAGGCACTACCCATTTTCTCCCAGCTCTTCCTCCCAGCCCCTGGCAACTATGAATCTACTTTTTATCTCTATGGATTGCCAATTCTGGGCATTTAATATAAAAAGAATTATATAATAAGTGGGCATTTGTGCATGGTACAATTTTTTTACAGTGTCTGCTAATATGAGTGTTGAAACGCAGATGTTATAAGACTGTTACTTATATTAAGAAAAATCCCAGGAGTGCAAAGCCATGTCATATTCTATTTGGCCGAGCACCTTACATAAACAGTCCTCTCCCAAGAGACGTTTTAGTGGTGATGGGCCTGTATTCACCACTTTTTAGTGGTGGCCTGTATTCGGTTTTCCTACCAGGAAAAAAGATAGATATGGCATGCTTGTCCATGGCTCAACCTGTAATTGAAACTGTGTTTATCTTCCCCCCAACCCCAGGCCTATAAAATATGCATTCGCATTAACTTAATAGGATCTTTTCCCCTTAGGCTGATGTTCCTACTTTACTCAACTACTGAAGTATCTTGTTTCAAGATTGCCAAATAATAAAGATGCTTATAGCAACAAAAAAGAAATCTCAAATATGAATTTTAATTCAAAACTGTTACAGAATCTCCCATCCCCTGCCAGTGTTACTCATCCTAATAATCACTCTGAAAAATTATCATACTCCTCTTCATAATTTTTACCCAGGAAAGAAAAATGACTTATATGAAACCTGCCAAAAACTTACTAAAAAATCAGAAATACTTCCTTCTCCATTATCCCACTTGGCAGAAATTTACCACATAAAATAAGTGTGATATAAAAATTAGAGGATGCAATAAAGAGGTGAAAAGACACTGATTTTCTACAGAGATAAACAGGGCCTACGCTTGGAACGACAACGAGCACAAGACTTCAGTTCTTTAGGACACAGACAATTATTTGGTTAGCTAGCAGGTTTTTAATTTTTTAATTTTTATTTTTAGAGGCAGTCTCGCTGTCACCCGGACAGGGAGTGCTGTGGCACGATCATAGCTCACTGCAGCCTCGTCTTCCTGGGCTCAAGCGATCCTCCTGCCTCAGCCTCTGGAGTAGCTGGGACTATAGGCGTGTGCCACCCTGCCTGGCTAATATTTTTATTTACTGTAGAGACTAGGTCTCACTATGTTGCCCAGGCTGGTCTTGAACTCCTGTCCTCAAACAATTCTCCCACTTTGGCCTCCCGAAGTGCTGGGATTACAGGTGTGAGCCATTGTGCCTGGCCAGCCTGAAGGTTTTGACAGCAGTTTTAATGAAGGAATGCTAGAATTGTGTGGCAGAAAATTAGTTTTAGAAATTTGAATTCATGATTATTACAAATAAGAATGTAATTTTTTGACAAAGATATCACTTATTTACTATCGCAAATACTGCAACAGAAGGCTCACATTCTCCTTATTACCACCAGGTGGTGCTCTCCGCCTGAAATTTTATCCCAATACCTTATTGCTATCACAAGCTCCGATTTACCTTCTAAAAAGATATTTAGTCCCTTCACATTCCTAGATGGATTTACATAGTTGGTCCGCCATGTATCTAATAAACACAAAAATGATTCGCACACTTGTTTCATGTGGGAGAGTGTCACGTCAAACACAAAATGAAAACCCTAAACTGATGTAAATGGGGTTTCTTAACATGTGGTATATCCATTTTAGGTTACAGTTTTCATAAAGGAACTCCAATAAGATCTAAGTTATATAAGATTTAAAATGGCACCAAGTTAATATT
Source organism: Homo sapiens (assembly GCF_000001405.40). Taxonomy (NCBI): domain Eukaryota; kingdom Metazoa; phylum Chordata; class Mammalia; order Primates; family Hominidae; genus Homo; species Homo sapiens. The sequence goes on along the minus strand of NC_000001.11, from coordinate 40,404,700 downwards.
TCATGTTTCTTAAAGCACTTTTCCTTTGCTCTAGATTCCAGAGTCTAGAACTCATAAGACAAGTTAAGATGTATTTGTTTGCTAACAAAGTCAGAAGCCAAACACATTCATTAAAAATTAAAAGTCAGCTGTGAAATGTTACACTGTTTGCTTCCTGGCCTTAAGATGGGAAAAGGCAATTCCCAATCATCTAAGCCACTGTCACAGCTCCCACTCCAGCGTACTTAAAGTCTTTTTGCTTCTGAGGAATGCAAGGCTAAGACTTGGAGCCTTGGGGTGACTCTGAAGCCACTGACAAGGCCTCAGTACAGAAATACAGGCAACTGTATTTTCATGAAAAGCCAAAGAACAGCCTCTTCTCCCCACCAAATCCCTACCTGACATCCCTTGTGAAACCTTTTCCCAGTGAATATAGTGATAGTTATATCCCAGATACTCAATCTCTTTTAGTTTTGAGCCACTAGATTTATTAGTGAATAACTACATGTTCCATAAAATATTCTGAAATTAGAGAAAAGAAAAATAAAAGAGACAAATGTTACTTATATGGCTGAAAACATGGGGAAATGGTGTAGTTACTTTTATTTCATTTTATTCTTTACAGACAGGGTCTCTCACTCTGTTGCCCAGGCTGGAATGCAGAGGCAAGATCATGGTTCACTGTAACCTCAAACTCCTCGCCTCAAGCGATTCTCCCACCTCAGCCTCCCATGTAGCTGGGACTACAGGCATGCAACACCATGCCCAGCTAATTTTTTAATTTTTTTAAAGACAAGGTCTCCCTATGTTGCTTAGGCTGGTTGTGAACTCCTGGCCTCAAGGAATCCTCTCGCCTCAGCCTCCCAAAGCACTGGGATTACAGGTGGGAGCAACCACACTCTGCCAGTTGTAGGACTTAGGTTTGAGCACAGCTCCTTCAGTGATTACCTGTGTGACCTTCTGAGAGATACTTACATTTCCTGAGCCTTAGTTTCCTCATCTATAAAACGTGTACAATAGCATTCACCTCACAGTGCCCTAGAACACAGAGGGACAATAACTGAGGACTATATATAAGGATGTGGTATAGAATAAGGTTTCCAGAACCCACTTCCCATCCATCTTCCTGATAAGGGCCAGTTAACTCATTCATATATGTAATATATACCAACACTCTATGCAACACCACGGAGTGCTTCTTTTTATTTTATTTTTTTGAGACAGAGTCTCGCTCTGTCGTCCAGGCTGGAGTGCAGCGGCGTGATTTTGGCTCACTGCAACCTCCGTCTCCTAGGTGCAAGCAACTCTCGTGCCTCAGCTTCCCGAGTAGCTGGGACTATAGGCGCGTGCTACCACACCCCACTAATTTTTGTATTTTAGTAGAGACGGGGTTTCGCCTTGTTGGCCAGGCTGGTCTCAAACTCCAGACCTCTGGTGATGTACCCGCCTTGGCCTCTCAAAGGCCTGGGATTACAGGCGTGAGCCACCGCGCTCAGCCAGAGTGCTTCTTTTTTAAAAAGGAATATGAGTTCTGGTCCTAAAATATCAGAACCAAAATGAACTGAATACAGAGAGAAGAAATTTACCCTAGACCCAATTTCAAAGTCTTCTAGGCAACATGAAAATTTAAGCAGCTTCCTTTATTTCTCTTAAAATATTTCTTGAAAATGCACTTTTTAAACCCTCACCTGTTCCCTTTCTCTGCTACACACCCCCACCCTGCCCTTGTGCTTGCATATGCCCCCACTACACAGGCAAAGAAAGAAGGCCCAAGGCTGTCAACCTAAGTGGTGGGTACTTGGATTCCACAGTACCTGGTATTGCTGCTATAAGGCCAGCCTACTTTAATCTGGTAAACTTGCAAAAATGCAAGTGAAACCAATTGTTTCACTTAACATAATGACCTCCAATTCCATCCATGTTGCTGCAAATGTTAGTGAGTTAAAAAATAGTGGATCTCATGAAGAGAGAGTAAATCGGTGTTCTAGAAGCCAGGAAGGGTAGGCGGATGGAGGAAGAAATGAGGTTGATTAATGGGTACAAAAATACAGTTAGTCAGCCTGGCCAACACGGTGAAACCCCATCTCTACTAAAAATACAAAAAATTAGCCAGGCATGGTGGCACGTGCCTGTAATCCCAGCTACTGGGGAGGCTGAGGCAGGAGAATTGCTTGAATCCAGGAGTCAGAGGTTGCAATGAGCCGAGATCACACCACTGCACTCCAGCCTAGATGACAGCGAGACCTTGTCTCAAAAAAAAAACAAAAATACAAAAATACAGTTAGAAGAAATAAGATCTAGTGTTCAATAAATCAGTACAGTGACTATAGTAAATAATAATCTACCATATATCTCAAAATAGGTAGAAGAGAATAATTCAAATATTCCCAGCATAAAGAAAAGATAAATGTCTAAGGTGACGGATATAGCATTATCATGATTTGGTTATTACACATTATGTGAATGTATCAAAATATCACTTGTACCCTGAAAACATGTACATCTATTATGTATCAATAAAAAGAGATAAACCAATTGTTTAATACACATTGGTCATGGCAATCAAGGAAAAAAATATAAAAGATGCCATTTTGAAATTTAAAATGAAAAGAAATGCTGAGAGGCAATATGCCAAACAATTTTGAAAGCAAAGAGGATAGACAAGTGATGTAAACTGGTAGTGATCGGCACAACACAAGAACAAGGTCACACATAAGTGCACATATTCAACAGGAGCCTAAGAGCAGGCGTGGGCAGCATCAAGCAATACTAAAACTAACATAGAATCACTCTGCAATAAGGGATCAGGGAAAATGAAAAAAGTAGATGGAGATGGATTTGGTTGATCAGTCAAGAAATCAACTGTCCTAAGTACCAGTTCAGTATCGGAAAAATCTGGGTTTACACGGACCTGTTGCATGTATTTTGACAAGTTTCTCTAGGGCTTATGTCTCCATTTGTAAAATGAAAAGCATATACGTAATATCCAACTTATATTCAACATCTGGACAGCTTCTACATACGGAGTAACTACTGCTGCAAATTCCTCTTGCTGCTGAAACTTCCCCCACCACCAAAGCTGCCAGGATTAGAGGGGCTCTGGGATTGACAACTCAGCAGACAGAAAAGGGGAACTAGCGTGATGGAGGACTTCAAGCTACTACTAATATTATAATAATTATATCATTGAGTTCTAATCTATGGAGTTCCAAACAAATAAATATTGAGGAGGAAAAAACATTGATAAATTGATGGCTACCTATATTTAGACCTGCTGGCATAACGGACCTGTCAAAAAGTTCAACGGGCAGGCTACGCGAAGGGAGAGAACTTTCCCATCTTCCATCCAAATCCTGTGGAATCTATCTTGGAAACTTTTCCAGAATCTATCCATTTCTACCTAGACCTCATGTCTCACCTATAAGCATTCGTTCTTTTTTGTGTGTGTTTGTTTGTTTTGAGACGGAATCTCGCTCTGTCACCCAGGCTGGAGTGCAGTGGCGCGATCTCGGCTCACTGCAAGTTCCGCCTCCCGAGTTCACGCCATTCTCCTGCCTCAGCCTCCCGAGTAGCTGAGACTACAGGCGCCCGCGATCACGCCCGGCTAATTTTGTTTTTGTATTTTTAGTAGAGACGGGGTTTCACCTTGGTAGCCAGGATGGTCTCGATCTCCTGACCTAGTGATCCGCCCTTCTCGGCCTCCCAGAGTGCTGGGATTACAGGTGTGAGCCACCGCGCCCAACCAGCATTGGTTCTCTTAACATTATTTATTGTGTACCTATGTGCCAAGCAATTTGCCTGCTAAGTACTGGGGATACAAAGGCAGAGAAAATAAGGATGAGATTCCTCAATTCAAAAAGCTCACAGACTAACAAGCAATTAGTCTCCAGAATCCCACCACCAGAATAATCTTTCTAAAACACAAATCTGTACAGATCACACCTCTAAATATAAACCTTCCATGTAGTCTCATACACAAAGGTAAATATGTAAATTGGTGCACATTTTCTGAATAGCATATTCCAAACTAAGCTCTCAATCTCTTGCTACAAAATCTCTTCCTTTTTTCTTCATCTTAGTCAACTACACCTCCATCCATTCCATTGCGTCAGTCAGAAAATTATGCATCATGAAACCTCTCTCCTTCAGCCCCCACATCACCAAGACAAAAATATCTGTCAAATCAGTATCTCTTCTCTCCATCTGTATCACTATTTCTGTAATCTAAAGCCACCAGACTCTTTCGGACCACTGCAATAACCTCCTAATAGCTCTCTCTCCACTTTTACATTCTCTTCTCCCTTGAGCCCAAACCAAAACCATTCTCCACCAAACAGCCAACTTGAGCTCTTAAAGAAGCAAAGCCACATTGTGCTGCTTAAAATTCTTCTATTACTATTGGATTAAATAACAAAATCCTTAACATAGTTTCCAAGGTCTTAAAGGTCTAGCCCATGCCTCCTTCCGCAGCCTCTCAATTCCTATGGTAGCAGCCTTCTTTCATTTCCTCAAGGGACCAACATGTTCCTTCCTCAGGGCTTGCTGGACTTTGTACATGCTGCTCCTGCTGCCTAAAAAAACTCTTTCCCTAACTGCCAAATGCCACTTGCAGCCTGGCCAACTCCTATACATCACAAGGGTCTCAGCTGAAATGTTTCTTCCTCAAAGGAGTCTTTCCTTGGCTCCCCAGTCTAAACCCGACTGTAACATCTCTTCTACCCTTTCTTTTGGTTTTTACCTTACAGAAAATTTCAAACAAACGAAAGCAGAGCATAATTAACCATGAGCTTCAGCAATTATCAACTCCTAGCCAATTTTGTTTCAGCTATACTCCCACCCACTGCCCCTCAACTCCAACCTGGATTATTCTGAAGCAAATCCTAAATATCATACCATTTCATCTGTATATACTTCAGCATATATCTCTAAAAGATAAGGACTTTTTTTTTAAAGGTTATGAACTTTCATTTACCCTTTACTCTTTTTTTCACTCTTTCTTTTCTTTTCTTTTTTTTTTTTTGAGACAGGGTCTTACTCTCTCACCCAGGCTGGAGTGCAGTGGTGCGATCATAGCTCACAGCAGCCTTGGGCTGTCAGGCTCAGGCAATCCTCCCACCTCAGTCTCCCAAGTAGCTGGGACTAGATGCATGAGCCACCACGCTCAGCTGAATTTTTTATTTTTGTAAAGATGGGTCATTGAGTGGTGTTAAGAGTCAGGAAAAAAAAAAAAGAGAAAGAAAGAAAAGAAAAAAAAAAGAAATGGGCCAGGCACGGTGGCTCACGCCTGTAATCCCAACACTTTGGGAGGCAGAGGTGGACAGATGACCTGAGGTCAGGAGTTTGAGACAAGCCTGGCCAACATGGTGAAACCCCATCTCTACTAAAAATACAAAAAAAAAAAAAAAAAAAAATAGCCACACGTAGTGGCACATGCCTGTAGTCCCAGCTACTTGGGAGGCTAAGGCAGGAGAATCACGTGAGCCCAGGAGGCGGAGGTTGCAGTGGGCCGAGATCCCACCACTGCACTCCAGCCTGGGCAACAGAGCAAGGCTCTGTCTGAAAAAAATAAAAATAAAAATAAATCAATGAAATAAAAAAGAGACAGGGTCTCACTATGTTGCTCAGGCTGGTCTTGAACTCCTGGCCTCAAGTGATTTTCCTACTTTGGCCTCCCAAAGCACTGAGATTACAGGAGTGAGCCACTGTGCCTGGCCACCCTTTACTTTTTCTAAATCATACCATATTTTGTTACTATCTAATTATTTGATTGTTTAAGATGTCTTTCCCGCTTAACTATGTGTGCCACAAGAGCTGTCACCAGACCTGTAACATTCACTATCATATACTCACGGCATAGCATGGTTCCTTGAACATAGCAGGGAAGCAACATTTGCTTAAAGATTAATTAAAACTAAGTATTCTAGGTGCAGTGGCACATGTCTGTAGTCCCAGCTATTCAGGAGGCTGAGGTTGGAGGATCACTTGAGCCCAGGAGTTTGAGGCCAGCCTGGGCAACATATTGACACCCTATCTCAAAAAAACAAAAGAACTAAGTAAATCCTTTGACCCCACTTGTAAGAATTCATCAGGGAAAAAACAGGTCAAGTACACAAAGAAATACGTTAAGAATGTTCATTATTACATCTTTATGAAAATTAGAAACATTAATAGGTTACATTAAGGAATTATGGTATCACCATTTAACGGGGAAAAATTTTGGAGCCTCTATTTCATATAAAAGTATCTCCATGATATAGTAATTTTAAAAATCCAGTATTAAAAGAGTACACATGAAACAATTCCATTTTTTTTAAAATATGAATAAATGAGCTCGGTGTGGTGATATGCCTCTGTAGTCCTAGCTACTTGGGAGGCTGAGCGGGAGTACTGCTTGAGCCCAAGGATTCAAAGGCTGCAATGAGCTATGATTGCACCATGGCACTTCATCCTAGGGAACAGAGTGAGACCTTGTCAAAAAATAAATAAATAAATAAATGTACGCGTATGCACAGAAAAAAAATCTAGAAGACTATATGTAAATTATTACTATATCGGGATAATGGGATAATGAAACATCTATTTTCTTCTCTATATATCCTCTCTGAATTGTTTGCAATGAGCTTTCTATTAATTTTGCAATGGGAAAAACCAGTACAGATATCGTAAAAACAAAACAACGTAAGCATCCAGGGCTCCTTACTGGCTGCAGGGTAAGTTGAAACTCCTTAACATAATATATAAAGTCTGTTGAGAGCCTTGTACTTTACACATGCTGAGGAAGTCATAATTGTGAAATATGCAGCACACTCAAATCTCTTTGACTACACCATTCTTTCTACCTGGAATGGCTTTCTCCCTCATTCCCTGCTTGACAAACTTAAAAATCCAGTTCATCTGTGATGCCCTCCAATGGAATAAACCCTAACTTTCTCTATTGCTAATAGCCCAGGGTATGCTTTGTTCTTCTAATACTTAATATCTTGTTCGAGTTGCTTACAGGTCTCTCTTGTCCTAAATAGACTATGAGCTCTGGAAGGCAATGACCATGTTCCTTCATCATTTATCACAAACACTTGACACAATGCTAGCAAACAGAAGATGGTACACAATAAATGTGTGTTAAATGAATTCGTCAATAAGCAACATAAATGTATATATTTTTCCTGTTTTGCAAAATGAAGGGAGAAGTTTTCAAATGCCTTAAAGGATAGCTGTAACACAGAAAACGGATTAGGTTACTTTGGAAAGGCTTCAAAAGCAGAACTGGCACCAAGGAGTAGAAGTTGATTTTAGCACACTCTAGAGAAAAATTTTCTAACAATTAAGGTTGTGTAAAAACCAATGCAGCATATCCAGAAATTGTAAAATCTCAGTTAGTGCAGTGTTCAAACAGAGGTTTGGTAATCAGTTCTCAGGGATGGTAGAGAAATGATCCCCATGTGGTGAATTGGGTGAACAATGAGCCCTACAGTTCTTTCTACTACTACAGTCCTACTACTACAGTAGATGATTTGCAGTAATTTTTAGGTCCCTTCCTGCTTACCGTTCAATGGTTCTGAAAACGTAAAATGAAACAAACAATCTATGAAGATGTTAGGTCTTGAGGAACCTAAAACACGGAATCAAATTTGGTTCATGGAGCCTATACCAGGCACTGAAAACTGGTTAAATGCAACATACATATAAGGAAAAACCTAAATCAACAAACTCAGATTTTATAAGAGATTAATTCTACGTGACATAACTTGTCATTAACTCTGACCCAAAATTTGGAAGTCAAAGTAAAAAAAGCAGCAGTATTTGTTTTAAGAACAAATCTAGTGCCAGTTACCTCAGTTCCACTCATTATATCCCTCCATTCTCTGATTCACTGAAAAGGAAGAATACACAGAAACACCAGTGGGATCTTGGAAAAATTGTGTAGGGCTGCTGAGAGGTATGTTTACCTCTATGTTTTCATCCACACAAAAGAGAGTTCATCAAGTTCCTTATTCCAAAATAACAATAAACAGTAACTTTGAACTTCTGTAAGTACAAACATTTTAAGGAACCATGAGACCAAAATAAAGGCTTATGCAATCAACCTCTGCTTTCAGAACACTTGCAAGACAAGTCCCTTTCCATCTGGGCCATCTTGCAAGAATGTTGTTTCCGTTTGTCAAAAAGAAACACTGTCCACATTTGTACTGTTGAAAAAAGAGCATAAGTTAAGCTTAAAAATGTCTGAGACAAAGAAAATTAAAACATGTCTGAGACTGGTTAGAGAATAAAGGTAAATCCTACACCAAGAAATTTAAAATTAGAAAATCAGAGGTGGAAAGGACTTTAGAAATCCTCTTAGGTCCAGCCTCTCACTGAATGCACCCTCCTTCTAGGGGTGATCACCTGGCTTGTCCAATGCTGAGTCAGTTACGTACCATTTCAAAAGGTAGTTGGTTTGTCTATTAGACGGCACCCACTATTAGAGAGGCCTTCCTTATACGGAGTCCCATTAATCTCTCTTCCTACCATTTTGATATCCTGGTGCTGCTTTTTACTCCCCCCATACTTATATAATATATCAAAGTATGAAAGATAAAGATGGAGGTTTGGAGATTCTAGCAGAAGAAAGCAGCCACTTATATACTCAACCAAAATACAAGCCCGCTGAACCAATTTAATCCAGGAGCTCAATGATAGAACAGACATAGCAATTAGACAGACTGCTGTGATTACCAATGGAGATGAAGCAAAGCAACATTATCTTCCTACCAGGTAACCGGAAAAAGGAGGTTAAGGGAGGTAGAACACTGCTAAGTACTCACTAATGAAATGATTAGTCAATCTATGTCTAAAACTAATTCAGCAGTTAACTTAAAATGGCTTTTCTCAAAAAACATTAAAGCCTGTAACACAAAGAAATCAACAGGAAAGCAGACTGAGGTCTACTAGGAGAAAGGAAGGAGGCATTCTTCATCTTTCTCATGTTATTTAACTGGCCCTTCTTATCTACACAGCTAAAGATACGAATTATCTAAATTACAGCACTAATTTCCTGTGTGACTTTAGACAAGTCAATATACCTTAACCAGATTATCTCAAACATATCTCTTCTAAAAGATAGTAACTGTATCTCAAAAATTCATTAAACTACTCTGGAAAGGTAAATTTGGCTCCACATTAATCTTACTGCCCTGTTTTATTATTATTATTATTATTATTTTGTAGAGGTGAGGTCTTGCTATGTTGCCCAGGCTGGTTTTGAACTCTTGGGCTCAAGTGATCTTCCCACCTTGGCCTCCCAAAGTACTGGGATTACAGGCATGAGCCACTGGGCCTGGCCATTGGTTTATTATTAACAGGTAGGGACTTACTGTGACTCTTCCTTGTTGTCTCTCCCAGCAGTGGAAGGTAACTAGTGTATACTTAGGTGATGTTTCTGGGAATAAAGAACTATCAATCAGTCATCCTGTATCATTATTATCAATTCAATTCCCCAGGTGACTTCAGGAGGGAAAGAATGAGATCCTAGTTTGGACTTTGTTGGCTTTGAAAAGGACATTCTGCCAACATATGTCCTGATAATGTCATCACCCCATTCAAAGCTATGTCACTGGACCCCCCACCATCAACTGAACTCCAAACTTCTAAGTATGGCTTAAATTCTCCTGTGATCTGGGTCTTTAATTCTCATTACTCCTCTTCTCACTTCTATACACCAAGAGTGACATCACTTCCTCTTAAAACTGTGTATATAGATGCCACTTGTCATGTTCCTGACTCACAGAGGAATCTGAGAGAGTGAATACTACCCACAGAGACGCACAGGCCTTTTTCTGATTTGGGGATGGGATACAGACAGAGGGACTCTTGGGTGTGGTGAGTCTCTGTTCCAACTAGAGGACCTCCTGACTGCCACAAAAATCAATGTACACATATATCAAAACACCACATTGTATACTGTAAACATATACAATTTTCATTGTCAATTACATCGTCGTAAAAAAGAATTCTTTCCAGTTGGTCCTGGGAAAGCTATGCAGTGCTCTTGGTGGTAGTGTCTGAGAGCTGAGACAAGGCCCAAGTCTTTGGGGGTTTCCCTAGGAGATTCTGGTATGTGCTGCTATGATTGTTTTTATAGTAAAGAGCCAACATATTTTAAGGAGGGAGAAAGAGCTAGCCAAGAGATTTTCTGCCAGTATTGAAGAACCTTGTAAAGTCAGTGAGATGAGACTGATTGCATAAGCCAATGAAGCCCCCAGTTGCTTCCGTTAGAGGCCAGTCCCTTGATGCTACAAACACTGAATAAGATAAAACTTAAAAATCTGAACAGGTCCACCTCTTCCTTTGAGGACAATAGACTTCTTCAAAAAAGAGCAAAAGTGGATCCCCGTAAGTTTTCATTTCATGGAGTGAACTGATGATGGCTAACCTTCAAGACATGGTTACTTGAAGATTCATCAAAATCCTTCCAATCCCTAGTGATTGGCGCCCCAAACACCTAAACACACCGCATAAGAGGAGAACAACTTCTGAGGGAAATGGTAGATGGTGTGATTGAAACACTTATCTTAAGAAAGCTTAGAACTGTCCTCCCAAGAAACCATAGGATGGAAGCAAAGAGTTCTGGAACTAAAGGAAAAAATTCTTGAAAACAAGCATATGAATGAACTCAGTTGCAAATGATAAAGAGAGCCAGCTAAAAATCTATGACTGAAACTCCTGGAGAAGATAGATTTCCTTGCTCTCTTTAGAGCCAATTACATGGATAATGGCAACTTGGAATTGGAAAAAAGGGTGAATCAGAAAATGGAGACCATTTAGATTATTGTCAGAAGTTAATTTGAAGAAACTCATTGATTCTGTTCACGCAAATACTCCTTAAAAAGGTTAGAAGTGGCCGGGCGCGGTGCCTCACGCCTTAATCCCAGCACTTTGGGATGCTAAGGCCGGTGGATCACCTGAGGTCAGGGGTTCAAGACCAGCCTGGCCAACATGCTGAAACCCCATCTCTACTAAAAATACAAAAATTAGCCAGGCATTGTGGCTCACGCCTGTAATACTAACTATTCAGGAGGCTGAGGCAGGGGAATCGCTTGAACCTGGGAGGTGGAGGTTGCAGTGAGCCAAGATTGAGCCACTGTACTCCAGCCTGGGCGACAGAGCAAGACTCTGTCACAAAAAAAAAAAAAAAAAAAAAAGTTAGAAGAACTACTTACACTTTGTTGATCAACTTACAGTCTCTCACAAATAGCTTTACAGGGCCTATTTCCTCTATTTGCAAAACATCTTTTTGTGCAAATCTTGCTCTGCCCACTTTCCCCATGAAGCCTTTTCTCCTTCCTATTCCAACTCCCACGGCGCTCTGCTGCCTCTCCTGCTGCACTCACTCATTTGTGGTTGTTCTGTTGTTGGGTTTTTTGTTTGTTCTTCTAAGATAGGGTTTGTTGCTTTGTTGCCCAAGCTAGAGTGCAGTGCAGCCTCAATCTCCTATGCTCAAGCAATCCTCCCACCTCAGCTTCTTGAGTAGCTGGGACTACAGGCATGTGCTACCACGCCTGGCCAGCTTTTATTTTTGAGAGCTCCTTTAGGTAACAACAACAATAAAATTATACTAATTTAGTATACTTTTTTTTTTTTTGAGATGGATTCACGCTCTGTCACCCAGGCTGGAGTGCAGTGGTGTGATCTTGGCTCACTGCAACCTCCGCCTCCCGGGTTCAAGCTATTCCCCTGCCTCAGCTTCCCGAATACCTGGGACTACAGGTGCATGCCACCACGCCTGGCTAATTTTTTGTGTCTTTAGTAGAGACAGCGGGGTTTCACCATGTTAGTCAGGATGGTCTCGATCTCCTGACCTAGTGATGCACCTGCCTCGGCCTCCCAACGTGCTGCGATTACAGGCATGAGCCACTGAGCCCGGCCTAATTTAGTATACTTTTTAAAAACCTAGTATGACTATTTTGCTTATGTGGATTTAAGTTTTAGATTGCTTATTACAGAAAATCACAGAAAGGTAATTTAAATACCCTAAATAGAAAGTCAAGGAAAAGGGTGTCCTTAATGCTCCTTGTCTCCTGGTTAGCCTATGATATTTCAGCTCCAGCCAATTTCCTTTACACAAAGACCCTGCTTAAAGCATTTATGAATAAGCTGGAAGAGTGGTGGATGAGACATGGCTTCTCTGAATAGGGGAGGGAGGACACAAAAAATAGCTGCTTTCATTGAGGGCAGGAAAGAGATTATTTCATTAGGAGCCAAACAGTGAGACTATCTCAGTACAAACAATTGTTTGGCTTGAAGACTCCATGTGGGTAATTACTCCAGCAAAGGCTCAGCTGGAATGGAACACGGAGCCTGCCAGGACCTAAGGATAGGGACTGACACAGGCTTAAGTGTCTGAATCATGGCTTTGGAATCCCAGAGCATCCCAGCAAAGATGCTCACAGAACACACTCTACCCCAATCAGCGAGAAGCACCATTCTGCACCCGACCAAGTGCAGAATGTGAATTTAAAACAGATGAGAAAATCTGGGGGTACTGGGAGCAAATTCAAAGTTATTAAACCTAAACTGATATTTTATAGCAAATGTAGCAAGTCCAAAGATTAGATTTCTTGGGCAATCTAATGCATTTCAATCACCACTTCAATGGCTAACAATAGGCTGGGTGGAGTTGGTGTGCAGGGAGGGACTGCTGAGCTAATAGCTGGGCAAATCATTTCAAAGTCAGCCAGGTGGACCTGATATTTCAAAACTTGATACTATAATTAAACCAATTTCCTAGTGACCTCACTTCAGGTAATATAAGCAAACTTGGTTCTCAAGTTACTGTCTTCATCTCCTGGGGACATTCAGTTCTTTACATTTTTAGGTTACTTCAGTTTAACTTCCTCTTTGCAACAACCAGTATCTACTCATATATTTAAAAACAAAAACAAAACAAAACAAAACAAAAAACTAAAGCTGCAAAGTGAGCCTGCCCACTGCGGGAGGGAAAGGGCCTATGTTTAGAAGAAGCTACTAAAAAGGGTGATATGGTCATTGTCCAATGAGATTGCTCTTCATCCTCCATCCCTAGGATAGATTCCTCACCCCACCACTTTGACGAGGAATTTTTTTCCCCTAGGAAGCTGAAGGGATAACTATCATAATACTAGATTCTGGATGCACAAGACCCAGTCCCGATCCATAACTCACAATCCCAGGGCCTTCCTAGGTTGCTATCTGATAGCCTTTGTGAGTGAATGCTTTCATACATTTCAATCATTACCCTGACCAAGGCTAATAGCAGGCTGGTGGGTGTAGGCGTGTAGGGACTGCTGCGCTAACAGCTGGGCAATCATTTCAAAGTTGGCCAGGTGGACTCAACATTTGAAAACTTGACATGGTCATTAAAGTCCCTCATAATCAAGCGTCGGCATTCATCTGTGTATAGTATACACTTAATGCATGCTTACTGATTAAACAGGTAATAAGCAATAGTGGAATAACATGAAAACTGATATTAAAAACAGCCCATATTCAAATAGTCCCATCTTTGTTCCTCTAGACCAATGGCTCCCAACAGAAACGATTTCCCCTCAAGGGGCAATGCTGATGTCTAGAGACATTTTTGGTTGTCACAACGGGCAGAGGGGTAGGGAAGAGCTACTGGCATCTAGTGGGCAGAGGACAGGAATGCTGGCTCCTAAACATTCTAAAATGCCCTGGACAGTGCCCACAACAAGGAATCACCCAAAATGTCAATAGTCTGAGGTTGAGAAATCCTGCTCTAGAGGAACCATTTTTAAGCCATTTAGTTTGAAGTGAGACATAAGAATATGTCAATTTTGTGGAAAAGCCTCTCTTGTTCTGTAACAAACAGATACACGTTTAGAGTACAAAATTCTAAAATTGTAACAAACCTTAGGAATGATCTAGTCTAAGCACAGTTGGAGAAACTAAGGCCTAGAGAGGTCAAGTCATTTGCCCAAGTTCACAGAAGAAAGGATCAGCTGGACTGAAATTAGAATCACCTTTACACACCCAAATGTGTGTTATACATAGTAAATGCTCAATAATGGTCACTAAATTGATATCTTGTTCTTTAGGTATTCTTTTTTTTATTATTACAACATACAATTCACTCTCTGCTGCTGGGAATCTGAGACTGATTGTGAAGATTTCTTCCCATCCACACTCCCCTTCCTCAAAAAGAAGCCCAGAAGGGAAAAACAGTGTAACCTACTAGAGCTCAAGACTGAGTGGCCAGGCAGAAGATGTTTTTCAATTGTTTCCAGGGAAGCTCATGTCTTTCACCCAGGCAGAGGCTCTACATAAAACCTTCTAAGTGAGCAAATGAGCCCTTGTGCAAGACCATGGACATGTGAATTTCTCTTCGCAACTCAGCACAGCAGCTTTCCTAACACATTGGAGAAGTCCCAACCAATGGCAAACAGATGGAAAATCAGTGCCAGTTTCACTGAATCACAACCACATCCAAACAAGCTAGAAAGCTTTCAGTTCTAAACAAACAGCAGAATCAAAATGAATTCTGGGATCAAAGTACAGATGGTTGGTTAGTCCAGTGGTGTGCAGAATATCAGTCATCAAAACAGCCCTGGCTTAAGGGAGGAGAGCAAAAGATGGAGATTTGCCCTTTGAAAAAGAAAACATTCACCACGATGTTTCAAAACCCAGGCGTTTCAGAATAGAACACAATGAGGTCAAAATATATGGCATAAGGGGGTGGGGCAAAGATACCAGCCATGTGAGTACAAAGATCCTGCAAAGGGAACATTAGGCAGATGAACTCAGGGCAGGTCTGGGGGTGGGCGGGGGAGGGGAGTGGGTGGAGGTGGGGGCATCACAATTTCAAAAGAGCCCAAGTAAGATTCTTTAAACGAACCTGTTCCAGTGGGCACAAGGAGTTTCTAAAACTGCTGCAAGGTTATTAAATTCTACAGCACCTGAGAACCACGTCTAAATATTTACTCCCATCCCACAAAAGGGCTAAAGGACTGCTATTTCAGCCTCCTGTTTCACACTTCATGCTACATTTTTCCCCAGGATGATGTGTCACACCAAAACCTCCTACTGAGAGGGCAGAGGATTCGCTTCATGTCTAGCTCCAGCTTCCAAAGCAGCACAGGTGGCAGAAGCACAGAAATGAAATGGCACAAAGAAGCAATTACCACAAAGCAACCATGAGATTCACCTGCTCAGCTTCCTGGTGTCACAGATCTTCAGCTATCTGGGCTAACAGTATGAGGAAGACTATCAAAAAACAAAACAAAGCATATGACCTGAACACACATTAACAGAATAATGCTGCTCATAATAGGGACATAGACACTATGTGCCAGACACCGTGCATTAAGTATGCAGATAGACATGAAAACACAGTCCCTGTCCTCATCTCCAGTCTGAGGGCCCTTCTTCAAAAAAAAAATAATAATGCAGTAGCTGTTACCTCCTTTCTACTAATGTAGGACCTCTAATCCACCTCCTTAGAGGACTAAGTTTAAGTGAATGAGGACTGTATGAACAACATAAGATGCTAGTCAATGGCGCAAGGGTATTTCCGCACATCAGGTATATAATGTTGTGTCCGGAATTGGTGGGTTCTTGGTTTCACTGACTTCAAGAATGAAGCCGTGGACCCTCGCAGTGAGTGTTACAGTTCTTAAAGGCGGCGTGTCCGGAGTTTGTTCCTTCTGATGTTCGGATGTGTTCGGAGTTTCTTCCTTCTGGTGGGGTTCGTGGTCTCGCTGGCTCAGGAGTGAAGCTGTGGACCCTCGCGGTGAGTGTTAAAGCTCTTAAGGCAGCGCGTCTGGAATTGTTCGTTCCTCCCGGTGGGTTCGTGGTCTCGCTGGCTTCAGGAGTGAAGCTGCAGACCTTCGCGGTGAGTGTTGCAGCTCATAAAGGCAGTGTGGACCCAAAGAGTGAGTAGCAGTAAGATTTATTGCAAAGAGCAAAAGAACAAAGTTTCCACACTGTGGAAGAGGACCCGAACAGGCTGCCACTGCTGGCTCGGGCAGCCTGCTTTTATTCTCTTATCTGGCCCCATCCAATCACATCCTGCTGATTGGTAGAGCGGAGCGGTCTGTTTTGACAGGGTGCTGATTGGTGCGTTTACAATCCCTGAGCTAGACACAAAGGTTCTCCACATCCCCACCAGATTAGCTAGATACAGAGTGTGGACACAAAGGTTCTCCAAATCCCCACCAAGAGTAGCTAGATACAGAGTGTCCACACAAAGGTTCTCCAAGTCCCCACCAGAGTAGCTAGATACAGAGTGTCGATTGGTGCATTCACAAACCCTGAGCTAGACACAGGGTGCTGATTGGTGTGTTTACAAACCTTGAGCTAGATACAGAGTGCCGACTGGTGTATTTACAATCCCTGAGCTAGACATAAAGGTTCTCCAAGGCCCCACCAGACTCAGGAGCCCAGCTGGCTTCATCCAGTGGATCTCGCACTGGGGCTGCAGGTGGAGCTGCCCGCCAGTCCCGCGCTGTGCGCCCACACACCTCAGCCCTTGGGTGGTTGATGGGACCGGGTGCCGTGGAGCAGGGGGCGGTCTCGTTGGGGAGGCTCAGGCTGCACAGGAGCCCACAGAGGTGGGGGGAGGCTCAGGCATGGCGGGCTGCAGGTCCCGAGCCCTGCCCCGTGGGAAGGCAGCTAAGGCCCGGTGAGAAATCCAGCGCAGCGCCGGTGGGCCGGCACTGCTGGGGGACCCAGCACACCCTCTGCAGCCGCTGGCCCAGGTGCTAAGCCCCTCATTGCCCAGGGCCAGCAGGGCTGGCCGGCTGCTCCAAGTGCGGGGCCCGCCAAGCCCATGCCCACCCGGAACTCCAGCTGGCCCACAAGTGCGGCACACAGCCCCGGTTCCCGGAGCTGGCTCCCTCCACACCTCCCCGCAAGCCGAGGGAGCCAGCTCCGGCCTCGGCCAGCCCAGGAAGGGGCTCCCACAGTGCAGCAGTGGGCTGAAGGGCTCCTCAAGTGCGGCCAGAGTGGGTGCCAAGGCCGAGGAGGCACCGAGAGCGAGCGAGGGCTGTGAGGGCTGCCAGCACGCTGTCACCTCTCAATGTGAAAGTGCCGGCCCATCTTGCTGTGGTATGACCCATAAAGCTGTTCCTTATGTCCCTTATGTTCCTTAGGTCCCTTATGGGGAAACCAGGGTTCTCCCGAATTCCCCATTCCTTGCCTCAGCAGACATCTACTGCAATGAAGCAGTTCAGAATGATAATGCCCATAGCAAAGCCATCTCTACGTGGGCTCAACCCAGAGAATCCCCTTGGTAACTTTTTAAATTAGAGGGCCCACTTGACTACTCAAATCTGAACACATAAATAACCCATCACTCTAACAACAACACAAAAATTTATACTTCCTTATTTGTATTGTTAAAAAATTGAAAATTCAAATATTAAC
Source organism: Homo sapiens (assembly GCF_000001405.40). Lineage (NCBI taxonomy): Eukaryota > Metazoa > Chordata > Mammalia > Primates > Hominidae > Homo > Homo sapiens. The sequence continues at coordinate 40,387,324 of NC_000001.11, read as the reverse complement.
AATTGGGCAAGAGATAATAATGACATATTCCAATGCTGGGATACAATAAAGGTATTTACACGTTTTTAATGTCATGAAATAAGCTTATAATAAATGTTAAGCAAAAAAGAATGATATAAAATCATTATGGTATAAGCTCAAGTAAATGGGTGATAAGAATTATGAAAAATAAGGCCGGGCATGGTGGTTGATGCCTGTAATCCTGGCACTCCGGCAGGCCGAGGCAGGCAGATGATGTGAGCTCAGGAGTTCGAGACTAGCCTGGGCAACATGGCAAAACCCTGTCTGTACTAAAAATACAAAAATTAGCTGGACGTGGTGGTGTGCACCTGTAGTCCCAGCTACTATGAAGGCTGAGACAGAAGAACTGCTTAAGCCTGATAGAGGCTGCAGTGAGCTGAGATCGTGCCACTGTACTCCAGCTTGGGCGACGGAGCGAGAGACCTTGTCTCCAAAAAAAAAAAAAAAAAAGAATTATGAAAAATACCTTCAGCATCATTATATTTTTCATACTTTCCAATGATTTTTATCGTGGATAGGTTTCAGAATCATAAAAGATAAAGTTGTTGTTGTTTTAAAAAAAACCAGCATTTACTGATGTTTAGATTATAAGCACAGGGATCCTCCTATCTCCCCAGCTCCTAAAATCCCACAAGACAGAAAACAACTGGTCTGTTCCTATGGCAACAAATCTTTTTTTCCTTAAATGTATGAGAAGTCTAATGAAACTGGGACCTATTTTTACTCTGCCCGTAATATGGACCCTTGATCTGAGCCACTTGTGTCAGGCTACTTCTGTCGAGACTAGGCTCAGAACAAGTTAGAATGCTCAGGGAGCCAAGCCGGAGTCTTCCTGATTCCAATGTTTCATTTAATGAAGCTTCCTTTCTCTTTCATATAATCTGGGAATGTTAATACTGTAGTCACACTACAGGAAAGACCTTTCCTCAAGTTTCTCCTCCATCTGTAACGGTTCCTCTAACCGAACTCTTCATGCCTACTTTCAGAGAGACAAAGTCAATCCCTGTTCCAAACAGCTAATCTTTCAGTAAAAATGATTTCAACATAGCAGAAGAGCCTGAATCTCTTAATTCATTCTTTCTCAAATCAGCTGTCACACTCAAATTGGTTTCCGTCAGCTCTGCTGTTTTCAGCTATTTTGAACAAAAGCATCATGGTAAGAACAGGGAGTTTCCTTCCTGTTTCTCTTCTCAGGGTTTGTGTCAGTTATAAGGAGTGATAAAGTGTCAACAACAACAAAAAGACACCAATGCCCCCTTCTCTACAAGCTTTACACTACAGCATATGATGTCACCAGTTCACACAGAAAATTCTGTAAGAAATTATTTTTGAAGGCACAGAACAAAAACAACCACCTAAACAATATCAAGACAAAACTTCCTTAACTCAAAACTAGAAACACTAGAGAACTCATTTCTAAATCCACACATTTGGGGACTTCCAGTTAGACAAGAAAAGAGGAAGTTAAAGAACAAAATGTACTGTGTGCGCACTTCAGACCACTGAGGTGAAATAACATTGTAGGATTAACATGTAAACCCACATCTAAAGATGTAAGCTCTGTGGTAGAGGCCTGGGGATTTATGGTATTCCGTCACCAGCAACTGCTGCAAAAGACAGCATGGCTATTTGAAGAAAAGGAAAAGAAAAGGTGCTCTATTTGCTCAAATCACCATGCTAGGACACACTTATCAGCTACAGCTGAGAGTAGGTCTCTCTCCCTCTCGCATTTGCTTCACTGTTTCAATACATCATAAAATGAGAGCATTACACATTTGATTTGTGGGTGAGGGGAAATGACATGAGGCCTGAGGAACCCAGTTCTCATTGTTTCAGATTAAGAAATTTCTTTTTGGAAGCTTTGACCTGAAATGTTTTTTTTAAAAAAGTATTTTCCAAGTAAGCTTATGAAATCCAGAACTTAAATAAACTGTATTCTATATGTATTTAAAAGCAAACCAGAATTCCTATAGGAAATCTATGAACTGAGGGGAAAAGAGGGCTATGGTCAACAAAATTTGTCAGAGAATCACTTAACATTAATTGAAAATGAAAAAAAGCAACAATAATAAAATTCTACTACTACCGAGTGACATGCTACAAAGGTGGGATTCCAGGGCAAGCTTCAGCCACACATGAGGGAGGATGGGGGATAAGGGGAAGAGCTGGACAAACTGAAGACGACCACCAGAGCAACCTTACGCTGACGGATGGCCACAGCTGAGGCAGATCTGGCTCATCTCTGGGGCTTTCCACTGGGGAGAGACCTGCAGTTCAGCCATCAGTGGACCGGCATTCACAAAGCCTGTGGGGAAACACAGGATCCAGAAGAGTGGGGTAGGGAAGGAGAAAGTGTGGGAAACGGAATAGTCAAACACAGCAGTGAAATATTATATTTATTAAATATGAAGCTTCAAAAATGCATAGATGGACCTCTTAAGTTGAAATGGACCAGCTGAAAAGAACTGGTACTCTGGGAAGCAGTCTGATATGCTTTTTCAAATCCCAAATTACATTTTCATTACACCTGTGAATTATAGTAACACCTGCCAAGAGGAAATGAGTTTTTTGGAGAAAAGAAAGAAACAAGGAAACCTATGCAATTGTTACAGTTGGTAACTTCACTCAAACAACGAGAGTCCTTTATCTGTGGCCTCTGTGGGAAGTAACAGCCTAAAAGCAAACATACTCACACTGCACTGAAAACTCTGCTGGCCTAGTTCCACCAATTCCATTAATATAGCAAGGGCCCAAATGCAGGTGACCTGATTGACAAAAAAAGCACTTCTAGAAAGGGCTGAACTTGTCTCATATAACTCATTAGACACTTTTATAATCACGTAGAAAACAAGTAGCCACAACTTGGAAAGCTCTGCCCTTAAATGGAGCAGCAGCAACATTCCTTACAAGACAAAATATTTTTTTCAGGTCAGGGTAGAAGAAAACAGACCCAGTGATCTTGCCTCCCTCACCCAGTGCAAACTTATCTGAAGTTGTGGGGTAAAACAAACAAATCAATAAGACTAGTTAAACTAACATGCAGCACAAGATAAAACAGCCACACTGCAGTTACCTTAACTGTAAAGAAAACACTGAGCTGAGGCCCGGCCTTGGTGGCTCACATCTGCAATCCCAGCACTTTGGGAGGCCAAGGAGGGTAGGTAGCTCACTTGAGGCCAGGAGTTTGAGACCAGCCTGGCCAATGTGGTGAGACCCTGTGTCTACTAAAAATACAAATAATTAGCTGGGCATGGAGGTACACACCTATAATCCCAGCTACTTGGAAGGCTGAGGCATGAGAATCACTTGAACCCGGGAGCCAGAGGAGGCAGTGAGCTGAGATCGCATCAAAGCACTCCAGCCTGGGCAACAGAGCAAGACTCTGTCTCCAGAAAAACGAAAGAAAAAAAAAAGAGTGAGCTGTACCATGTTTTAACGCTGCAATCCTCAACATTTTCTGTGTATGGCTTCTGTGTGACTAACTCAAGCTGTCCAGTTGTAGATATACTCAATGTGGATACACCATACCTAAGACTTCCCAGAATTGACAGGGTGGGAACTTATTTTCTGAGTAACCAAACGATAAGTTGCTCCTGGCAGCAGCCAACAGTCAAATACATATTCAATACAGGAGCCAATTTGCCTAGTCATACCCCCTAAGTATATAAACTATGACTGAGTTGTTACATTACTTCCTGGGACTAATAATTGTTTCAGCAACAGTCAAGATCCTTTAGAAGCACGCAATGTTATATCTGCCGGAAAACCCTTCCGTTCTCTTGTCCAAAATAATTCAAATACTATAAGGGGAAAGAAATTACATCTTGGAGAATTCAGTGCCTTTGTGTCTTTGCCTGTTTGCGCTGGGATCCCTCCCTTGCTCCGCTTGATCACAGGGAACTACATCTCCCAGGCTCCCTTTGCCAACTGATTTCAGGATAAGTTCCATCAATGGGAGGCACTGAGGAGGATAAGAGGCAGGAGCAGGGAGCAGCCAGGGTAATACGCTCTCTCACTCGGCCTACTTCCAGCTGCCACCAGACTGCTCCTCTTTCCATGCTTCCGCTCACACCAGACCACTCGGACTTCCAGCCCTTGGTGACACCAGTGCACTATTTTCCTTGCAGGCATAGTAGTTCCCAGGCATTGCTAATCGAATGGGTGCCTCACCAGCCCCTGTTCAGCTTCTTGGCTCTTCTAGCAGCCTTGTAACCTACTCCCTATTTTAAATTCCCTCTGCTTATAAGACCAACAGTGGCTTCTGTTCCTCTGACTGGTCCTTGACTGACATAGGGCCTTCCAAACATATTTTAAAACTTATTTTTCAGAAAATTAATAGCTTTCCTAAGAATTAAAACAATTATTCAGATAACCTAGAAAAGGTCTCTTCTAATATGAAACAAAACATTTACAGATGATAAAATCAATTCATGCATTCAAACAAATATTTACTGAGAGCCTGGTCTGTGCCAAGCACTGTTCTAGGTGCTGGGAACACTACAGTGAACAAAACAGGCATAGGCCCCTGCCCCCTAGCTTACATTCTAGGGATGTGTAAAGTGTGGCACATTATGATTTTAAAAATTAGCCAATATAGGACTGTTGCTTTAACAATAGAGGAATTTGGTAAAAGTGGATTAACTTTAAGGTGTTCTACTCTACAAAGACTTGGTTCTTACCTTTTCAATGTGGTATGAACTGTCACATTCCAGGGGCCAATACAGAACTTCTTCAAAGCTAGTATCTAGTTAAACTGGCCACTTGATCAAACAGGAGTACAACTGTGGTAAGGATTTAAGCAGACACAATAACAAAAGGTAGGCACTGTATGCTTACAGTGTAAAGCATATGCATGTTTTATGCAGAATCTTGCTTGGCATCATTTTTACAGGAAATACCATTTGGAGGAACTGAGTCTGACTCAATTTAATAAGTCACTTTATCCCTTCACTGTAGCACAGGTAGAGTCCATCAACATAACATACAAAGCCAGTGGCAGTGTACATAACAAGTAGAATGTCGCAGTCACCGATTGCATGACACGATTTCCAAGATGGAATTTTCAGGCAGAAGAACAGAAACAGACAATGACTCATGTGATGAACAGTTATATAGACAACTGTGCCCAAGAAAGCTGCCACCTACATACCATAATGACATCAGATGAAAAATGCAGAAAAAAGGTAGTTTTCCAATTTATCTAGAAAAAAAAGATTTGCTGAAAAGTATATATACTGAGAGATGAGACTGCAGCTACCTGTTTATGCATCCTAAGCACTGAGCAACCAGGAGCACACATCAGGTATTCCAAATATGACCTGCTTGAGGCTAAGAGCATGTTCAGCCTCAAAAATCAACATCAAGAGCTCCAGAAATAACATAGTATCTACTGCTGGCACTTCACTAGACTTATGCTAAAATAATTTAATGTACCCACAAAGGTACATTTCAATGGAGAATTTAATCGGCACCATGCTCAGACCTTTCTTACTATTCAGCGATCAGGAAGCGTTTCATGCCTGCAATATTTATAACCCCATGTGAATAGCAGGTGGACCTACAATACTATGGGCTTCTTACACAACAGGAAGTCTAAAGCACAGTGCATATTCAAAATCTCAATGCCACGAAGCAAGTCAACCACAGAGCTCAGGTTTTAACCTTACAGTATCCTGACTACCTGTCAAACTCTACTCCTCATCACTCCTCAACATGCAGTCAAAATATACTAAAGAATCCCCACACGCACACACACACACACAAAACAGTGCACCTTCGAGGCTTTGCACATTCTGTTCCCTCTTCCTAGAATACAAAGTTCCCTAAATTAGCTTGGCAAAGTCATACTTATCCTTTAAGACACAGCCTACTTTTCTCTTTGAAGCCATGACTTCCCGAGGAAGACTTCTTTGCCTTCTTCAATGCTTTCATTTCTCCCTGTATACCATGCCACAATAATTTCTGTATTGCATCATTTATATTTGTACACATCTGCTTCCCCATTAGACTGTAAAATCCTTGAGACTAAAGACTCTTTCTTTTAATCTATATGTCCCGGTACAATGTCTGAGAAAAAGTAGGTAGTAAGTGCTTAAGAAACATTTTCTGAATGACTATATGTAGTGGGGGATCTCAGGCTTGCGAAGTTCCCCTAAAAGATATACATTTTCTATTCTTCATCTCACTGGCACCAAATGATATTTAAAGGGCAAGGAGAACAAATAGGAAAGTATCTCTCAGGGAACAGGTTTAATATGTTGACATTAAAAGACAATCTAATGGGGATTTTGATAAATTACTTTCAGTAAAACTATCAATCTAACCATGACTGTCAGAGTTATAGTGCACTAGCTATAAAAAACCAGAAATATATGTGATCTTGGCTAGAGAAAGGCGTTTAACAACTAGAAATGGAAGCAGAACTCCTTCTGTTGTTTCACGCCATTGAATTTTTTACTTTTTAAAAGGTACCACAGGCTGGGTGCGGCGGCTCACACCTATAATCCCAGCACTTTGGGAGGCTAAGGTGGGCGATCACCTGAGGTCAGGAGTTCGAGACCAGCCTGGCCAACATGATGAAACCCCTCTCTACTAAAAATACAAAATATTAGCCAGGTGTGGTGGCAGGCGTCTCTAATCCCAGCCACTCGGGAGGCTGAGGCAGGAGAATGGCTTGAACCCGGGAAGTGGAGGTTGCAGTGAGCCAAGACCACACCACTGCACTCCAGCCTGGGCAACAGAGCGAGACTCCATCTCAAAAGAGAAAAAAAAAAAGTGCCACAGATACAGCTAAAATAATTTTAAATTGATAGGAAAGTTCATTTCTAAGGAATATTTAACAAGCAATGACTTGGCTATCAACAGAAAACAAATGTAAAGCAAAGCTAAAGATTAATGTACATGAGTTAAAACTTAAGACAACTATGAGAAAATTTCTACACAAAGAAATTCCCTGGTCTAATCTTTCATACAAGTTTGAAATCGGGAAACATCCAGAGACCATCCTCAAGGGTACCATAAAGCACATTTGCAAAAATGCCAGAACTCCATATATAGGAAATGGTTTTGGCTTAAAGACTAGGGAATTACTGGGTGAGTCATTCTAACTGTGGCTCCCAGTAACCAGACTATCTTAAAAGGGAATAAAGTCAAAAGTAAAACTAATAAAATCAAGATTAAAAAATTTATGATTAGCAATGGTAAAAGTAAATAATGCAGACATTTGTGTAACACATTAGTTTACAAGGCACTTTCATTTTTCAAACTAGGAAAACTAAACTGAGAAAGTTAGGTGGTATGTGGAATCAGGTCACCAAGCTGCAATAAGCAAAGTAAAGGAATTTAACTGGCTGTTCCAATACCAAGTCTACAGACTCTTCCATTACTCTGCCTCTCTGCCATCTTAACAGTAGGCTTATATGTGTCTATGGGCCTAGGACACTTTCTAAGATGCCTTCAAAGAGAGCAGTGTCTGCTGGGCATGGTGGCTCATGCCTGTAATCCCAGCATTTTGGGAGGCCAAGGTGGGCAGATCACTTGAGGTCAGGAGTTCCAGACCAGCCTGGACAACATGGTGAAACCTTCTCTCTGCTAAAAATATAAAAATTAGTCAGGTGCCTGTAATCCCTGCTACTCAGGAGGCTGAGGCAGGAGAACTTGAACCCGGGAGGGGGAGTTTGCAGTGAGCCAAGACTGCACCACTGTACATAGCAAGACTCCGCCTCAAAAAAAAAAAAAAAAAAAAAAAAGAGAGACAACAGTGTCTTCCAAATCATTTAAGAATAGCTTTCTACTTAGTCAAGATAACTTGGTCACAGCCTTAGAAAATACCTTCAAAGAACAAAGCACTCCTCAATGTGCATGGAAAGTGTATGCTCTCCATGTTCTGTTGATTGAAAAATACAGATGTCAAGAGCTGTGGGTAATATGCTACCATTTGCATAAAAGCACTGCAAAGGAATATATTTAAATGTAATTGTTTGTCTATGCATACATTATCTCTTAAAAGTCACGTAAGAAATTGCCGACAATGGGCTAGGTGTGGTGGCTCACACCTGTAATCCAAGCACTTTGGGAGGCTGAGGTTGGTGGATCACCCGAGGCCAGGAGTTCGAGGCCAGCCTGACCAACATGGTGAAACCCCATCTCTACTAAAAATACAAATATTAGCTGGGCGTGGTGGTGGGCGCCCAGCTACTCGAGAGGCTGAGGCAGGAGAATCACTTGAACCCAGGAGGGAGAGGTTGCAGTGAACCAAGATCTTGCCATCGCACGCCAGCCTGGGCAACAAGAGCGAAACTCTGTCTCAAAAAAAAAAAAAAAGAAAAGAAAAGAAAAGAAATTGCCAACAATTGTTACTTCCACGGAGTGAAAATGGTGGCTCAGAGATGAGGGACAGCAGAATGATTTTATACCGTACATATTCCCCTTTGGACCTTTTGGATTTTGAACTACATGAAAGTGCTACCTTTTTCAAAAAGTACATTTAAATGTAGATTTAAAAATATAGGAGTTGGAACAGAGGCAGTGGTTGGGTGGGGTGAAACATTTCAGAGATAGGATGTAGCAGAAGAAGGGAAAAGCAAAAAATTATTACACTTTCTGTTGGACTCTAGAATTTCATGTGGTGTTTCAGTCTGAAGTAAATACTCCTCAAGATGATCAAATGTCTTGTACTCTTAACTCTTTGCTCTGCCGGGTATGGTGTGTCACACCTGTAATCCCAGCACTCTGGGAGGCTGAGATGGGAGGACTGCTTCAGCCCAGGAGTTAGAACTAGCCTGAGAAACATAGTGAGACCCTGTCTCAATTGTAGATAAGCCAGTAAATAAATAAATAAATCTTTGCCCATCAAACAGCCCTCAATTTCTCACAAACCTTGACACTAAGAAAGGAGTGTCCCAATAGTGGACACAAATATTTAGGTCATCAGAAAGGTATAGTCAGCCCTCCATTAGAAATGGGTTCTGCATCTGTGGATTCAAACAACTGCAGATTGAAAATATTCGAAAAAATGGCTGGGCCCCGTGGCACACGCCTGTAGTCCCAGCACTTTGGGAGGCTAAGTGGGAGGACAGCTTGAGCCCAGGAGTCTGAGGCTACAGTGAGCTATAATCGCACCACTGCACTCCAGCCTGGGTGGCAGAGCAAGACCCCGTCTCTAAAAAAAATAAAAAGGAAAGAAAATATTCAGTAAAAAATGAATGGTTGCATCTGTACAGAACATGTGCAGACTTTTTTCCTTCTCATTATTCCCTAAATTATACAGAGTAACAACTACTGGCATAGCATTAACATTGTATTAGATATTATAAGTAATCTAGAGATGATTTAAAGTATAAGGGAGGATGTGTATAAGTTATATGCAAGCACTACAACATTTATATCAGGGACTTGAGCATCTGTGGATTTTAGTACCCCAGAAGGTTCCTGGAACCAATCCCCCCTGGATACCAAAGGACAACTGTAGATCCTTTCATGGTAAATAAGATAGTGTCCAGTTTAAAACACAGTCTCTGACGGGGTGGCTTAGCAATTATTCCTGACACACTGATAAAATCTGGAACTGCTGAGCTAGAAGTTAAAACTTGGACCAGTATGACCCCAAGTACAAAGGAAGTATGACCCATACCCAAAAATGGAACCCAGCCTCAATCAGCCAGAGTTACCATTGACATATCTGGAATTTTCAGTAGTTTTGTCCTCTGTTCTATCACTACCTAAGTTAGTCCAAAAGTTCACCCTAAAAGTCACATTAACCCCAGGGCTTTGGGTAATGAAGAAATCACATCTTGAGCCTAGAGAGAATCATAGCATTTCTTAAATAGGCAGCCCCAAAGCAGTTTCCTTTCCCACACTGAAATTACTGGAATGGTTTAGTGGTCCCAGAAACTGGTAAGACTCGTGCCCAGGACAGTTAAAAACCCCAGGATCAACAAAACTTGTACGAAGTAAAAAGAACACAAGCTTGTTCTCTATTCTGATGTTTATTTGTTGTGTTTTGTTTTAGAGACAGGGTCTTGCTCTCTGACCCAGGCTGCAGCGCAGTGGCACTCAATCATGGCCCACTGCAGCTTCGACCTCCTGGGCTCAGTTGCCCAGGTGATCCTCCTGCCTCAGCCTCCTGAGTAGCTGGGACCACAGATGCACAACACCACACCCAGCTAATTTTTTAACTATTTGTAGAGACAAGGTCACACTATGTTGCCCAGGCTGGTCTTGAACTCCTGGACTCAAGTGATCCTCCCTCCTTGGCCTCTCAAAGTGCTGGGATTACAGGTTTGAGCCACCACACCCAGCCTCTATTCCGAAGTTTAAATCACATACCTTGAAAGTCAACTAATAAATGTTCCTAAATAAGTATAAGAATTTAAAAATAAAAGTCATTGCCAAAGAGTTATATTTTGGAACATTGCAAAAATACCTGCTCATAGGTCGATAGTCTATGCCACATCATCTAACTGGATATTAATAGATGAGCAATCACTCACCATATCCTGTACAGTTAACTTCCAATTTTTTAGGAAAGGACACAGGAATACAGGTAAATAAACTGAAACCCAATTCTCATTTTAGCCAACACTTTTTAAATTCCTCCTCCAATGAAATGTATTTTTTATCAGCGCTAACAGGTAACAATTTATTGATCCAAACGTCTTTTCCTTCAACAATCTGATAGTTGTCCAAATGATCATTATGACAACCAAAATTAGAAAACAGCAGGGGAAAAAGAGTGAGAGGGCTTGGAGGGGTGGAATGGGATAGGTAATTCATAAATTGGATAAACAGAGGCCTCAACAAATGCCTATTTGTCATAATCTAAAGATGACTGACCCATTGTCATCTCATTTTTAATACAATGACCAAGTCCCTGAAGCCACCTGGTAAAATGTAAAACGAACTTCTGAAAAGAAATTGAGGATCCAGGATTCTACCATCAACAGTAGTTAATAAAGTTTACAAGCCAGCAGTTACTAGTTCTCATTAAGAATTAACTGATATTTCATAACCTGATCCCCAGTAAGCTTATTAATAAAAAGCAACGGAAATTTCGGGCTGGGCATGGTGGCTCACACCTGTAATCCCAGCACTTTGGAAGGCTGAGGCGGGTGGATCACCTGAGGTCAGGAGTTCAAGACCAGCCTGGCCAACATGGTGAAACCCTGTCTCTACTAAAAATACAAAAATCAGCTGGGCATGGTGGCGGGCGCCTGTAATCCCAGGTACTCGGGAGGCTGAGGCAGGAGAATCACTTGAACCCGGGAGGCAGAGGTTGCAGTGAGCCGAGATTGCACCATTGCACTCCAGCCTGGGCGACAAAGCGAAACTGTCTCAAAAAATAAAAATAAAAAATAAAATAAATAAAAAGCAATGGAAATTTGGAGGAAGAAGTAGTGAATCAGCCTCTCTCTTCCATGTGCTGTATTTTATTGGAATATGAGTAAGTATAAGGGTAATATGAGAAATGGGGGGGGGGGTTCTAGTCACCAAAATGGCATCTGACTCTCCAAATGCAGCAATGCTCACTCCAGTGGGTTGCTTCACTGTGACTCAAGATCTGTCAAATGAGGACATAAGGGAATTTGAATAAAGCCAAGATACACTCCTAAAATAAACCAAATCTTCCAATAGACCTAACAGAAGATGTAACAAGAATCAAGAAGCTAACCTACTCAACATAAATTGATTCTAAAATACTTTTTAAAATGAATTATTGCTAATGCAAAAATTCAGGAAAGAAGTCTAGGAATTTGTTTTCCTAATGGCACATTCCATTTATCTGTTGGTAGAGGTCACTAAAATACATTACTAGGTGTCTATGTATCCCTCCCCTGTTCTCCTTTTATAACCTTATTCTTCAAAAATAAAAGGTAATTAAGTGAAAGCATCAATTAAATATGTCCTTCCTTTCTCAAAATAGATAAATACGAATATAACTGAATCTTTGTTTTATAGTATATGCCCACTACGCTGTACGGCAAACAACCATGGCAAATCCACTGCATTATGAACAAAAGTAAATTGTCGCCCCCAAAATATAACTATCCATTTCGACCCAACCAAAGGGAAAATAATTTTCCCAATCCTCCAATTATATGCCAAAAGAATTAGAAAATACAGGAAAAAAAGATTCATAGAAGCTTGTATAAATGTCAAGTGCCAACATTTCACTAATAACCAAGATTTCCTATTGTACTGACTTTTAATTGTATCAAATCATGAATCTTCTAGGGCACAGAAAACAAAGACTAAATGGTTCTGCCAATTTACAATGATCATATTTCACCTTTAGAAGTGTAATCGCCATGGAAGCAATGAATTCATCGAATTCATCTTTCTCTCTCCACTGATTAAACGGATCCTGCACTACAGGCATAATCGGCTAGTTTCTGCCACCACTCATACATAGGCCTCCAACGCACTCTACAAGCCAGGGCTACACTGCCTAGAAATCCGCACTGTGTCACTGCATAAGGCAGTTTCCCACTGCACACATCCAGAAGAATAAAGTCACCTAAGCACTCTTGTCAGATCTTAGCAAGGCTGCAAAATGACAGGAGTTGCTAACCAAATAGCAGGAAGCAAAAATCACCACCTTTAAAAATCATTTAAGCAGTTTTCCTTTCCGCCATCTCACTTCCCTCCTCCTCCTCCTCGTCATTCTCTCTCTCTCTCTCTCACACACACACACACACACACACACACACGCACGCACGCACGCACGCAATGCAGTTCATCCCCAGCTTTGCAAGTGACATGCTGGGAGCTCTCTCTGGACAGCCGGCCCAGAACTCATTCAGAGCCCTCAAATACAGACATTCTCACCTGAACACGCCAGGCAACTTCCACCCGCACCATCACCTCCACCCTCCCCGACACACACAGACTCGCCCTCGCAAGCTCTACCCATACCAATCCCCCAGCTGCAGAAAGCCCAGTAGGCTCACTGCAAGCGCAGCACGCGTTACCACTTATAAGCCGAGTTGGGCGGCCTAAGCTTCAGAAACCGCCTCTTCACGCAGCCCACCCCCACCACCCCGGCGCGGCTGGACCCCTGGCCCGCCAGGTGGGATGCGCTACCTTTAGACTGGCAATCTGCACAAAACTTGTTATCCTCCTCCAGCAGCAGGTTGGCCAGGACAGCCTGGTACCGATCCACGTCCTTCACCGACTTGCCTGTCATGGCCAGGGTGCCGGCGGGGGCAGAGGGCGACGCGCCCTCCTCGCCCCCAGAGACCCCTGCCTCAGTCCGGGGTTGAGGACTCCCGGTCCCCCGCCCAGGGGCACCTCCTGAGCGGGGAGAGCCCTCTCCTCCGGCCCCGCCGGACGCCCCTTCCCGGGTCGGGGGCGTCCGTCCCCCACTCCGCAGCCCCTCGGCGCGGCGCCCCTTGGCGGGCTTAGGGACAGGCCCGCCTCCAAGAGAGGCTGCGGGGCCAGAGACCCTCAGCCCAGGCAAAGGCGGACCACGAGCCTCCTGGGTGCCGGACGCAGATGACCCTCTGGCCGGCCTGTCTGCTGGCCTTGCGTCCCGCGCCTCGGTTTCCCTGGCAGCTGCCGTCAGCTCCGCTACCACCTCCACCGCCTACTTCCGGCAGCTCTTCCTCCCCACCTCCACCCTGCCCAGCTCGCGCATGCGCCCCGCCCCCACCGCGCCGCACTGGGCTCTTCCTTCAGCTCCGCCTCTCGGGAACCAATCCGTGGAGAAGCGGGGGGCGGGCCTTGGGTGGGGGCGGAGGGAAGGGGTGGGCACGCCCCCTGCGTGTCCTTGGAAGAGAATGAATGGAGCCTGGTAGAAAGGGAGTGGAGGGAATGGAAGAAAGTGAAGGAAGACAACAACTAACATTTACTGAGCTCTTACTATGCGCTAGGCACTGTGTTAAGCGCTTTGCATGAACTATCCCAACATAATCCTCACAACGACCCTATGATCATCCTTATGTAACCTGAGGGTTGTTGATACCCCAAAGTCCTCCAGCTTGTTTTTTCCAACAGCCAAATATAAGAGTCCAAGCCCCTAACCCAGGATATAGGAACGTCACCCCCTCCCCACATTTTCAGAGGACTCTGGTCACCTCTCACTTGGAATACCTGCTCCCACTAATACTCATTAGCTCTCCTCTGTGACTCCTGCCTTTTTGGATATTGTTTGGCCTGGTGCCCAGACAGTTTGTTTCTTCTTCCATTTCTTAAATTCTCACAAAACAGCGAGTTTTTTGTGGCAGACTTTTACTGAACGTTATTTGGGAAGGGTGGGGGACAGTGATTAAAGCATAGCACACAACAGGCAACTCCTTAAAAATGATTATTAAACATCATCATCCAAAGCCACCGTTGCTACAGATAATTTCTCATTGGCTGTCCTTTTCCTTAGGGATCCACCTGCCATCTGGCTTGTGTTTTCATTCACTCATTCATTCATTCATTCACTGAGCACGATGTTACTGAGAAATTTCTAAGTATCAGGCACTGTACTAGGGGAGAGGGAAACAGCATGATCCGATTTGTGGTTTTAAAAGGTCACTCTGGCTGCCATGGAAATAATTAATCAGGGAAGATAGTAAGCAGATGCTAAGAGTTATCTAAACTCTGGTGAAACCCTCTCCTCCATTTCTTTACTTTCTCCCAAGACCAGGATCCCCTCAAAGCTTTCATCTCATCAGAGGAAAACTAAACATTTCTATTACTTTATTAATCACAACAATTAAATTTTCTGGCTAAGCCTCTTCCCTTCTAGCCATGCCTAGGGGACTTGACTTTTAAAAACACACAAGTTCATTGGGGTGTTTTTCCTCAGAAAACCCATCCAAGTAGGTATTACCATAACCATTTTTCAGTTGAAATAGACAGTCAAGATTAACTAGTTACTGGGTGTGGTGGCACATACCTGTAGTCCTAGCTACTCAGGATGCCAGAGCCAGAGCATCACTTGAGCCCAGGAGTTGGAATCCAGCCTGGGCAACACAGTAAGAACCACCCCTCCAACCCCCAATGTACCCCGTTACCCTGTCTCAAACAACAACAACAACAACAAAACCCAGTTAATTGCGGTGAGTGGTGATTGTACCTTAGTTCAAGCCCTCCCCATCTTCATCTCCTCACTCTGCAAATAGCCTTCCTGCCTTAGTCTAAATCTGGTTAAATTAATCCTTCACCGTGCTCTCTAGAGGGAGCTTTTAAATGCCAATTCTGATGGACTCACACTTCCTGCTTAAAAAATCCTTTAGTGGCTCTCCATTGCCTATGGCAGTGTTTCTCAAATTGTTCCCACCTAGTGAGAGATCTCATGGCTTTGTGGTTAAGCACACAGACTCTGGGGCAAGAATGCTTAAGTTTAAATCTTCAGCTTTTACCACCTATTATCTGTGTGACTTTGAGCAGGTTACTTAGCCTCTTGGTGCCTCAGTTATTTCATCTATAGAATGGGAATGATGATAACATTAATAGTACCTATTTCACAAGATTATTATGAGGCTTAGCTGAGATAATGCCTGTAATATAATTAGAACAGCCCTTGGTAGATAGTGAATGATAGACAATTAGCGCTCTTCACTAAATATTTCTGGCGTTTTGCCTTCTGAGCACATGGTAGGATTTTATTTCCTGGCCTTCAAGTGATTGGGAAAGACCAATGAGTTTGAGCAGAAAGGATGGATTACTTTGTCTCTGAAGCATTTATTTGTTGCTTTGAGCCTCTTGTGCTTCTCTTTCCCTCTGGCATGGCAACTATTGATGCTGAAGATGTTGGTTGCTCTATTAGCCTGGATTTCTGTGTAGCTGATAAACAAGAGCTCTCTGCCAGCCCATAGAGGATAACTTAGCATAAGCAAGAAATAAGCATTGTGTTGCCATTGAGTTTTGTTTGTTTACCACTGTATAAGCTAGCCTATCCTAGCAGATACATCAAGTATTAGCTCTTTTTATTATCATTACTAATAGCAGAGTAAAGTGAGTGCATAGCCCAGGGTCTGAGGATATAAACAAAGCAAACTGCTCCTCCCAAGTACACATTTTTTTTTTTGAAGTCTTGAATTTTGCTTTGACTAGTCTTGCAAAAATGTTCACTCTGTTCCATCATGCACATGTTATCTTATCATAAAACTGTTTCCACATTAGTTATAAAATTTTTTTTTTTGAGACCGAGTCTCGCTCTGTCGCCAGGCTGGAGTGCAGTGGTGCGATCTCGGCTCACTGCAACCTCCGCCTCCCAGGTTCAAGCAATTCTCCTGCCTCAGCCTCCCAAGTAGCTAGGACTACAGGCACGTGCCACCACTCCTGGCTAATTTTTTGTATTTTAATAGAGGCAGGGTTTCACCCTGTTAGCCAGGATGGTCTCAATCTCCTGACCTCGTGACCCGCCCACCTCAGCCTCCCAAAGTACTAGGATTACTGGCATGAGCCACCGCGCCTGGCCAGTTATAGAATTTTCTTTTCTTTTTTTTTTTTTTTTATTATACTTTAAGTTTTAGGGTACATGTGCACATTGTGCAGGTTAGTTACATATGTATACATGTGCCATGCTGGTGCGCTGCACCCACTAACTCGTCATCTAGCATTAGGTATATCTCCCAATGCTATCCCTCCCCCCTCCCCCTACCCCACCACAGTCCCCAGAGTGTGATATTCCCCTTCCTGTGTCCATGTGATCTCATTGTTCAATTCCCACCTATGAGTGAGAATATGCGGTGTTTGGTTTTTTGTTCTTGTGATAGTTTACTAAGAATGATGATTTCCAATTTCATCCATGTCCCTACAAAGGACATGAACTCATCATTTTTTATGGCTGCATAGTATTCCATGGTGTATATGTGCCACATTTTCTTAATCCAGTCTATCATTGTTGGACATTTGGGTTGGTTCCAAGTCTTTGCTATTGTGAATAATGCCGCAATAAACATACGTGTGCATGTGTCTTTATAGCAGCATGATTTATAGTCATTTGGGTATATACCCAGTAATGGGATGGCTGGGTCAAATGGTATTTCTAGTTCTAGATCCCTGAGGAATCGCCACACTGACTTCCACAATGGTTGAACTAGTTTACAGTCCCACCAACAATGTAAAAGTGTTCCTATTTCTCCACATCCTCTCCAGCACCTGTTGTTTCCTGACTTTTTAATGATTGCCATTCTAACTGGTGTGAGATGGTATCTCATTGTGGTTTTGATTTGCATTTCTCTGATGGCCAGTGATGATGAGCATTTTTTCATGTGTTTTTTGGCTGCATAAATGTCTTCTTTTGAGAAGTGTCTGTTCATGTCCTTTGCCCACTTTTTGATGGGGTTGTTTGTTTTTTTCTTGTAAATTTGGTTGAGTTCATTGTAGATTCTGGATATTAGCCCTTTGTCAGATGAGTAGGTTGCGAAAATTTTCTCCCATTTTGTAGGTTGCCTGTTCACTCTGATGGTAGTTTCTTTTGCTGTGCAGAAGCTCTTTAGTTTAATTAGATCCCATTTGTCAATTTTGTCTTTTGTTGCCATTGCTTTTGGTGTTTTGGACATGAAGTCCTTGCCCATGCCTATGTTCTGAATGGTAATGCCTAGGTTTTCTTCTAGGGTTTTTATGGTTTTAGGTCTAACGTTTAAATCTTTAATCCATCTTGAATTGATTTTTGTATAAGGTGTAAGGAAGGGATCCAGTTTCAGCTTTCTACATATGGCTAGCCAGTTTTCCCAGCACCATTTATTAAATAGGGAATCCTTTCCCCATTTCTTGTTTTTCTCAGGTTTGTCAAAGATCAGACAGTTGTAGGTATGCGGCGTTATTTCTGAGGGCTCTGTTCTGTTCCATTGATCTATATCTCTGTTTTGGTACCAGTACCATGCTGTTTTGGTTATTGTAGCCTTGTAGTAAAGTTTGAAGTCAGGTAGTGTGATGCCTCCAGCTTTGTTCTTTTGGCTTAGGATTGACTTGGCGATGTGGGCTCTTTTTTGGTTCCATATGAACTTTAAAGTAGTTTTTTCCAATTCTGTGAAGAAAGTCATTGGTAGCTTGATGGGGATGGCATTGAATCTGTAAATTACCTTGGGCAGTATGGCCATTTTCACAATATTGATTCTTCCTACCCATGAGCATGGAATGTTCTTCCATTTGTTTGTATCCTCTTTTATTTCCTTGAGCAGTGGTTTGTAGTTCTCCTTGAAGAGGTCCTTCACATCCCTTGTAAGTTGGATTCCTAGGTATTTTATTCTCTTTGAAGCAATTGTGAATGGGAGTTCACTCATGATTTGGCTCTCTGTTTGTCTGTTGTTGGTGTATAAGAATGCTTGTGATTTTTGTACATTGATTTTGTATCCTGAGACTTTGCTGAAGTTGCTTATCAGCTTAAGGAGATTTTGGGCTGAGACAATGGGGTTTTCTAGATATACAATCATGTCATCTGCAAACAGGGACAATTTGACTTCCTCTTTTCCTAATTGAATACCCTTTATTTCCTTCTCCTGCCTAATTGCCCTGGCCAGAACTTCCAACACTATGTTGAATAGGAGTGGTGAGAGAGGGCATCCCTGTCTTGTGCCAGTTTTCAAAGGGAATGCTTCCAGTTTTTGCCCATTCAGTATGATATTGGCTATGGGTTTGTCATAGATAGCTCTTATTATTTTGAAATACGTCCCATCAATACCTAATTTATTGAGAGTTTTTAGCATGAAGGGTTGTTGAATTTTGTCAAAGGCTTTTTCTGCATCTATTGAGATAATCATGTGGTTTTTGTCTTTGGTTCTGTTTATATGCTGGATTACATTTATTGATTTGCGTATATTGAACCAGCCTTGCATCCCAGGGATGAAGCCCACTTGATCATGGTGGATAAGCTTTTTGATGTGCTGCTGGATTCGGTTTGCCAGTATTTTATTGAGGATTTTTGCATCAATGTTCATCAAGGATATTGGTCTAAAATTCTCTTTTTTTGTTGTGTCTCTGCCCGGCTTTGGTATCAGAATGATGCTGGCCTCATAAAATGAGTTAGGGAGGATTCCCTCTTTTTCTATTGATTGGAATAGTTTCAGAAGGAATGGTACCAGTTCCTCCTTGTACCTCTGGTAGAATTCGGCTGTGAATCCATCTAGTCCTGGACTCTTTTTGGTTGGTAAGCTATTGATTATTGCCACAATTTCAGCTCCTGTTATTGGTCTATTAAGAGATTCAACTTCTTCCTGGTTTAGTCTTGGGAGAGTGTATGTGTCGAGGAATTTATCCATTTCTTCTAGATTTTCTAGTTTATTTGCGTAGAGGTGTTTGTAGTATTCTCTGATGGTAGTTTGTATTTCTGTGGGATCGGTGGTGCTATCCCCTTTATCATTTTTTATTGTGTCTATTTGATTCTTCTCTCTTTTTTTCTTTATTAGTCTTGCTAGCGGTCTATCAATTTTGTTGATCCTTTCAAAAAACCAGCTCCTGGATTCACTGATTTTTTGAAGGGTTTTTTGTGTCTCTATTTTCTTCAGTTCTGCTCTGATTTTAGTTATTTCTTGCCTTCTGCTAGCTTTTGAATGTGTTTGCTCTTGCTTTCTAGTTCTTTTAATTGTGATGTTAGGGTGTCAATTTTGGATCTTTCCTGCTTTCTCTTGTGGGCATTTAGTGCTAAAAATTTCCCTCTACACACTGCTTTGAATGCATCCCAGAGATTCTGGTATGTTGTGTCTTTGTTCTCGTTGGTTTCAAAGAACATCTTTATTTCTGCCTTCATTTCGTTATGTACCCAGTAGTCATTCAGGAGCAGGTTGTTCAGTTTCCATGTAGTTGAGCGGCTTTGAGTGAGATTCTTAATCCTGAGTTCTAGTTTGATTGCACTGTGGTCTGAGAGATAGTTTGTTATAATTTCTGTTCTTTTACATTTGCTGAGGAGAGCTTTACTTCCAAGTATGTGGTCAATTTTGGAATAGGTGTGGTGTGGTGCTGAAAAAAATGTATATTCTGTTGATTTGGGGTGGAGAGTTCTGTAGATGTCTATTAGGTCCGCTTGGTGCAGAGCTGAGTTCAATTCCTGGGTATCCTTGTTGACTTTCTGTCTCGTTGATCTGTCTAATGTTGACAGTGGGGTGTTAAAGTCTCCCATTATTATTGTGTGGGAGTCTAAGTCTCTTTGTAGGTCACTCAGGACTTGCTTTATGAATCTGGGTGCTCCTGTATTGGGTGCATATATATTTAGGATAGTTAGCTCTTCTTGTTGAATTGATCCCTTTACCATTATGTAATGGCCTTCTTTGTCTCTTTTGATCTTTGTTGGTTTAAAGTCTGTTTTATCAGAGACTAGGATTGCAACCCCTGCCTTTTTTTGTTTTCCATTTGCTTGGTAGATCTTCCTCCATCCTTTTATTTTGAGCCTATGTGTGTCTCTGCACGTGAGATGGGTTTCCTGAATACAGCACACTGATGGGTCTTGACTCTTTATCCAATTTGCCAGTCTGTGTCTTTTAATTGGAGCATTTAGTCCATTTACATTTAAAGTTAATATTGTTATGTGTGAATTTGATCCTGTCATTATGATGTTAGCTGGTGATTTTGCTCGTTAGTTGATGCAGTTTCTTCCTAGTCTCGATGGTCTTTACATTTTGGCATGATTTTGCAGTGGCTGGTACGGGTTGTTCCTTTCCATGTTTAGCGCTTCCTTCAGGAGCTCTTTTAGGGCAGGTCTGGTGGTGACAAAATCTCTCAGCATTTGCTTGTCTGTAAAGTATTTTATTTCTCCTTCACTTATGAAGCTTAGCTTGGCTGGATATGAAATTCTGGGTTGAAAATTCTTTTCTTTAAGAATGTTGAATATTGGCCCCCACTCTCTTCTGGCTTGTAGGGTTTCTGCTGAGAGATCCGCTGTTAGTCTGATGGGCTTCCCTTTGAGGGTAACCCGACCTTTCTCTCTGGCTGCCCTTAACATTTTTTCCTTCATTTCAACTTTGGTGAATCTGACAATTATGTGTCTTGGAGTTGCTCTTCTCGAGGAGTATCTTTGTGGCGTTCTCTGTATTTCCTGAATCTGAACGTTGGCCTGCCTTGCTAAATTGGGGAAGTTCTCCTGGATAATATCCTGCAGAGTGTTTTCCAACTTGGTTCCATTCTCCCCATCACTTTCAGGTACACCAATCAGATGTAGATTTGGTCTTTTCACATAGTCCCATATTTCTTGGAGGCTTTGCTCATTTCTTTTTACTCTTCTTTCTCTAAACTTCCCTTCTCGCTTCATTTCATTCATTTCATCTTCCATTGCTGACACCCTTTCTTCCAGTTGATCGCATCGGCTCCTGAGGCTTCTGCATTCTTCACGTAGTTCTCGAGCCTTGGTTTTCAGCTCCATCAGCTCCTTTAAGCACTTCTCTGTATTGGTTATTCTAGTTATACATTCTTCTAAATTTTTTTCAAAGTTTTCAACTTCTTTGCCTTTGGTTTGAATGTCCTCCCGTAGCTCAGAGTAATTTGATCGTCTGAAGCCTTCTTCTCTCAGCTCGTCAAAGTCATTCTCCATCCAGCTTTGTTCTGTTGCTGGTGAGGAGCTGCGTTCCTTTGGAGGAGGAGAGGCGCTCTGATTTTTGGAGCTTCCAGTTTTTCTGTTCTGTTTTTTCCCCATCTTTGTGGTTTTATCTACTTTTGGTCTGTGATGATGGTGATGTACAGATGGGTTTTTGGTGTGGATGTCCTTTCTGTTTGTTAGTTTTCCTTCTAACAGACAGGACCCTCAGCTGCAGGTCTCAGATGGAAATGCAGAAATCACCGGTCTTCTGCGTCGGTCACGCTGGGAGCTGTAGACCGGAGCTGTTCCTATTCGGCCATCTTGGCTCCTCCCCGAATGTATCCAGTTATAGAATTTTCTATCTGTCCCAGTGGCCACTGAGCATAGTTTGGTTGCACTGTATCTAATGGATTTCAGAAAATTGGAATGAATTGAAGAATCCTGATACCACATTTCATACTCAGCTTCCAGATAATTTCTCTTTATTGTTTTTATTTTGTTTTGTTTTGCTTTGGTGGCAGTAGAATTTATTAGAATGTGCCTTTTAAAAATTATTTGAAATAGAGATGGAGTCTTGCTTTGTTGCTCAGGATGGTCTTGAATTCATAGCCTAAAATGATCCTCACACCTTGGCCTCCCAAAGTGCTGAGGTTACAGGCATGAGCCTAGAATGTGGCTTAATACAGGCACGTGGGCTTGCCCACGGTGCTCTCAGTATATAAAGCTTGAATGTCTTGGCAATTTTTCTTGAGTAATGACACTAGGAAGTTGACAGCCAGGTGAATGTTATGTACAAGCTCATCGTCTGTCATCTTCACATGGCCAACAGCCACAGCCAGACATAGCACCTTCTTCATCTGAAACTGGGTTGTGGACTTCACCTCATCCACTTTGGCCACCATGTTTTTGTTGTGTGTCAGCAGGGGAGGGAACTTACCCACCTTATTTAGGCCTGGGCCAAGGATTCATGGGATCTGCTTGATCAGAGACTCTGAGGCTAAAAAGACATTATACTTTTTGACAGCTGTTTGACCGATTATTATTCTTATTGAGCTTTTCAGCACCTTGATGTCCCTGTGGAGGATATCCACAGCCTTGAGCCATTTTTTTTTTTTTTGGAGACAGGGTCTCACTTTGTCATCCAGGCTGGAGTGCAGAGGCTCGAACATAGCTCACTGCAACCTCGACTTCCCAGGCTCAAGCAGTCCTCCCACCTCAGCCTCCTGAGTAGCTGGGACTACAGGCGTACATCACCATGTCCAGCTAATTTTGTGTATTTTTTGTAGAGACAGGGTTTCACCATGTTGCCCAGGTTGGTCCTGAGCTCCTGGAATCAAGCGATCCTCCTGCCTTGGCCTCCCAAAGTGCTGGGATTACAGGCATGAATCACTGTGCCTGGCCCATCTTATTTTTCTTTAATAAATTATTTTCTGTTTGTAGAAATAGGATCTGGCTATGTTGCCCAGGCTGTCTCAAACTCCTGGCCTCAAACAATCCTCTCCACTCAGCCTCTCAAAGTGCTGGGATTACAGGTGTGAGCCACCTTGCTTGCCCTCTTTTTTTTCTTTAAATCAGAGTATTTTGAAACCCCAACTCACATAAATAAGGACAAAATAAAAACCACTATACTAGAGAAGCCACAGTAATAAAATGCCCAGATTACTACCAAGAAAGAGGTATGGTGAACATTTTTGGACTATTGCCACAGGAAACTCTCATTAGTGTATCTTATAGCTAAGAGATCAAAATCTCTTAAGCCATATGTTAATCAGTTTCTGATTCACTGGCCAGTCACTTTACCTATACCAGATAACACTCATAGAATGACCTGTTCATTTAGAAAGCTGGATAATTATGCTCCCTGTTTTACTATGAGCTCAGTGTTATTTGTCACATGCAAATGAGCTTGGTGAGACTAAGCTTAGTGAGCTTCGTGATTCCCCTCTGGCTACAGCTGGTCTAAATGCTGCCTCTGGGGGCACCAGCTGAGTTCTGCCCAGGGTTGCTTTCCACTGTGACAAGGCAGCACTGAGTTCTAATGTAAAGTCCCACAATCACTGCACTCTCCTTCCCCCAAGCACACCAGTTCTCTCTCTGATCCACACGGCTGCTGGTGGGGAAGGGGTTAGTGGCATCAGCAATTCAAGACTGTCTTTTGTACTCTCTTCAGTGTCTCTTTCTGTAATATGAAGTTAAAACCAGGTACTGTGATTACTCACTGTATTTTTGGTTCATATGAAGGTGATTTTTTGTGTGGATAGTTGTTCAATTTGGTGTTCCTGTGGGGAGGACAATTGGTGAGGTCTTCTATTTTTGGCCATCTTGCTCTGCCTTCCTAGATATTAGATTTTTTTTTTTAAGTTTTAAATCAAAGTAAAAACATGCACATAGTTTTAAAAGTCAAGTAATTATACAAGGCTTATAATGACAAACAGTAATCCTCTGCCCCATCTCTGCCCACACTGGTCCCTACTCCTCTGAGACAACCATTTTCAACTCTTATAGTTGTTTCTTCTACAATTTATGTATTGCCCAAATAACATGTTTCTATCACCATGATTTACCTTCCCAGCTTTGCTTATTCACTTCCTGCTATGGAAGATGAAGATTTAGATTTCTTTATATATACTCCCCCAGACTTCCTTTCCCACATTTTCCTAGTATAGTTAAATGACAATATTTTGTTAAATTAATGCTCAATATTTATAATATTATGACTTAATATTATTGACAGTTGTGCTTTGTATTCATTGATTGCATTTTTTTCCTGGTTAAACTTTTTGTTTTTCCTGGAGTCAATAATTGCTCCACTTTGGAGTGCTTAATTTTCTATGAACCTATGATTAATTCATCTCCTAATACTCTGACAGAAGAGAATTTCCTCTTAGTGAGTTCTAACACATCAGCTAAGCTATAAATTTCATTATTCTTGGCGCTGTCCATCCTGAAGCTTCTGCCCTGCTGCTCCAAGCTGGAGGAGGCCTGCTGCTATGTAATCATCACCCTGGAATTCCCCTTCACTATCATCCTGGGAATAGCCTTCCTCTTTTTCCTGTGTTGAATGCTCTATTTTCTGGATTTGGTGCTTACGAGGGACAGAGCAAGTATAACTGACCAAGGCCTACTCCAAGAACTCTGTAGTGTAATGATAGGAAATTGCCCCACACCAGAGCATATCAATGTGAAATGGCAGAACACTGGGGGAAAAGGCAAGATCTGAAGTTTCCAGAGAGGAAAAACAAATCACATGAAAAAGAATCAGGAATGAGAATAGCATGGAGTTCTCAACAGTAGCACTGGAAGCCAGGAGACAATGAAACTTTGCCTCCAAAATTCTGAGAAAAAAAAGAGTTGCCAACCCAGAATTCTGTACCACCCAAACTACTATTCTAGAGGCAGTGTTGAATAAAGACAGTTTCACATACCATAGATTTCAAAATCTTGCCTCCTGCGCTGGCTGTGTTCCATTGGCTTCCACATCCTCTCTCAGCCCTTCAACTGGCTCTGAGGTCTAAGAGACAACTTTGATAGATGGCATCAACCTGGCTTCTCTGCACACCAGCTTTTGGTTGTGTTCAACCAATGGGAAGAACAGTGGGAAATCAGAGGGCAAGAGGAGAGAGAAGTCGAGTTATTTATTTTCTCTGCTTTCTCCCTACTGGCAGAGCTACTGCCCCCCTCCAGTGACAGTCAAAGTGTCTGCGACAGTGGCCCTCTTGACTGTGATGGTGGCCCTCTCCTACAGCGAGGGCTCACATCACATTCTGGTCATACTCTCTCCCCTGGCCTCTTCAGGCTTTGAGGGCAACAGCCATCTGCACTTGCTCGCCCCAAGATACATCATGCCCTTGGTTGATTTTCTTTCACCCTTCCCACACTTTACAAAATGGTCCCTTCTTTAAACGCTCCTCACTGGCCTCTTTTGCATTGGCCACAGGCTTCCTATTGGAATCCTAACCAGTTTATCTCCCATGCACACTTTGTCAAAAATGACAGCACAATCAAGCCGGGAGTCAGAAGCCTTAGGAATCAACCTGTTGCTCTATTCTATAGCAGCTGAGCTGGCACCCAAGCCACAAGACAAAGTCCTTCCCCCTCTTCCTTTCCCTTTGCTCAAGCAGAGGAGTCTCTCCCTGTGGCCACCAGTGCCCCAGGCCCACGGAAAGTACTCCCTGGCTTCTGCTGATGTTCATTCAAAGCCTAAGGGCTCTTTGGTCAGCTTGTGGTGAATGCTGCGAGGTGTGGGACTCTCCCTTCAGGGCAGTGGGCTCCCCTCTGGCCCAGGGAAGGTCCAGAAATGCCATCTAAGAGCTAAGGTCTGGAATTGGGGACCTCAAGGGCCCACTTGGTCAATCTGGTACCTAAGCTGCAGGACAAAGTTCCCTTTACTCTTCCTTCTCCTTTTTCAAGCAGAAGGAGTCCATTCCTGCAGCCACCACAGCTGGGAATGTGCTGGGTCACACATTAAGCCAGCACATCTCTGAGTCTCACCCAAGGCCCATGGTGAGTCCTGCCTGGGTACTGCTGCTGATCATTCGGGGCCCAAGTGCTCTTGAGTGAACAAGTGAAGAATCCTGCCAGGACTGGGTTCTTCCCTTCAAGGCAGTGGGTTCCCTTCTGACCCAGGGTGTGTCTAGAAATGTCATCCAAAACCTAGGACCTGGAATAGGGGCCTCAGGACTCTGCCTGGTGCCCTATCCTACTGTGGCTGAACTGGTATCCAAGTTGCAAGGCAAAGCCCTCTTTTCTCTCTCCTCTCTTGTGGAAGAAATGACTTTCTCCTGGAACTGCAAGCTATGCTGCCTGCAATTGGGGAAGGGATGGCAAAAGCACTACCTTGGCAGCCCCAGCTGGTGTCTTATTAAGTCATGTGCCCCCCATGTCCACTGGCTTCAAGCCCAGCATAGCATCAGGACTGTCCCCAGAATTGCAGTCCTCATGGCCTTGACTGTCTTTGAAGTTTACTTAGAACTCCAGAGCACTTTGGCCTGGGGTGGTGAGACTAATGTGAACTGTTTCCAACCACTGGTATGGACAATTCCCCTCTGGTGAGGATTGATCTAAATGCTCCCTGTGGAGCACTGGCTGAGTTCTGCCCAGGGTTGCTTTCCACTGTGACAAGGCAGCACTGAGTTCTAATGCAAAGTCCCACAATCACTGTGCTCTCCTTCTCCCAAGCACACTGATTCTCTCTGGGCCACACAGCTGTTGCTATGGAATGGGGGAGCAGTGCCATCAGCAATTCAAGACTGTCCTTTGGGCTGGGCACAGTGGCTCATGCCTGTAATCCCAGCACTTTGGGAGGCCGAGGCAGGTGGATGACCTGAGGTCAGAAGTTTGAGACCAGCCTGGCCAACATGGCAAAACCATGAGTCTACTAAAAATACAAAAATTAGCCAGGCGTGGTAGTGGGTACCTGTAATCCCACTACTCAGGAGGCTGAGGCAGGAGAATCACTTGAACCTGAGAGGCAGAGGTTGCAGTGAGCCAAGATCTTGCCACTGCACTCCAGCCTGGGCAACAGAGTAAGACTTTATCTCAAAAAAAAAAAAAAAAGCTCAGGCACGGTGGCTCACGCCTGTAATCCCAGCACTTTGGGAGGCCGAGGCAGGCGGATCATGAGGTCAGGAGATCGAGACCATCCTGGCTAACATGGTGAAACCCCGTCTCTACTAAAATTACAAAAAATTAGCCGGGTGTGGTGGTGGGCACCTGTAGTCCCAGCTACTCAGGAGGCTGAGGCAGGAGAATGGCATGAACCTGGGAGGCGGAGCTTGCAGTGAGCCGAGATCGCACCACTGCACTCCAGCCTAGGTGACACAGCGAGACTCCATCTCAAAAAAAAAAAAAAAAAAAAGAAAGAAGAAGAAGAAAAAAGTCTGTCTTTTGTACCCTCTTCAGTGCCTCTTTCTGTAATACGAAGTTAAAACCAGATACTGTGATTGCTTACTGATCAAAAATAATAATTACAACTTTTCAAGACATAGACAGTCCAATGAGATATAGACAGAAATGACAAAAAGTTAAAAAGGAGGGGGATAAAGTGTTGAGTTTTTATTAGTTTTTTTCTTTGCTTGTCTGTTTACGCAATCAGTGTTAAGTTGTCATCAGTTTAAAATAATGGGTTATAAGAGATGATTTGCAGTCCTTATGGTAACCTCAAATAAAAAACAAACAACAGATAAACAAAAAATAAAAAGCAAAAAAGTAAAGTGTACCACCAGAGAAAACCACCTTCACTAAAAGGAAGACAAGTAGAAAGGAAAGAAGGAAGAGAAAACCACAAAACAACCAGAAAACAAATAACAAAGTGGCAGGCATAAGTCCTTACTTACCAATAATAACACTGAATGTAAATGGACTAAACTCTCTGATGAAAAGACATAAAGTGGCTGAATGGATGAAAAAACAAGACCTGGTGATCTGTTGCATACAAGAAACTTACTTATAAAGACACAAATAGGGGTGCGGTGGCTCATGCCTGTAATCCCAGCACTTTGGGAGGCCAAGGTGGGTGGGTCACCTGAGGTCAGGAGTTCGAGACCAGCCTGGACAACATGGGGAAACCCCGTCTCTACTAAAAATACAAAAATTAGCTGGGCATGGTGGCACGCACTTGTAGTTCCAGCTACTTGGGAGGCTGAGGCAGGAGAATTGCTGGAACCTGGGAGACAGAGGTTGCAGTGAGCTGAGATTGTGCCACTGCACTCCAACCTGGGCAACAAAGCAAGGTTTTGTCTCAAACAAACAAACAAAAAAAGATACACATAGACTGAAAATAAAGGAATGGAAAAAGATATTCCATGTCAATGAAAACAAAAAAGAACAGAAGTAACTATATTTATAACAGACAAAATAGATTTCAAGATACAAACCATAAAAAGAGACAAAGAAGGTCATTATATAATGATAAAGGAATCAATTCAGCAAGAGGATGTATATATCTGCATCCAACACTGGAGCACCCAAATATATAAAGGAAATATTATTAGAGCTAAAGAGAGAAATAGACCCCAATACATTAATAGCTAGAAACTTCAACACCCTACTTTCAGCACTGGGCAGATCATCCAGACAGAAAACCAACAAAGAAACATCAGACTTAATCTGCACTAAAAATCGAATGAACCTAATAGATACAAAACATTTCATACAACAGCTGCGGAATACATATTCTTCTCCTCAGCACATGGATCATTCTCAAGGATAGAGTATATGTTAGGCCATAAAATAAGTCTTTAAAAATTCAAGACCAGGTGCAGTGGCTCATGCCTGTAATCCCAGCACTTTGTGTGTGTTTTTTGTTTTGTTTTGTTTTGAGATGGAATCTTGCTCTGTCGCCCAGTCTAGAGTGCAATGGTGTGATCTTGGCTTACTGTAACCTCCGCCCCCTGGGTTCAAGCAATTCTCCTGCCTTAGCCTCCCAAGTAGCTGGGATTACACATGTCCACCACCACGCCCAGCTAATTTTTTGTATTTTTAGCAGAGACAGTGTTTCACCACGTTGGCCAGGCTGGTCTCGATCTCCTGACCTCAAGTAATCCACCTACTTTGGCCTCCCAAAGTGCTGGGATTACAGGTGTGAGCCACTGCACCCGGCCAAAAATCAGTAGCATTTCTGTATGTCAACAGCAAACAATCTGAAAAAGAAATCAAGAAAGTAATCCCATTTACAATAGCTACAAATTAAGTAAAATACATAAGAATTAACCCAAGAAGTGAAAGATCTTAACAATAAAAACTATAAAACATTGATGAAATAAATCAAGATGACACAAAAAATGGAAACGTATTCCATGTTCATGGATTGGAAGAATAAATATTGTTAAAATATTCATATTGCCTAAAGCAATGTACAGATTTAATGCAATCCCTATTAAAAAAAAAACCAATAACATTCCTCAAAGAAATAGGAAAAACAATCCTAAAATTTATATGAAACCACAAAAGACCCAGAATAGCTAAAGCTATCCTGAGCAAAAAGAACAAAGCTGGAGTAATCACATTACCTGACTTTAAATTATACTACAAAGCTATAGTAACCAAAACAGCATGGCATTGGCACAAAAATGGACATATAGACAAATGGAGCAAAATGAAAAACCCTGAAACAAATCCATACACCTACAGTGAATTCTTTTTGAGCAAAGATGCAAAGAATATTGACTGGGGAAAAAACAGTCTCTTCAATAAATGGTGCTAGGGAAACTGCATACCTATATGTAGAAGAATGAAACTAGACCCTTCTCACCATATACGAAAATCAAACCAAAATTTGATCTAAGACTTAAATCTAAGACTTCAAACTGTGAAACTACTAAAAGAAAACACTGAGGAAACTCTCTGGGACATTGGACAGGGCAAAGATTTCCTTCTTTTTTTTTTTTTGTGGTTGTTGTTTGTTTTTGAGACAGAATCTCGCTCTGTGGCCCAGGCTGGAGTGCAGTGGTGTGATCTCAGCTTACTGCAACTTCTGCCTCCCAGGTTCAAGGAATTCTCCTGCCTCAGCCTCCTGAGTAGCTAGGACTACAGGCACACGTCACCATGCCTGGCTAATATTTGTATTTTAAGTAGAGATGGGGTTTCACCATGTTGTCCAGGCTGGTCTCGAACTCCTGACCTCAGGTGATCCAAAATTTCTCAAGAAATACCTCACAAGCACAGGAAACCAAAGCAAAAATGGACAATGGGGTCCATTGGAAATACTCAACAATCCAAAGGAAATAATCAACAAAATGAAGAGACAACCCACAGAATGGGGAAAAAAATGTGCAAACCATTCATCTGACAAGGGCTTAATAAACAGAATATATAAGGAGCTCAAATAACTCAATAGGAAAAAAATCTAATAATCTGATTTAAAAATGGGCAAAAAATCTGAACAGACATTTCTCCAAAGAAGACACACAAAGGTCAAATAGGTATATGAAAAGTTGCTCAACATCACTGATCATAAGAGAAATGCAAATCAAAACTAAAATGAGATATTATCTCACCCCAGTTAAAATGGCTTTTATCCAAAAGACAGGCAATAACGAACACTAGAGAGGATGTGAAGAAAAGGGAACCCTCGTACACTGTTGTTGGGAATGTAAATTAAGACAACCACTATGGAGAACAGTTTGGAGGTTCCTCAAAAAACTAAAAATAGGGGTCCAGCACGGTGGCTCACGCCTGTAATCCCAGCACTTTGGGAGGCCAAGGCGGGCGGCTCACAAAGTTAGGAGATCGAAACCATCCTGGTTGACACAGTGAAACCCCGTCTCTACCAAAAATACAAAAAATTAGCTGGGCATGGTGGCAGGTGCCTGTAGTCCCAGCTACTCAGGAGGCTGAGGCAGGAGAATGGTGTGGACCCGGGAGGCAGAGCTTGCAGTAAGCTGAGATCACGCCACTGCACTCCAGCCTAGGCGACAGAGCGAGACTTGGTCTCAAAAAAAAAAAAACAAAAAAAAACAAAAAACCCACAAAAAACTAAAAATAGAACAACCATATGATCCAGCAATCCCATTGCAAGGTGTATATCCAAAAGAAAGGAAATCAGTATATCGAGGGGATATCTGCACTGTCCTGTTTATTGCAGCACTGTTCACTATAGCCAGGACTTAGAAGCAACCTAAGTGTCTGTCAACAGACAAATGGATAAAGAAAATGTGGTACGTACATACAATGGAGTACTATTCAGCCATAAGAAAGAATGAGATCCTCTAGTTTGCAACAAGAATGGAACTGGAGGTCATTATGTTAGTGAAATGAGCCAGGCACAGAAAGACAAACTTCACATGTTCTCACTCATTTGTGGGAGCTAAAAATTAAAACAACTGAACTCATGGAGACAGAGAGAAGAATAATGGTTACCAGAGACAGGGAAGGTTAGTGGGGGTGGGGGAAAGTGGGAATGGTTAACGGGTACAAAAATATAGTTAGATAGAATGAATAAGATCTAGAATTTGCTGGGTGCAGTGGCTCACACCTATAATCCCAGCATTTTGGGGGGGCTGAGGCAGGTGGGTCGTTTGAGCCCAGGAGTTCCACAGCAACCTTGGCAACATAGTGAGACCTCGTCTCTACAAAAAATTTAAAAATTAGCACATGCTTGTAGTTCCAGCTACTTGAGGGGCTGAGAAGGGAGGATTGCTTGAGCCTGGGAGGTCAAGGCTGAAGTGAGCCCTGACCGGTGCCACTGCACTCCAGCCTGGGCAACAAAGTGAGACTCCGTCTCAAAAAAAAATCTAGTATTAGATAGCACAACAGGGTGACTACAGTCAAAAATAATTTATTGTATATTTTAAAATAGCTTAAAGAGTATAATTGAATTGTTTGTAACACGAAGAATAAATGCTTGAGACACCCTATTTACCCTGATGTGATTATTATGCATTGTATGTCTGTATCAAAATATCTCATGTACCCCATAAGTACATACACCTACTATGTACACACAAAAATTAAAAATTAAAAATAAGCAATTATAAATACATATTGAAAGTATAATAGTATAGTGATAACGAGGAATAAGCAAAAAAGAGACCAAAACAAAAATTCTTAGTAAACAGGCACTGATACTCATCATTATCCTTGAAAACTAGTCAGAGGCAAAAGCACCACTATCATAACCTGAGTAGAGGCCGGAAGAGTGCTGAAGGTGGCAAAGCAAGAATAGAACTCTGGTCAGTTTCTATTAATGGCCATTAATTTTAATGGCAAAAACCACAATTATTCTTTATCAGTATCAGCATAAGGGTGATCTGTAAAACCTTCAATGAGGCCAGGTGCACCTCAGGCCTCACTTTGGGAGGGTGAGGCTGGCAGAACATTGGGAGGGTGAGGCGGGCAGATGACTTGAGGCCAGGAGTTTGAGACCAGCCTGACAAACATGGTGAAACCCCCTCTCTACTAAAAATACAAAAGTTAGCTGGGTTTGGTCGTGGGTGCCTATAATCCCAGCTACTCAGGAGACTGAGGCAGGAGAATCACTTGAACCCGGGAGGTGGAGGTTGGAGTGAGCTAAGGGCCGAGATCACGCCACTGTACTCCAGCCTGGGTGACAGAGTGAGACTCTGTCTCAAAAAAAAAAAAAAAAAAAAAAAAAAATTCAATGTTTTGGTTCATTTCACTGCTCTGATATGCCAGACTAGTTGGTCACAAGTTATACTACTAAAGCTAATAAAATCCAAAACAATTCTCATTTAAAAAAAATTAACTAACCTTATATTAAAAAACTTGGCTGGGCACGGTGGCTCACGCCTGTAATCCCAGCACTTTGGGAGATCGAGGCAGGCAGATCCCAAGGTCAGGAATTTGAGACCAGCCTGGCCAATATGGTGAAACCCCATCTCTACTAAAAATACAAAAATTAGCTGGGTGTGGTGGTGGGCGCCTGTAGTCCCAGCTACTCGGGAGACTGAGGCAGGAGAATCACTTGAACCCGGGAGGCGGAGATCAGTGAGCCGGGATCACGCCACTGCACTCCAGCCTGGGCGACAGAGCGAGACTCCATCTCACAAGCAAAACAAAACAAACAAACAAACAAAAACTCACAATCTTACTATTATCAACACCCATGGACTCTAGGACATAATTTGAGACATTTCCTGTTGAGGCAGTCTTTATTCCATTTGAAGTCACCCTTGGATGAGCATCCCTCTGGATTTTTCTCTGCTTGTGCCCTTCCTACAGAGTCCAGCTCTCTGTAAGTTCAGAAGGCCTTTGAATGAGAATCAAGAGAAACCCAACTAACAGTAGCTTAAAGAGTGGTTTATTTTATCACTGAACAAGAAATCCAGAGGCAAGGGAGTGGTTTACATTGATTCAGCTTCTGGACAAGGCCATCAACACCCAGGCTTTATCATTCTGCTTTGCCATCCTCAACCTATTGTATTTTTATCCTGATGTTTAATGGTTCTCAAAGTGTGGTCCCCAGACAAGCAGCATCAGTGTCACCTGGCAACTTGTTAGAAATGCACATTCTGGCCAGGCACGATGGCTCACACCTGTAATCCCAGCACTCTGGGAGGCTGAGGCAGGAGGATTGCTTGAGGTCAGATGTTCAAGACCACCCTGGCCAACATAGCAAGATACTTGTCTGTTAAAAAAAAAAGAAAGAAAGAGAGAAATGCAAATTCTCAGCCCACTCTAGGTGTATAAATCAGAACTTCTGAGGATAGGGCTCAGCAGTCTCTTTTAAGAAGCCTTCTGGGCCATGTGCAGTGACCTGTAATCCCAGCACTTTGGGAGGCCAAGGAGGGTGGGTCACTTGAGATTAGGGACTCGAGACCAGCCTGGCCAACATGGTGAAAACCCATCTCTACTAAAAATACAAAAAATTAGCCGGGCATGGTGGCAAATGCCTGTAGTCCCAGCTACTCAGGAGGCTGAGGCAGGAGAATCACTTGAACCCGGGAGGCGGAGGTTGCTGTGAGCTGAGATCATGCCATTGCACTCCAGCCTGGGCAACAAGAGCAAAACTCTGTCTCAAAAAAATAAAGAAGCCCTCTGGGTGACTATTCTGGTGCACATTCAAGTATGAGAACTGCTGCTCATGTAAATCACCTCATGGTCACAAGATGGTCACCACAGCTCTAAACATTGCATCATCTTCCAATGAAGGAAGAAGAGAAAAGGAATGTCCCCAATCTTAGCTGTTTCTTTTATCAGGAAAACAAAAGTTTTCCGAGAAGCTCACAGCAGTCTTTCCCTTAAGACTCCTTGGCCAAAACTAGGTTGCATGGCTCAGCCTCTAACTGCAAAGGACACCAGGAAAGCCCTTATGGCAGGAGGCAGCAAGAGAGATGGGTGCTGGACATGGCTGTGGGCAACCCCGGACAATGTCTGCCATAGAGTCCATGGTGGTCAGGACCATGGAAAACGTCATGCCTGACTCCATCTGCAAACGTAGTCTTAGAACTTTCAGATTCTTCAGATGGGAGTACCCAGACATAAAAATTTCATTGTTGTTAATATCTATCAATTGTGGTCGAGATCATTACACATCATGCTAAAATAATCCTTTCCCATCAAAAATGAGGAGGAGGCGCCGCGTGTGGTGGCTCACACCTGTAATCTTAGAGCTTTAGGAGGCCAAGGAGGGAGGATCGCTTGAGGCCAGGAGTTTGAGACCAGCCTGGGCAACATAGCGAGGCATTGTCTCTACAAACTTTTTAAAAAATTAGCAGAGAATGGTGGCTTGCTGCTGTAGTCCTAGCTAAGGTGGGAGGATTGCTTGAGCCTGGGAGTTCAAGGTTGCAGTGAGCTATGATCATGCCACTGCACTCCAGCTTGGATGACAGAGCAAGATCCTGTCTTTAAAAGTAAAAAAAAATAGAAAAACTTTTTAAATTAAAATATTTTAAAATGAGCAAGGGAAACAACAAAGAAGGAAGAAGAGAAAGAAGTGACGAACTCTGCCTTGACAGAGTGGAGTTCTTTTCCGAGCAATCAAGGAGGAGAACATTATAGGCAGAGAGATTAAAATGCATGAAAATGCAGAACTGAAAAAGAACTCTGAGCTGCTAGAGAGGTTACATGTGGCAAGCATTAGGAGAAGCTGGACAGAGGGTGAGGGCCAGATCACGAAAGGCCTTGTATGCTGTGCTGAGAAGGTTGAACTCCACCCTGTTCCTAATATCATTAAAGCTTGGAGGGCATCTTATCCTGGGTCCACAGATGGACTTTGGCACCTTATCAACACTATTTATTTTAAACATTATTTATAATATCAACCCCCTGAAATTGTATGAAAAATTTCATGGAGCTGCTCTGCCTATGGAGTAACTATTCTTTTGTTTCTTTACTTTCTTAATAAACTTGCTTTCACTTTACAAAAAGAAAAAAAAATTCATGGATGTGCGGGTGTGTGCAGTCTTGGGGAGAGAGGGCCTCAGATTTGCAGGGATGTGCATAACCCAAAGAAGCTTAAGAATCTGGCTGGGTACGGTGGCTCACACCTGTAATTCCAGCACTTTGGGAGGCCGAGGTGGGTAGATCACTTGAGGCCAAGAGTTCGAGACCAGCCTGGCCAACATGGTAAAGCCATGTCTCTATTAAAAAAAATTAAAATAGGCTGAGCGCGGTGGCTCACCCCTGTACTCCCAGCAATTTGAGAGGCCAAGGTGGGTGGATCACCTGAGGTTAGGAGTTCGAGACGAGCCTGACCAAATGGTAAAACCCCATCTCTACTAAAAATACAAAATTAGCCGGGCTTGGTGGTGCACGCCTGTAATCCCAGCTACTCCGGAGGCTGAGGCGTGAGAATCGCTTGACCCAGGAGGCAGAGGTTGCAGTGAGCCAAGATCGTGCCATCGCACTCCAGCCTGGACAACAAGAGTGAAACTCTGTATCAAAAAATAAATAAATAAATAAAAATGAAAGAATCATTTCTTTAAGGAGTCAAGGAGTTAATCATTGTATTCTGTATTCATCACCAGAATAAATTTATACTCTGAACAGACTCTAGATCCAGGTTAACTAGAAAAGACAGAGTTCAGACCAGAGCTGAGATTCTATCTTCTTGTCCACAGCGTTTCTTGTGCAATCTGTGCAATGGACAATCTCCAACAAGTGCCAAGACAGATGAGTATCTCCTTTTCCCCTCCTTGTCAGGCCACAGAGTCCCTCCTCTCTCCAATAACCTCTCAGCCCTGCTCTCTGTCACCACTCCCAAATGACGAGAAAGGAGGGAGTAGGACATCTGTGAAGAGAGACCCACCAGCTCCCCATCAAAGCTGGGGTGCTCCAGAAGGCACCAGAAAATGGAACAAGAGAGGATTCTTTTCCAAGGAGAGTAGGACAAGCACAAGGGAACTTCTTGTCTACGACAGGTCCTTGTGATTCTGGGTAAGGAGGGAGATTGTTTGGATCTGCTCCTGACTTTGAGTCTTCAGAGT
Source organism: Homo sapiens (assembly GCF_000001405.40). Classification (NCBI taxonomy): domain Eukaryota; kingdom Metazoa; phylum Chordata; class Mammalia; order Primates; family Hominidae; genus Homo; species Homo sapiens. The sequence goes on along the minus strand of NC_000001.11, from coordinate 40,350,976 downwards.
CTCCACTCTGGAGGCTTACAATTATTATTTGTAATGAGTTAATGAGCAGAATGGGGCAGAATAGTATCACAGGTTTCTTAATCCAAAGATAAATGATTTTGTAAAAATCCCAGTGAACAACATAATTTTAAAATGCTTATTTTAGAAAAAGATATAGAAATTTCTTCACATGACTAAACCTCTTCACTAATGGTGTCAGTTTGGTTCCTTCCAATTAATTCCTGAGTTTAAGAAGCCTTTAGGTGCCACATACCTGAAATCTTCATCCAAATAGACACAAGAGGCCCTTGCTAGGGCCATTGATTTAAGTGGCAACTTCCCTGGATTCACAGGTTGGGGCCCTACTAACTGAAATATATGATTTACATAACTGGATCCTGAACAGGAAGCAGCCCAGATTTGCAAATCACCAGACAAATTCAGTTTTGCACCAGTAATACAGTTTCCTCCTGGTTTTGTCTCTTACTGAGAAATAGATGGGTCACCCATCGTTGCCAGCCCACCCTCTTCTGTTCTGGAAGTTCTCACTGATTCCTGAACCTCTTCTGGTCATGCTTTTATGGTGTCACGCAATAGGGACCTCAGGTTTGCACTCTTCCTCGTGCACGCTTTGCTAATCCCCAACAAGATCTGGTGGGTCTGATCTGATTCCTATGTGTCTGGTACTTGTATACCCTGAGGCACACTTGGGGATGTCCTGTTTGTTCTGTTTGGGTACTCTACTGACCCCTCCTGAAGGCCATGACTCAGGAAACCAGTGACTGCCTCTCTGTTGGCTCACCTGGCCTAGTCTCTGGCACTGATGCTATCTAGCTGTTGGCTTCATCTTATGACCTATTCCATGACCTCAGAGTACTCTGCTGGGCAGCTACTCCATAGCTTCTTGATACTGGGAACACATGGTCACAAACCTGCTCTCCTCACTGGTGGGAGATTCAACCCCACAGCCTCCGGGAGGCCTGGGAGTACTGTCTCCCTAGCCAACCTTGACTCTGTGGAAAGGTGGGAGATGATTCTTGCCTTCTGTCTGACTCACCTGCTCTCTGCCATTTCCAACTGACTCAATGTTGGAGATAACATGTTGGACAAGGTGCTTCTGCAAGTCAACTTAGAAGGAATGGAACACTGATGCTGGGATTGCAGAGAAAATAATCTTGTGGCTGGGCATGGTGGCTCACGCCTATAATACAAGCACTTTGGGAGGCCGAGGCAGGCAGATCACAAGGTCAAGAGATCCAGACCATCCTGGCCAACATGGTGAAACCCCATCTCTACTAAAAATACAAAAAAATTAGCTGGATGTGGTGGCACGTGCCTGTAATCCCAGCTACTCGGGAGGCTGAGGCACGAGAATCACTTGAACCCAGGAGGTGGAGGTTGCAGTGAGCAGAGATGGCACCACTGCACTCCAGCCTGGTGACAGAGTGAGATTCCATCAAAAAAGAAAAAAGAAAGAAAAAAGAAGGAAAAAGAAAATAATTTCGTACCAGCTGTTATGAGGATTCAAAATAATAAAAAGCTCTGCCACTTACTAGCTGTGTGACTTGAGGCAAGATACTTAACCTCTATGTGCCGCAGTTTCCTCATCTGTAACATGAGGATAAAAAGGTGGTTGTGAAAATTAGAAGCTGTATAGATGAGAGGTGTCTGAGAAGTACCTGGGATACTGTACGTGCTCAACAGGGGGTACCTTCGTTATTATTGACTATGAACAGCAGGCCTATTTTTGACCCCAGCTTTATCATTAACGTTACAAAACTTCACAACATCAGCAACCAAAAGCAAAAAGAATAATCTAAGAAAAATTCACAGAAATGAAATTGTGAGAGAATTTAGTAAATTAAACATCCCAATAGGAAAATAGAGAAGATAATATGAGCAAGCACTTTAAAGAAAAACAAAAATGAGGCCAGGCATGGTGGCTTACGCCCGTAATCCCAGCACTTTGGGAGGCCGAGGCAGGTGGATCATCTGAGGTCAGGAGTTTGAGACCAGCCTGGCCAACATGGTGAAGCCCTGCCTCTACTAAAAATACAAAATTAGCTGGGTCTGGTGGCATGTGCCTGTAGTCCCAGCTACTCGGGAGAATGAGGCAGGAGAATCGCTTGAATCTGGGGAGCGGAGGTTGCAGTGAGCAGAGATTGCACCTCTATACTCCAGCCTAGGCGACAGAGGACTCCATCTCAAAAAAGAAAGAAAGAAAGAAAGAAATAGTATTTTATTCTTCTACTGATTTGTATTTCTTTGATTTCTAGTGAGAGCAAATTTTTTCATAAGTTTATTAATTTTTTTTTTGAGGGGGGACAGAGTCTCCCTCTGTCACCCAGGCTTGAGTGAAGCGGCGCCATCTCTGCTCACTGCAACCTCTGCCTCCTGGGTTCAAGCGATTCTCTTGACTCATTCTCTGGTGCACGCCACCATGCCCAGCTGATTTTTGTATTTTTAGTGAAGGCAGGGCTTCACCGTGTTGGCCAGGCTGGTCTCAAACTCCTGACCTCAGGTGATCCACCCACCTCGGCCTCCCAAAGTGCTAGGATTACAGGCGTGAGCCACTGTGCCTGGCCTAAAATTATATTTCAACCTCCATGTTGGCAAAGACTTTTAATACTCCCTGGGCTGGGAAGTAGAAAGCAGGTAACCTTGTATAATGCTGGCAGGGAGGGGGTTGTAATTTGTTAACTCAATTCTGGAGAACAATTCAGAAATACATATCAAACGCCTTAGAATATTGTGTACTCTGTCTGATATTTTGCTTTCAAGAATTCATCCTAAAGCAATAATTATAGTTGAATACAAGGATTTTTTAAAATGTTTTATTTATTTTAAAAAATTATTTTTCTTTTGTAGAGATGAGGTCACGCTATGTTGCCCAGGCTGGTCTTGAACTCCTGAGCTCAAGCAATCTGCCTGCCTCGACCTCCTGAAGTGCTGGGATTACAGGTGTGAGCCACTGCACCCAGCTAGGATTTTTAAAACATTATTTATAATAGTGAGAAATTGAAAACACACCAAAATAAATTTGAAAAAATAGATGAGTATGTAGAATAAATGACCAAAAATTTTTCTAAGCATAAAATCCATGGAATGGAATAAATCTCACACACAGACACACACACACACACATTTAATGTATGTTTTTAAAGATCATAAAATATATTTAAAGGAAAGCAACTAGCTGGAAGAATATGTACCACAAATATGCCGAATTGTTAATATCCTAAAACACTACACTAAAAATGTGTATGCTATACTATAAACCAATAAAAATACCCTCCAACAAAAAAATGAACAAAGAATTATCTGAAGACAGGCCAGGTACAGTGGCTCATGCCTGTAATCCCAGCTACTCAGGAGGCTGAGCCAGGGGAATCACTTGAACCTGGGAGGTGGAGGTTGCAGTGAGCTGAGATTGTGCCACTGCACTCCAGCCTGGGTGACAGAGCAAGACTCTGTCTCAAAATACAAACAAACAATAGCAAAAACCCAAGAATTGTCTGAAGACAATTCACAGAAAAAGTGTAAGTGGTTAATAAACATAAGAAAAATATTTAGCCTTATTACCAATGAAAGAAATACATATGAAAATGAGATTTGGCCAGGAGCCATGCCTGTAATCCCAGCACTTTGGGAGGTCAAGGCTGGCAGATCACCTAAGGTCAAGAGTTCGAGACCAGCCTGGCCAACGTGGTGAAACTCCATCTTTGCTTTAAAAAAAAAAAAAAAAACAAAAACAAAACACACACACACAAACACACACACACACACAAATTAGCCAGGCGTGGTGGTGCACCTGTGGTCCCAGCTACTCAGGAGGCTGAGGCTGAAGAATCGCTTGAACCTAGGAGGCAGAGGCTGCAGTGAGCCGAGATCATGCCACCGCACTCTGGCCTGGGCAACAGAGTGAGACCGTGTCTCAAAAATAAATAAATAAATAAATAAATAAATAAATAAATAGATTTTTAAGCCAGGCCAAGTGGCTCACGCCTGTAGTCTCAGCACTTCGGGAGGTTGAGACAGGAGGATCACTTGAGCCCAGGTGTCCCAGGCTGCAGTGAGCTATGATTGTGCACTCCAGCCTGGGCAACACAGCAAGAGTTTGTCTCTAAAAAAATTAAAAATAAATGAAACAAGATTTTAAAAAACTTATCAAACCAGCAAAAGAAGTTTAATTATAATACCTAATGTTGTTGAATATACAGGGAACTATGCATTTTCATTTACTTGGAAGTTTAAATTGGTTAAAAGTTTTTTTTTTTCTGAGAAACACCAGCAATATATTAAATGATTTTTTAAAAAATCACACTTTTGGTTATGTGCAGTGGCTCATGCCTGTAATCCCAGCACTCTGGGAGGCTGAGACTGGAGGATCTCTTGAGGCCAGGAGTTTGAGACTAGCCTGAGCAACATAGCAAGACCCCATGGCTACAAAAAATTAAAAAGTTAGCCAGGTGTGGTTGTGCACACTTGTAGTCCCAGGTACTCGGAAGACTGAGGCAGGAGGATCACTTGAGGCCGGGAGGTTGAGGCTGCAGTGAGCTGTCATCATGCCACTGCACTCCAGTCCGGGCAACAAAGCTAGACTTTGTTTCAAAAAAAAAAAATCCTATTCTTGTCTTTGAGAACCTATTCTAGCAGTATCCAAAGGACACAATTTATTAAATGCACAATGCATTATGTGTAGTAACTTTCTTCACAGTATTATTCATATTTTTGTAAACAAAGGGGCTGGTTAAATAATGTATTTATATAGGGGTGAAGGGTGAGAGCAGGGAAACCAATTGCATTTTCATCGTCATCTAGCTCCTTGATTCTGGTGGGCATATCAGCTACTAACAGATATAAAAGTGACTTTAAAAGTATATTGTGGCTGGGTGCAGTGACTCACATCTGCAATTTCAGCACTTTGGAAGGCCTAGGTGGGATTGCTTGAGTTCAGGAATTTGAGACCAGCCTGGGTCTCAACACAGCAAGACCTGTCTCTTAAAAAAAAAAAAAAAAAAAAAAAAAAAAGTGATAGAAATACCAGGTCTGAAGACTACTTTCTAATATAATATAATATAATATAATATAATATAATATAATATAATACAATACAATATAATACAATATAATATAATATAATATATAAGAGAAAAGAAAGAAACTCCAGAAACTCCAGCATAATACCTTCCCCTCCTTTCTCCTCCAGCCAAATGCAAATTTAACGTTATATTATAATACACAATAGATGTATTCTAAAATAAAATATTAAAAAACAATGAGAGAGATCTTTATATGCTGATCAGGAAATAAATTCACGACATGTTGAAGAAAAGAAAATTGTGAAAAAAGGTTTAAAAATGAAAATAAAAGGTTGGGTGCATGGCTCACACTTGTAATCCTAGCACTTTGGGAGGCTGAGGTAGGAGGATTGCTTGAGCCCAGGAGTTCAAAACCAGCCTGGGCATTGGGCAACATAGTGAGACCCTATCTCAAAAAAAAAGAAAAATGAAAATTGTGCTTGTGTGTGGTGGGGGTGTGTGTGGATGAATTGATAGAGCGTTTTTAAGAGATGGAAGCATAGATGCTGTTTACTTTTTTTTTTTTTCCTTAGAGACAGGGTCTTGCCTAGGCTGGAGTGCAGTGGCACGATCATGGCTCACTGCAGCCTCAAACTGTTCCACCCTCCTTAGCCTCCAGGGAGTAGCTAGGACTACAGGTGTGTGCCACCATGCCCAGATATATTTTTTAATTTTTTGTAGAGATGGAGCTTGCTATGTTGCCCAGGCTGGTGTCAAACTCCTGGTCTCAAGTGATCCTCCCGCCTTGGCCTCCCAAAGCACTGGGATTACAGGTGTGAGCCACTATGCCCAGCCCTTATTTTGCCTTTTACAAATGACAACAAAAAATAAAAGCAAATAAATGTCAGTCTTTAGAGCTGAGTTGTCTCTTTTGCATCAATAGAAAAGAAACTCCTCTCACAACTACACCTGATGAAAGAAAGAAAGAAAAAGAAAGAGAAAGAAAGAAAGAAAGAAAAGAAAAAAAAGAAAAGAAGGAAAGAAAGAAATCTTCTTAGGGACTAACCTGGAGTTGTGACAGTTGTGGCTCAAAACGTTGCTTTCTGAGCTAGGAATGAACTGGAATCACTGCCATTCACTAGTGAGGCAATGGTCTGGCTGCTCGACTCTCTCCCTCTGCCGCCCCCACCCTGAGCTCCAAGTCACTTCCTCTATCATGATGATTGCATTGGACGTCTCTGCCATAATCCTCCAGCAAATCATGCAATGAGGGTTCACAGAACGGACTGTGTGAGCTCAAAGGAATCTTGCCCATTTATTTTCTCAGCAAATACTCAGTTTCTATTTCATACTGGACGCTTGCTAAGCAACTGAGGATAAACAGTGAGGCAGATACAGCCCCTGCCCTCTTAAAGTTTATAATCTAGTAGATGAGACTGAAAAATAAATGAATCGTTCCGGTAGCATACAATACACCCTGACAGGAGAACAATGGAGGGGGCACATAGCCAGACTGGGACCAGAGGGCCCGGGGGAGAGTGACAGGGCAGGATTCCAGAAGAGTTTAGATGTCTAGCTTAGATGTCTAGTTTAGATGTCATCTAAGAACAAGTAAGAGAGAACTAGATGAAGAGCAAGTAGGAGCAATATTAGAAAGGATGGGTGATGGCAGCCTTGACACCGTGAGGCTGCAGGCAGTTTAGCATGCCTGCAATGCAGGATGCTGGAGGCAGGAGAGAGGAAAAAGGAGCAACATGATGCTCCACAGGAAAGAAGGGCCAACTCACAAACGTTGCTTTGTAATAGCCACGGTAAGAATTTGTTCTGCATCCTAGAGTCCATGGAAAGCCATTGGAGAGTTTTAAGCAGGAGGCTAACAAGACTGAGTTTGCTTGGACAGACCACATCGGCTACAAGATTTAGAGGGGTGTGGTGGGGGGGGGGGGCAGAAATATGACCCCCCAAAGATGACCACATACGAATCCCTGGAACCTATGGATATGCTACTTTACATGGCAAAGGAGATTTTGCAGGTGTTGTTAAGAATTTTGAGATGAGGTGTTTATCCTGGATTAACTAGATGGGCCCAATGTAATCACAAAGGTCCTTTAAAGTGGAAGGTAGGGACAGAAGAGAGAGGCAAAGGAGATTTTACTGTGGAAGAGTGGTCAAGGAGATGTCACATTGCTAACTTTGAAGATGGAGGAAGGGAGCCACAAGCCAAGGAATGCAGAAAGCCTCTAGAAAAGAGAAAAGGAAAGGAAATAGACTCTTCCCTAGAGCCTCAGGAAAGGGGTGCAGCCCTGCTCACGTCTTGATTTTAGCCCCGTGTCATTCGGACTTCTTACCTACTGAGCTAGAAGTAACAAATTTGTATTGTGTTTTTTTTGTTTGTTTGTTTGGTTGGGGTTTTTTTGTTTTGTTTTTTGTTTTTTTTTGAGACGGAGTCTCGCTCTATTACCAGGCTGGAGTGCAGTGGCGTGATCTCGGCTCACTGCAACCTCCGCCTCCCGGGTTCAAGCGATTCTCCTGCTTCAGCCTCCCAAGTAGCTGGGATTACAGGCACCCACCACCATGCCCAGCTAATTTTTGTATATTTAGTAGAGACGAGGTTTCAACATGTTGGCCAGGATGGTCTCGATCTCTTGACCTTGTGATCCACCTGCCTTGGCCTCCCAAAGTGCCGGGATTACAGGTGTGAGCCACCATTCCTGGCCAGAAATTTGTATTGTTTTAAGCCACTACATTTGTGGTAATTTCTTACAGGAGTAACAGAAAACGAATACAGATTATGTTACTGCTGTAACAAATACCTAAACATGTAGAAGTGGTTTTGGAACTGAACTTTGGGAGGAGGCAGGAAAAACACTGAGGAGCATGATGGGAAAAGCCTGTATGGCCTTGATCAGACTGCTGGGAGAAATGTGAATGCTAACAGCTTGGACAGTGAGGACTCTGGAATCAGTAATGAGCAGAGTCAAGAAAATATCAACCAATTTAGAGAACATGAACGGACTTGGAAGAAATATGGCTGTTAAAGGTGCTATGGGTGACGGCTGAGAAAGAAATGGGGAATATGTTAGGGGAAACTGGAGGAAAGAGGATCCTTGGTACATAGTGACAAAAAGCTTATCCAGTTCCTTGAAGTTATATGAAACACAGAATTTATAAACAATGAACTTGAGGCCGGGCAAGGTGGCTCATGCCTGTAATCCCAGCACTTTGGGAGGCTGAGGCGGGTGGATCACCTGAGGTCAGGAGCTCAAGACTAGCCTGGCCAACATGGAGAAACCCCATCTCTACTAAAAATACAAAATTAGCTAGGCGTGGTGGCAGGAACCTGTAGTTCCAGCTACTAGAGAGGCTAAGGCAGGAGAGTTGCTTGAACCCCAGAGGTGGAGGTTGCAGTGAGCCGAGATCGTGCCACTGCACTCCAACCTGGGTGACAGAGTGGGGCCCTGTCTCAAAAAGAAAACAACAACAACAAAAAAACAATGAAATTGGGTAGTTAGCTAAGGAGATTTCCAGGCAGTGTTGAAGGGTGTGGTCTGGTTTCTTCTTGCTGCTTACAGTAAAATGTGAGAGGAAACAGATAATTTGAGAGAAATGTTTAACAAAAAATGAAACAGAACTTGATGATTGGGGGAATTCTCAGCCTATTCAGATGCAAAAGACGTTAAAATGATGAAATTCACTGTCAGGAAAGTGTGCTTTAGAGAAAAAGCCAAGAACGTGGCTGGACAACCTTTTGCTAATACCTCAGAAAGATCAAAAGGTCAGAGTATCAGGCCTGTAATCCCAGCACTTTAGGAGGTTGAGAAGGGAGGATCGCTGGAGCCCAGGAGCTCAAGGTCAGCTTGAGGAAACATAGGGAGACCTCATTTCTACAGATAACAACAACAACAACAACAACAACAACAAAAATTAGCTGGGTAGGTGGTGCTTGCCTGTAGTCTCAGCTATTTGGGAGACTGAGGTGGGAGGATTGTTTGAGCCTGGAGAGTCAAGGCTGCAGTGAACTGTGGTTGCACCACTGAATTCCAGCCTGGGCAATAGAGCAAGACACTGTCAAAAAAAAAAAAAAGTTCAGAGTATTCTGTCACATAAGAGGTTTTTTGAAGAGATTAAGTGTGAGACTCATATATCCCCTCAGCTACCTCAACAGAAGACAGAAATAGAAACGGGCTTATCAAGCGAAGATCTGCAAAGGAGCATTTTGTCTAATGGAGTGACATACATGAGAGATCCACGGGGTTCTTGAGAATTTTATACCAGCAGAAACACTTGAGCTTGGACTGTACAGGATAGAGAGGGTATGAAATGAAAGAAGGCTATAAGATCCCCCAAATTCTACAGGCAGGAAACAAGTTGATAAAACCACCCAGCTGCAGCCATGTGCTGAACCTTTCATGAAAAAGGAAGAATGACTAAGAGGACAGAGCTGTGATCCCAGAGGGCAGAGCTTTGAGCTGCAAAGTATTATTTCCAGGCTTTGAAACCTAATGGAGTTTGTCTAACTTAATTTTGAAATTGCTTGGGACTAGTGACTCCTCTATTTCTTCCTTTCTCTCTTTTTACATGGGAATGTCTATTAGTGTTATCCTATGCTAGACCCAGTATCGTATTTTGGAAGCAGAAGCTTATTTTCTAGTTTCACACGTCCACAGGTGGAGAGAAACTTTGCCCCAGGATAGATTATGCTGAGTCTCATCCAAAACCTAATTTAGATAATATCCATGATAAATCTGAAACTCTTGAGCTAATGAGATTTAAATGAGACTTTGAACTTTGAGTTGATACTTTAATGGGCTGAGATTTTTAGGGACCTTGGAATAAGGTGAATGCATTTTGTTCGTGAGACAGGTATGAATACTGGGGCCAGAGAATGGTCTGTGGTAGGCAGAATAATGATCTACCAAAGATGCCTCCAGAACCTGTGAATCTGTTACATTACATGGCAAAAAGGGACTTTGAAGAATTGATTAAATTAAGGATTATGAGACAGGGAGATTATCCTACATTACCTAATAGGCCCAATATAATCACAAGGTCCTTAAAAGTGGAAAGGGGGCCGGGCGTGGTGGCTCATGCCTGTAGTCCCAGCACTTTGGGAGGCTGACGCAGGCAGATCACTTGAGGTCAGGAGTTCAAGACCAGCTTGGCCAACACGGTGAAACCCCGTCTCTACTAAAAATACAAAATTATCCAGACGTGGTGGCAAGCACCTGTAATCCCAGCTACTCAGGAGGCTGAGGCAGGGGAATCACTTGAACCTGGGAGGCGGAGGTTGCAGTGAGGCGAGATCACACCATTGTACTTCAGCCTGGGCAACAAGAGTGAAACTCCATCAAAAAAAAAAAAAAAAGTGGAAGGGGAAGACAGAAGAGAGAAGCACAGGGAGATTTTACTATAGTATGGTCAGTAAGATGTAACTTTGTTGGTTTTGAAGATGGAGGAAGGGGAAACCAAGAAATGTGGGAAGCCTCTAGAAGGTGGGAAAGGCTGGGCAATGAGTTATCTCCTTGAGCCTCCAGAAAGGAACACAGAGGAAAAACAATGGAGCAAAACTGGAAGCAAGGAGTTAAAATAAGAGGCAGTTGCAATACCCCCAAGCAAAAGAGGATGGTATGCTGAATAAGGTAGGTGCAGTGGGGATGGAGAGAGGTGGATGGATTAAACACCTATGAGGTATAGTCACTGGGACAAGGCGATAATATTTCTCGGGGAGGAGAGAGGGAAGTCTCTTCTCCAGGATGACATCCATAGTTTTGGCTTATGCAATAGGGCAGAGGGTGGGACCACTGGCTGTGTAGGCCACACAGGAAGAGGAACAGGTTTGTGGGCAAGAAGATAATTTCATTTGGGACATGTCAGTTTGGTGGTGCCTGTGGAACATCTGAGAAGCAGTTGGATAAGCAGGTCTGAGACTCAGGAAAACATATAGGCAGCAGTTAAAGTCAACCCGATGGATAAGATGGCCCAGGAAGAGTATAAAGAATAAGAAGATAGGACAGGACCTTGTAGAGTGCTAAGTAAGGGTGTGCAGAGAAAAGAAATCTGCAAGGGGCCTGAGAAAGAACAGCTGGAGAGGTAGGAGGAAAGCCAGGAGAGTGTAGTTCATGTAAGCGGACACTAAAGCTTATCAGTGTTGGACCAGCACTGGGAAGGAATCAGATGGAACAAGTGGGAGGTCAGATGAAACCAGGGTCAGGATTGGCAATTCTGAGGAGTTTGGAGTTGCTCTGTTCTAGCTGGAGAGAGAAGCACCTGTGGGAAGCTGATGGTTGGTATTTTCTGCCAGGCATAAGAGGGCAGCCAGAGGCCAGGTGAGCAAACCTGTTTAGCACTCTGGCTCAGCCCAGAATGGGCAGCTGTTTCCAGGAAGGGGTTCTAGGTCGTCTCACTGTGCTGTAATTAAGAGACTCAGCCCCTGCCCCAACTTGCTCCACGGGACTGACCAGCTGTGTTTGCTCTTCTCTAGCAGGGAAGGGGGATCATCTGTCACCTACTCTGTTTTCTGAACATTCATCCCACTCCCTGCCTTTCTTACAAAGTTCCTTCTGCCAATTAACCGGGTGTGGTGGCGGGCGCCTGTATTCCCAGCTACTTGGGAGGCTGAGGCAGAAGAATCGCTTGAAACCGGAAGGCAGAGGTTGCAGTGAGCAGACATTGCGACACTGCACTCCAGCCTGGGCGAAAGAGCGAAACTACATCTCAAACAAACAAAACGAAGTTCCCTTCTGCCGAAAACAAATATCCAAAGCGTTCTGGGCACTGTGCTAAGTACTTCATGGTCATCAAGAGACACTATTCTCCCCATCTCACAAATGAGGAAACTGAGGCTTAAAGAGATGAAATGACTTGCCCAAGGTCACAGTCAGTATGTGGTAGAACCAGGATCCAAGTCTAGCTGAATCCAAATTCTAAGTTCTAACTCCCCAGAAACCACGACTGCTCCCTCGCTGGGTTCCCACAGTGCTTTATCTGCCTCTATGCCCGTTTCATCTCGCTAGCAGCTCCTGGAGAAAGGGGCTTTTAATTCGTCTTGTCAAGCTGTCATCATGGTGTGCTGCCGCAGAGGACCACTAGGTGCCGCCAGAGCACCAGCCAGCCTGATTTACTGCTCACCTGGAGTCGGTCTAAAGGAGCAACTGGTGGGGAAGGGAGCTGGGCCTTTTCTTCCTGCCCTGCAGCCCACCTCTCCTTCCTATCGGAGGTGGGAAGAAACGACTGGAAGATTGGAAGGTTAGAAATTAGAGATTTGGCCGGGCGTCGTGGCTCACGCCGGTAATCCCAACACTTTGGGAGGCAGAGGCAGGTGGATCACATGAGGCCTGGAGTTCGAGATCAGCCTGGCCAACAGGGTGAAACCCCGTCTCTACTAAAAATACAAAAATTAGCCGGGCGTGGTGGTGCACATCTATAATCCCAGCTGCTCAGGAGGCTGAGGCAGGAGCTGAGGTTTGAACCCACGAGGCAGAGGTTGCACTGAGTCGAGATGGCGCCACTGCACCCCAGCCTGGGCAACAGTCAGAGCTGGTCTCAAAAAATAAATAAATAAATAAATAAATTTAGAGATCTGAGGAGTGTAAACTGGAGCAGCCCAGGGCTCAAGTCAAACAGAAGATCCTAAGAGTTCTCTAAGAAAGCTAGAACCAGCAAAATAAAATATTGCGGCAAACATCTCCAGGCTGGGTCTCAGCCCCACTCCTCTGTCCTCCCTTTTTGTGCAGATCCTAAAATGCACAACCCTATGCTGTGGCTGTAGTGGAAAGTGGGGAAAATGTATGTTACTGAGACCTATCCAGAGCTAGAAACTGTGGGAAAACAGGTGTGTGTCCTTGGGGAAATCACTTCACACCTCTAAGCTTCAGTCTTCTTGTAAATAAAATGAGGATAGGCCCAGCACAGTGGCTCACGCCTGTAATCCCAGCACTTTGGGAGGCCAAGGTGGGAGGATCGCTTGAGCCCAGGAGTTCAAGACCAGCCTGGACAACATAGTGAGACCTCTTCTCTATTAAAAATAAATAAATAAATAAAATGAGGATAATCAAGGGACCTACCTCGTTGAGCGGTTGTGAGGAGTTAAAGACAAAATGCATGTACCACACTGATACAATATCTGTCATATAGCAAGTGCTTAATAAATATTGTTATAAACACAATAATTATGATAATATAAATATTTAAATGATAAGCATTATTGTTGTATTTGTCAGGATTCTCCAGAGAAACAGAACCAATAGGATATATATAGATAACGTAAGAGGAAATTTATTACGGGCGTTGGCTCATGCGATTACAAAGGCCAAGAAGTCCAATGATAAACTGTCTGCAAGCTGAGAACCAGGAAAGCCGGTAGCGTAATTTAGTCCCCAGTGGAAGGCCTGAGAGTGGGGTTGGGGAGGGAAACCGGTTCAAGAACCAGGAGCTCCGATGTCCAAGGGGAGGAGAAAATAGATGTCCCAGCTCAAGGACAGAGAGAATTCACCCTTCCTCTGCCTTTTTATTCAAGCCCTCAATGGACTGGATGCTGCCCACTCACATAGATGAAGGTGGATCTTCTTTGCTCTCAGTCTACTGATTCAAACGTTAACTCTTCCAGAAACACCCTCAAAGGCACACCCAGAAATAATGTTCTACCAGCTAATATCCCTTAGTCCAGTCAAGATGACACGTAAAATCAGTACACAAAATTAACAGTCACTGCTGGGCGTGGTGGCTCACGCCTGTAATCCCAAAACTTTGGGAGGCTGAGGCGGGAGGATCACCTGAGTTCAGGAGTTCGAGACCAGCCTGGCCAACATGGTGAAACCCTGTCTCTATGAAAAATACAAAAAAATTAGCCAGGCATGGTGGCGGGTGCCTGTAATTCCAGCTACTCTGGAGGCTGTGGCAGGAGAATTGCTTGAACCCAGGAGGCAGAGGTTGCAGTGAGCCGAGATCACACCACTGCACTCCAGCCTGGGCAACAGAGTGAGACTCCATCTCAAAAAACATTATAAGCAAATCAAAGAAAATTGAGGACTACCAGATTATAATTTCTGACCCATTATCTTTCACCCAACTTGGTCTTGAACAACTAGTAGCTATTTCTCAAATCCAATCCACCTTCAAGGTTTAACAAACAAATAAAAATATGTTCACACACCTTCAAAATAATCTGATAGAAGTTCTGAAGATAGGCTGGGTGAGGTTCACACTTGTAATCCCAGCACTTTGGGAGGCCGAGGCAGGCAGATCACGAGGTCAGAGGATCCAGATCATCCTGGCTAACAGGATGAAACTCCATCACTACTAAAAATACAAAAAATTAGCTGGGCTTGGTGGCACACAGCTGTAGTCCCAGATACTCGGGAGGCTGAGGCAGGAGAATCGCTTGAACCCGGGAGGCAGAGGTTGCAGTGAGCCGAGATCGTGCCATTGCACTCCAGCCTGGGCAACAAAAGCAAGACACCGTCTCAAAAAAAAAAAATTAATGATCACCATTAATAATAAGTGGTAGTTCTCGGCCGGGCGCAGTGGCTCACGCTTCTAATCCCAACACTTTGGGAGGCCGAGGCGGGTGGATCACCTGAGATCAGGAGTTCAAGACCAGCCTGGCCAACATGGTGAAACCCCATCTCTACTAAAAATACAAAAATTATCCAGGCGTAGTGGTGCAGGCCTGTAGTCCCAGCTACTTGGGAAGCTAAGGCAGAGAATCGCTTGAACCCAGGAGACCGAGGTTGCAGTGAGCTGAGATCGTGCCATTGCCCTCCAGCCTGGGCAACAGAGTGAGATTTGGTTCCAAATAATGAAAATAATAATAATAATAATAATAATAATAATAATAATAATAAATGGTAGTTCTTAGCTGCTGCCTTCATGATGACATCATTTAATTATCTTCTCACACTACAGGCCTGACACATAACGTCCTCAACAAATATTTGTAGGATAAAAAAATAAAAATAGTTTTCACTCATGTTCTCTGTGTTAATCCAGCTTGTTGATCCTGGAGAGACTTTCTGGATGTGGTGTCTTTAAGGATCAACAGGAGTTTGCTGAGGATAATTGCACCTTCTATATTAAACAGAACAGTGCCTAGATAACAGAGAAAGTGTTCGGTAAATACTTTGGAAAGAAGAAAGGGAAAGAGGAAGAAAGGAAAGGGAAAAGAGAGAAAAGAAGGAAGAGGAAGAAGAGAGGAGTGAAAGAAAAGCTCAAGAAGGGCCTGATACACTGTCTCACGCCTGTAATCCTCACATTTTGGGAGGCCAAGGCAGGAGAATCACATGAACCCAGGAGTTCAAGACCAGCCTGAGAAACATAGTGGGGCCTTATCTCTTAAAAAAAAAAAAAAAAAAAAAAGACACAAAACAACAACAAAAACCTTAAGATTTTTTCCTTTAAAACTTAGCCTTCACTTGAAACTCATCAAGGAGGTTTTAAATTTGAGCTAAGGATCTCTGAGACAGGCTGCAAATAGGATCTCTAGCAAGACGTGGTTTTGTTTGTTTGTTTTTTGAGACGGAGTTTCGCTCTTGTTGCTCAGGCTGGAGTACAATGGCGCAATCTCATCTCACCGCAACCTCCCAGGTTCAAGCGATTCTCTGCCTCGGCCTCCTGAATAGCTAGGATTACAGGTGTGCACTATCACGCCCAGCTAATTTATGTAATTTTAGTAGAGACGGGGGTTTCACCATGTTGGCCAGGCTGGTCTTGAACTCCTGACCTCAGGTATCCACCCAACTCAGCCTTCCAAAGTGCTGGGATTACAGGCGTGAGCCACCGCGCCTGGCCCAAAATGTTTCTTAGAGAGCTGATATCACTACACTTTAGGTCCCGATAGTCCCACAAGTTTCCTCTAATGTAGCTGTCAGCACACTTCTGTCTTATCTGAACCCCTACCCTAAGTGTGAGCTCTGTGAAGCTAGGGGCTGTATCTATTTTGACCAATGTTGTACATATTTAGTACAAAGAAGGTGCTCACTAAATTTTGTTAGTTCTTAAACTGGGCTGAGTTCTAGTTCTGGTAATGGCAGAGTAGATTGTATCTGACTAACTCCCTCATAGATAACAACTATAAATTCTGCTAAAAATATTTGGCAATGATAAAAAATAAAAACTGAATTAAGGCACTGTAAAGTGACGAAAACCAGGCATAAGCTGGAAGGAGATTCCGTGTTTCAAATAAGGGAACCACACTGGGTATGATCCACATTTATATGGATTTTCCACCAGGGAAAATTCTTCAGTTTCCACAGCGCAGAAAGCTAGAATTCGAGCAGAAATTCAGAACTTAATTTGTCAATTAAATCAGAAGATAGAGTTCAGGCTGTTACAGTGACTGAAAATTGAGGGAGAAACCCCAGAAACAAAAGATCCAGAGAAAATAACCAAAAATCTGCACATAAACTTCCTCAAATCCTGAGCTAAGCCTTGAATCGCACATGCACAAATAAGACTCCAAGTCACTCAGCGGGGAAACCAATAGCTGGAAGGATGAAATTAATGAGCAAAGATTTTAGCTGCTGCTCACTGCAAGGAAGACAATTTGAAGTTGAAATTCTGCCACATTATCAGGGCTTGGTAAAAGACAGTCCATCAAAACCCCAAAAGGACTATACCTAAGGAGAAAACCCTGTATCCTGAGTTAAGAGATATAGCCTATGACCAGGAGCAAAATAAAAACTAGACTTAGACCGGGCGCAGTGGCTCACTCCTATAATCCTAGCACTTTCGGAGGCCAAGGCGGGTGGTTCACCTGAGGTCTGGAGTTCGAGACCAGCCTGGCCAACATGGTGAAACCCCATCTCTACTAAAAATACAAAATTAGCCAGGGAATGGTGTTGGGTGCCTGTAATCCCAGCTACTCAGGAGGCTGAGGCAGGAGAATCGCTTGAACCCAGGGGATGGGGGTTGCCCTGAGCCGAGATCGTGCCATTGCACTTCAGCCTGGGTAACAAGAGTGAAACTCTGTCTCAAAATAAATAAATAAATAAATAAATAAATAAATAAAGTAGACTTATTCTAACAAAGAGTAAAATCAAACACCCACAAGTTTGAGATGATCCACCAGTAATTTAACTGCTGGCAAAAAAAAAAAAAAAAATTGACACTATTCAGAGGAGTATAACAGAATTCAGAATCTCTGTAACGTATCACTCATGGTCAATGTGCAATAAAAACTATTAGACATGCAAAACAACAACAACCACACACACAAAAAAATGTGACCCATAGACAAGAGAAAAAAAGTCAATAGAAACAGAGCCACAGACAATTCAAATATCAGAATTCGGAATCAAAAACTTTAAAGTAACCATGACAAATTGTCCTTAAGAGTCTACAGGAAAGGATGGTTATATTGGGTTTAAAAATGAAGAATATCAGCCTTACGGCCAGAAACGCCACCTTCCAGTAATTCGCCAAAATGACAAACACAAAGGGAAAGAGGAGAGGCACCCGATACATGTTCTCTAGGCCTTTTAGAAAACATGGAGTTGTTCCTTTGGCCATGTATATGCGAATCTATAAGAAAGGTGATATTGTAGACATCAAGGGAATGGGTACTGTTCAAAAAGGAATGTCCCACAAGTGTTACCATGGCAAAACTGGAAGAGTCTACAATGTTCCCCAGCATGCTGTTGGCATTGTTGTAAACAAACAAGTTAAGGGCAAGATTCTTGCCAAGAGAATTAATGTGTGTATTGAGCACATTAAGCACTCTAAAAGCCGAGATAGCTTCCTGAAACGTGTGAAGGAAAATGATCAGAAAAAGAAAGAAGCCAAAGAGAAAGTTACCTGGGTTCAACGGAAGCACCAGCCTGCTCCACCCAGAGAAGCACAGTGTGTGAGAACCAATGGGAAGGAGCCTGAGCTGCTGGAAACTATTCCCTATGAATTCATGGCATAATAGGTGTTAAAAAAAAATAGAAGACTTCCGGACTGTAAAAATGTTTCTCTTCATTGAGTAGAAGTGTAGTATCCTCTCCCCCAAAGAAATATTTAAAGGAAATTTTAATTGTGTCCTAATTCATTATGCAATGTCTTTACTGTTCAAATTTAATGTATTTCTTGCTGAAAGACATGAGGTAGCTTATTGTGCAACAAATTACTCAATTGGTTAGAAAATGGCCAGGTATTATGTATGAAATATTTGTACTGGTTTGAAGACAGGGCCTCTAAATCATCAAGGAAGAAATAAAATAATTTACAAAAATAAAAAAATGAAAGCTATCAAGAGAGACTTGAAAGTAGTAGAAAAGAACCAAATGAAAATCCTAAAAAGGAAAAATATAACATCTAAAATTTATTTATTTATGTATGTATGTATTTATTTATTTATTTTTAGATGGAGTCTCACCCTGTCACCCAGGCTGGAGTGTAATAGCACAATCTCGGCTCACTGCAACCTCTGCCTCCCAGGTTCAAATGATTCTCCTGCCTCGGCCTCCCAGGTAGCTGGGATTACAGGCACACACCACCACACCCAGCTAATTTTTGTATTTTTAGTAGAGACAAGGTTTCACCATGTTTGCCAGGCTGTTCTCGATCTCCTGAACTTGTGATCTGCCTGCCTCAGCCTCCCAAAGTGCTGGGATTACAGGCATGAGCCACCGCACCCAGCCAATATCTGAAATTTAAAATGTGTTGGATGTATTAAGAATAGATTTGACATAATTGAAGAAATAACCCATAAGTGTAAATACTAGTTAATAGGATCAACCAAACTGAAGCACAGAGAGTGAAAAAATTGAAAAAAAAAGTGATCACAATCTTTATGGCCTATTGGACACTGTTGAAAGATCTAATACATATATAATTGGAGTTCCACAAAGATAAGAGAGAGAGATTGTGGAGAACAACAAATATTTGAGGAAATACTAGCAGAAATTTTCCAACTTTAATTTTTTCTAAGCAGCAATCTATAGACCAGAAGATCAGAAACCCACAATTTGATAAGTACAAATAACACCATATTGGGATACGTAATAGTCAAACTGTTATGGATAAAGAAAAACTTTAGGCTGGACGCAGTGGCTCACGCCTGTAATCCCAGCACTTTGGAAGGCTGAGGCGGGTGGATCACGAGGTCAGGAGTTTGAGACCAGCCTGACCAACAAGGTGAAACCCCGTCTCTACTAAAAATACAAAAATTAGCCAGGCGTGGTGGTGTGTGCCTGTAATCCCAGCTACTCAGGAGGCTGAGGCAGGAGAATTGCTTGAATCCAGGAGGTGGAGGTTGCAGTGGGCCAAGACTGCGCCACAGCACTCCAGCCTGAGTGACAGAGCAAGACTCTGTCTCAAAAAAAATAAAAAAGAAAAAGAAAAACTTTAAAGTGGCCAGAGATAAAAGACCTACAGGGAACCAAACATGAATAATAGCTGACTTGTCACTAGAAACAGTGGAGCCCAGCCAACACTGGAACAACTTCTTTAAAGTGCTCAAGTAGGCTGGGCACAGTGGCTCACACATGTAATCTCAGCACTTTGGGAGGCTGAGGCAGGAGGATCATTTGAGACCAGGAGTTTAAGACCAGCCTGGCCAATATGACAAAACCCTGTCTCTACTAAAAATACAAAAACGAGCTGGGCATGGTGGTGCACATCTATAATCCCAGCTACTCAGGAGGCAGCTGGGCATGAGAATTGCTTGAATCTGGGAGGTAGAGGCTGCAGTGAGCCAAGATTGCACCACAGCACTCCAGCCTGGGTGACACAGCGAGACTCTTTCTCAAAAAAATGAAATAAAATAAAGTGCTCAAGTAAAAACATACACACACACAAAAACACAAAAACCTGCAAACCTAGAACTTAATATCCAGTGAAAATGTATTTCAAAAATGAAGACAAAATGAAGAATTTCAAATAAATTAAAGTTGAATTTGTCACCAGCAGAACCAAATGTATGAAATGATGAAGAAAGGGCTTCAGTTTAAAGGAAAATTACACCAAATAGCACTTTGGATTTCCAGGAAAAAAGGAAGAACACTGAAAATAGTACATAGGTTGATGTGAAAGATATTATTCTTTACTTTCTTAAATTCTTTAAAAGTCAGTGGACTCTTGGGGCATAATGTCAGCAAGATGGTGGAATAGGAAGCCCCAGACTTCATTCTCCCATAGAGATACTGAGTTAACAACAGCATATAGTCCAAAAAGCCTTGATGAGGACTCCAGAAACAACTTAAGGAATCATGGTATTCCAGGCAAGCACAAAACCAATAGTAGCCATGCTGAAATGGGAATAGAAGACAGTATTAAATGTGTTATTGGGATTTAATTCTAAAAATACGAATGTTATAGGTTCCTGTAAAAATAAAGCATTTTTGTTTATTTCTCTTTAAAAATAGTCAATGGACTCTTTAAAGCAGAAATATTAATACTGTATTGTAGGCTCAAAAGCATATGGAGAAATAAAATATATGACCGAAACAGTGCAATGAACAAGAGGAGTGGCAATGGAATAGTACTGTTGGAAGGTTCTTACATTATGTATCAGGCGACATAATATTACTTCTAGGTAGACTGTCAGGGAAATGTAAATCAAAACTATGATGACATACCATCTCACACCCATTAGGATGGCTGCTATCAAAAAAACAGAAAATGGCCAGGTGTGGTGGCTCACACCTGTTAGCCCAGCATTTTGGGAGGCCAAGGTGGATGGATCGCTTGAGCCCAGGAGTTCGAGACTACCCTAGGCAACATAGTGAGACCCCATTTCTACTAAAAATACAAAAAAAAATAGCTGGACATGGTGGTGCTCACCTGTAGTCCCAGCTACCTGGGAGGCTGAGGTGGAAGGACCACCTGAGCCTGGAAGGTTGAGACTGCAGTGAGCTGTGATTGCACCACTGCACTCCAGTCTGCGTGACAGAATGAGACCCTGTCTCAAAAAAAAGCAAAGCAAAACAAAACAAAACAAAAACCTCACAAGATCAACATACAAAAATCAATTTTATTGCTGTATATTAGCAATGAACATGTGGAAAACAAAATTTAAAATGCCATCATAATCACTGAAAATGCTATACTTAGGGACAAAACTAACAAAAAAATGTCCAGGACTGATATGTTGAAAACTACAAAATGCTGGTGAGAGAAATCAAAGCAAATCTAAATAAATAGAGAGATCTACCATGTCCATGAATTGGAAGACTCAATATAGTAAAGAATGCCAGTTGAACTACAGGTTTAACACAATTCCTATCAAAAATCAAGACAAGATTTTTTTTGTAAACACAGACAAGGTTTTTCTAAAATTTATATAGGAAGGCAAAAAGGAACTAGAATATCTAAAACCAAAAGAATAAACAAAAAAGAATAATTAAAAAAAGAATATCTAAAGCCAGTTGGAAAATGATAAAGTGGGAGGAATCACCTACCTTGAGATCCATCTACCACTAGGATCCATTTAAACTGAAAAATAATTTAGTGATTGAAGGATAATTGGATATCCATAGGCAAAAAAATGAACCATGGCATAAACCTCATATTTTATACAAAATTTACCTCAAAAGGATCATAATTCAAATGTAAAGCGTAAAACTATAAATTATTATTATTATTATTATTATTTTTTTTTGAGACAAAGTTTCGCTCTTGTTGCCTAGGCTGGAGTGCAATGGTGCGATCTCAGCTCACCCCAACCTCCGCCTCCCTGGTTCAAGCGATTCTCCTGCCTCAGTCACCCAAGTAGCTGGGATTACAAGCATGTGCTGTCATGCCTGGCTAATTTTGTGTTTTTAGTAGAGATGGGGTTTCTCCATGTTGATCAGGCTGGTCTCGAACTCCTGACCTCAGGTGATCTGCCTGCCTCAGCCTCCCAAAGTGCTGGGATTACAGGCATGAGCCACCATGCCCGGCCTAAAACTATAAATTATTAAGACAGAGAACATCTGCTGGACGTAGGGCTCAGCAAGTTCTTAGACATGATACCAAAACCAAAATATGTAAAAGAAAAAAATCAATACATTGAACTTCATCAAGATTAAAATCTTTTGCTTTGCCAAAGGCCTGATTTTAAAAGTATAAAAAGCCAAGTTACAGAATAGGAGAAAATACTTGCAAACTATACGTCTAACAAAGGACTCATATCTAGAATATATAAAGAAGTCGCAAATGCATCCAATTAGAAAATAGGCAAAAGACATAAACAGACATTTCAAACAAAGAGGATATACAGATGGGAAATAAGCACTTGTAAAGATGTTTAGTATTAATAGCCATTAGGAGAATGCAAGTTCAAATCATGGCAAGATATTATCACACATTTAAAACAACAGAACGAGGCAAGGCACAGTGGCTCATGCCTGTAATCCCAGCACTTCGGGAGGCCAAGACGGGTGGATCACCTGAGGTCAGGAGTTCAAGACCAGCTGGGCCAACATCGTGAAACCCCATCTCTACTAAAAATACAAAAATCAGCTGGGCATGGTGGTGCGTGCCTGTAGTCCCAGCTACTCGAGAAGTTGAGGCAGGAGAATAGCTTGAACACGGGAGGTGGAGGTTGCAGTGAGCCAAGATCACGCCACTGCACTCCAGCCAGTGTGACAGAGCCAGGCCCTGTCTCAAAAATAAAATAAAATAATAGAACAGCTAAAATAAAAATAGCAAGAACAACAAATGCTGGCAAGTTTATGGAGAAACTGGATCTCTTATACATCATTGGTAGGAATATAAAATAGCACAACCACTCTGGAAAACATTTTGGCAGTTTCTTTACAAACTTAATATAGGCCAGGCACAGTGGCTCACACCTGTAATCCCAGCACTTTGGGAGGCCAAGGCGAGCAGATCACCTAAGGTTGGGAGTTCAAGACCAGCCTGGCCAACATGGTGAAACCCCGTCTCTACTAAAACTACAAAAATTAGGTGGACACAGTGGCACAGGCCTGTAATCCCAGCTACTTGGGAGGCTGAGGCAGGAGAACCACTTGAACCTGGGAGGCAGAAGTTGCAGTGAGTCAAGTTCGCACCACTGCACTCTAGCCTGGGTGACAGAGTGAGACTCCATCTCAAAAAAAAAAAAACTTAATATAGGCTGGGCATGGTGGCTTATGCCTATAATCCCAGCACTTTGGGAGGCCAAGGCTGGAGGATCACTTGAGCCCAGGAATTCAAGACTAGTCTGGAGGATCACCTGAGCCCAGGAGTTCAAGACCAGCCTGGGCAACATGGTGAGACCCTGTCTCTACAGAAGAAATTAAAAAAAAATTAGTCGGGCATGATGGTGCATGCCTGTGGTCTCAGCTATTCAGGAAGCTGAGGTGAGAGGATTGTTTGAGCCTGGGAGGTCAAGGTTGCAGTGAGCTGTGTTTGCACCACTGCACTCCATCCTGGGTGACAGAGCAAGACCCTGTCTAAAACAAAACAAAACAAACAAAACAAAACTTAATATACACTTACCATATGATCCAACAATCGCACTTCCAGGCATTTATTCCAGAGAAATGAAAATTTAGGTCCACACAAAAATATGTACATGAATGTTCATAACAACTTGATTCTTAATAGCCCCAAATTGGAAACAAACCAAATATCCTTCAGTGGGTGAATGGTTAAACAGACTGTGGTACATCCATACCATGGAATACTACTCAGCAGTAAAAATGTACAAACTACTGATACACTCAACAGGTAGGTGTTTCTCAAGGGAAGTATGGTGAATGAAAAAAGCCGATCTCGGCCAGGCACGGTGGCTCATGCCTGTAATCCCAGCACTTTGGGAGGCCGAGGTGGGCAGATCATGAGGTCAGGAGATCAAGACCAACCTGGCTAACACGGTGAAACCCTGTCTCTACTAAAAATGCAAAAAAAATTTAGCTGGGCATGGTGGCGGGTGTCTGTAGTCCCAGCTACTCAGGAGGCTGAGGCAGGAGAATGGTGTGAACCCAGGAGGCGGAGCTTGCAGTGAGCCGAGACCGCACCACTGCACTCTAGCCTGGGCAACAGAGTGAGACTCCGTCTCAAAAAAAAAGAAAAAAAGAAAAAAGCCGATCTCAAAAAGATGTGTACTGTACAGTTCCATCTCTGTAATATTTTCGTAGTGGACAAAATTATAGAGATAGAAACAAAGTACTGTCACCAAGGTTTAAGGGGCAAGTGGAGGAGAAAGAGATGCCACCAGAAAAAGGTAGCATGGGGGATCTTTGCAGAAATGGAATAGTTTTGTGCCTTGATTGTGGTGGTGGCTACGCTAATGTCACATGTGATAAAATTGCTTAGAACTGTACATGCATGCGATCACATATGAATGCATGTAACACTGGTGACATCTGAATGTAGTCTGTGGATTGTATTGTCAGTTTCCTGGTTTTATAATTGCTCTACAGTTATGAAAGATGCTATCACTGAGACAAATTGGATAAAAGGTCTTTAGCACCTTTCTGTACTATTTTTGAAACTTCCTATGAATCTATAATTAGTTCAAAATAAAAACTTAAAAATATTTTTTAATACCTCACTATTCTGTGGATCAGGAATTCAGGCAAGGTTTGGCTGGGCGATTCTTTCTCTCCATTTGGTGTCAATTCGGGCTTTTGGAGGTATTTAGCTGGTGATGCGGTTGGTCTGGAAGGTTTAAAATGGCTTTAGTCAAATGGCTAGTGCCTTGGTGGGGACAGCTGGAAAGCAGGGCTCAGCTTGGCCCCTCTCCCTCTCCATGTAGTCTCAGGGCCTCTCCACGTGGTTTCCCCGACACGGGTGTCAGACATCTTACACAGTGGCTCTTGTTTGATTTTAATATTTCAGAGGTGAGACACTTCTGGAGGATACCAAACCCCAGGCATAGCCTTCCTTAAAAATACTGCTGAAGAAGAGTTGAAGAGATGGTCACTAGAAAGGAAATAGTCAAGAAACTGAGAATGCAGGCTGTTGAATGGGTCGTTAAAGAAGTTTTTTTGTTTGTTTGTTTTTGTTTTTTTGAGACAGAGTTTCGCTCTGTCGCCTAGGCAGACAGAGTGCAGTGGCGCGATCTCAGCTCACTGCAAGCTCCGCTTCCTGGGTTCACGCCATTCTCCTGCCTCAGCCTCCCAAGTAGCTGGGACTACAGGCGCCTGCCACAGCGCCTGGCTAATTTTTTGTATTTTTAGTAGAGGCGGGGTTTCACCGTGTCAGCCAGGATGGTCTCGATCTCCTGCCCTCTTGATCCACCCACCTCGGCCTCCCAAAGTGCTGGGATTACAGGCATGAGCCACCGCGCCCGGCCTAAAGAAGTTGTTGATGGCCAGGCACTGTGTCTCACGCTTATAATCCCAGCTCTTTGGGAGTCCGAGGCGGGCGAATCACCTGAGGCCAGGAGTTCGAGACCAGTCTGACCAACATGGAGAAACCCCGTCTCTACTAAAAATACGAAAACTTAGCCAGGCAGGGTGGGGCATGCCTGTAATTACAGCTACTTGGGAGGCTGAACCGGAAGAATTGCTTGAACCCGGGAGGTGGAGGTTGCGGTGAGCCGAGATCGGGCCATTGCACTATGGCCTGGACAACAAGAGCAAAACTCTGTCTCAAAAAAAAAAAAAAAAGAAGAAGAAGAAGTGGTTGAGGCCGGGAGTGGGGGCTCACACTTTTAATCCCAGCACTTTGGGAGGCCAAGGTGAGTGGAGCACTTGAGTCCAAGAGTTTGAGGCCAGCCTGGGAAACATGGCAGAAACCCCCTCTCTACTCATAATACCAAAAATTAGCTGGGCATGGTGGCGCATGACTGTAGTCCCAGCTACTTGGGAGGCTGAGGTGGGAGGATTGCTTGAGCCCAGGAGTTGGAGGTTGCAGTGAGCTGAGATCATGCCACTACACTCTGTCTCAAAAAAAAAGAAGAAGAAGAAGAAGAAGTTATTGAAGTGCACCAGGTGATGGCAGGATTCTGAGAGGAGGGGAAGATATGATCCAGGTGCCCAAATCACTAGTGAGTGAGAGACAGTGACCCAGGGAAAACAGGATGATGGCAACAAGGAGGAGGGATGATAGAATCAGTTGATATAACGGCCGGGCGCGGTGGCTCATGCCTGTAATCCCAGCACTTTGGGAGGGTGGGGCGGGCAGATCATGAGGTCAGGAGTTCGAGACCAGCCTGACCAACATGGTGAAACCCCGTCTCTACTAAAAATACAAAAATTGGCTGGGCATGGTGGCACATGCCTGTAAGCCCAGCTACTCAGGAGGCTGAGGCAGGAGAATCTCTTGAACCCGGGAGGCAGAGGTTGCAGTGAGCTGAGATTGTGCCACCACACTCCAGCCTGGGCGACAGAGTGAGAATCCTTCTCAAAGAAAAAAAAAAAAAAAAGGAATCAGTTGGCGTATGCCTGAGAATAGGGATTTCTATAATCAGATGTCTGGAAAAATATCTAAAGACACAATGTGGAGGCCGGGTGCAGTCCGGCCCATGCCTATGATCCCAGCACTTTGGAAGGCCGAGGCAGGAGGATGGCTTGAGTCCAGGAATTTGAGGACAGCCTGAGCAACATAGGGAGACACCTCAGCCCCACTACAAAAAATAAAAAATAGCCAGGTGTGGTGGTGCACGCTTGTGGTCCCAGCTACTTGGGAGGTCTGAGCCCAGGAAGTTGAGGCTGCAGTGAGCCCTGATGGCACCACTGCACTGAAGCCTGGGTGACAGGGTGAAATCCTGTCTCAAAATAAATAAATATATGATTTTTTACAAGAAACAATGTGGACACTGATTCCACCCCCTGTCCCTGAGGGATGTGGTGTGAGAGGATAATCAGCTTCCGGGTAAGAGGGCTGCAGGGAAGGACTGTTGTCAGAGATCATGTTGAGTTCTGTGGCTTGGAGGCAGAGGACACGCTCCTGGAAATTGAGAACAGTAAGGAAGCTGGCTGATTGTTGAACCCATGTTCCGGAAGACACCGTGGGAAGGTTAGGATGGGAGACTGGCAGAGAACTTGGATGCTGGGTCAGGGGAGGGAAAACAGAACAGCAAGGAGAGAGATTTTGGGAGATGATCAAGGAAATGATGTGAGCCTGGTGCATTTGGCAAGGTGTAAGAAGATTTAGTCCGTGAGCTCCAAACTGAGCTCTGAGAACCTGCCCCTGAGAGAGAAGGGCACAGCTAGGGAAGGTCCTTAAGTAAGGCTCAGCCTAGTGTGGGTTGGGGGTTGATTCAGTGATCTGTTACTTGCTGATTCCGTGGCACACGCCTGTAGTCCCAGCTACTCAGGGGCCTGAAGTGGGAGGATTGCTTGAGCCCAGGAGTTCCAGTCTGGCCTGAGCAACATAATGAGATCGTGTCTCTTTAAAACAAAATCGAAGGACTTCTGCAATTGGGGAGCACAGGGGATGAATCAGATTCAATCTCTGTTCAAATATAAAATATCTCTATGACTACAACTTAAAATTGTATTGAAAGAAGAGAAATCCTGAGTTAATTCTAATAAAAAGGAAATAGAAGGGACATTTATCTTCCCTATTTTTTGCTCTAGTCCCTAGGAGGGTGTGGCCAGACTCTGTAAATTGTTCCTTGGGAGAAGGGATGAGGCTGGGGAGGGCATGGTGTCTATGCTCCCTCCTGGTCTGGGACCTGGCCTCTTAGGTCCTCATTTTCAGGCTTGATCCTGCAGAAAAAATTACCATGGTAGGTGGAGCAAAAACAGACATTTGAGTTGCTTTTTTGTGTGTATCTTGATATGATCTTAAACTCTTTGCATTAATAGATTTTCTCATTTGAAACCGTTCTGTCCTTGCTCTGTTGCTGAGGTTGGAGAGCAGTGGCGTGATCTTGGGTCGCTGCAACCTCTGCCTCCCAGGTTCAAGCAATTCTCTTGCCTCAGCCTCCTGAGTAGCTGGGACTACAGGTGTGTACCATTATGCCCAGCTAATTTTTGTATTTTTGGTAGAGACAGGGTTTTACCATGTTGGCCAGGCTGGTCTCAAACTCCTGACCTCAGGAGATCCACCTGCCTCAGCCTCTCAAAGTGCTAGGATTATAGGCGTGAGCCAACGTGCCCAGCCCAATCTGTTAATATTTTATATGGGATTTTTGCATCTATGTTCGTAAAATAGATTGGCCTTTAATATTCCATTCTCTTACTGCCTATCACTGGTTTGGGTATCAAGTTTATATCAGCCCCATTAATGAGTTTGAGAATGTTCTTTATTTTTCTATTCTCTAAAAAGTTTGTAGAATATTTGAATTAGATATTCTTTTTTTTTTTTTTTTTTTTTTTGAGAAGGAGTTTCGCTCTTATCGCCCAGGCTGGAGTGCAGTGGCGTAATCTCGGCTCACTGCAACTTCTGCTTCCCAGGTTCAAGCGATTCTCCTGCCTCAGCATTCCTAGGAGCTGGGATTACAGGTGCCCACCACACACCTGGCTAATTTTTTGTATTTTTACTAGAGATTGGGTTTCTCCATGTTGGGCAGGCTGGTCTCAAACTCCTGACCTCAGGTGATCCGCCCACCCTGGCCTCCCAAAGTGCTGGGATTGCAGGCGTGAGCCACCGCGCCCTGCCAGGTATTCTTTTAAGTGTTTCATAGAGCTTGTCTTATTGATTTATAAGAGTTCTTTGTATGTTTTCCATATTAATGCTTTGTCTCGTAATGTATACTGTAAATTATATAATTTATATAATATATATTATCTAAATATATATTTAGATATGTAATTGTATATGTAATATATATATGTAATTGTAAATATACATTATAATACAGGTGTGAGCCACCACACTCGGCCAACATGGAGTTTCCTTATACAGAAATGTAGATATATGACTCTCAACTTTTCTGACTTTTAATTTTATCTGTAATTTTTATTGTAAAAAAACTTAAAAAGTGTGATAAAGTGTAGAAAAGTGTGATAAAGTCAACTTTAAGCATTTTTCTTATCTTTTTTAGGTTTTGTGTACTGCCCAGAAATGTTTTCCATGACAAAAAAAATTATTTTTTAAATTTATTTTAGGCCTTTTATAATTTGCTATCTTTATATATGGGCCCTCAATTAATTTGTTCAAGAATATAGTTTTGGTATGCTGATATAGAAATCTAAGTTGAATTTTTTTCTGAATATATGGCCAATTACCTCAACATCTAGTCTACCCTTTCCTCACTGCTCTTGAATTTAACCTTTATCATAAACTAAATATATATACTTTCATCATAGATTTCAAATATTATATATATATACATCTATGTTGCCCAGTCTTGAAATCTTGGGCTCAAGGGATCTTCCCACCTTGGCCTCCCAAAGTGCTGGGATTACAAGCATGAGCCACCATACCTAGCCATTTGTTTTTAAGTTTCTATTTTTATTTTTTGTGTTTTTAGAGACGGTCTTGTTCTGTCACCCAGGCTAGGATGTCATGGCTCAATCATAGCTCACTGCAGCCTCAAACTCCAGGGTTCAAGTGATCCTTCCACCTCAGCCTCCCAAGTAGCTGGGAGACACCACTACACCCTGCTAATTTTTTTTTTTTTTTTTGTAGAGAAAGGGGTCTCACTGTGTTGCCCCAGCTGGTCTTGAACTCCTAGCCTCAAGTGATTCTCCTGCCTGAGCTTTCAAGAGTACTGAGATTACAGGTATGAGCCACCACACCTGGCCAACATGGAGTTTTCTTATACAGAAATGTAGATATATGACTCTCCACTTATTCAGGGTCTCCCTGTGCTTTAAGAGTCCTATGCAAGAAGTACCTACTGAGGAGGCTGAAGTGGGAGGATCACTTGAGCCTTGGAGGTCAAGGCTGCAGTGAGCTAAGATTGTGCCACTGCACTCCAGCCTGTTTCCAAAAACAAACAAACACCCATATGCAATTGGCTGGAACCTCCAGTCCATGTCTTGTGGTCCAAAGCCTTCCCTAAAATTTATATATATATATATATATATATATATATATATATATATATATAATTTTTTTTTTTTTTTTTTTTAGACAGAGTTTCACTCTTGTTGCCCAGGCTGGAGTGCAGTGGCGTGCTTTCAGCTCACCGCTACCTCCACCTCCCAGGTTCAAGCTATTCTCCTGCCTCAGCCTTCCTGAGTAGCTGGGATTACAGGCATGCACCACCATGCCCGGCTAATTTTGTATTTTTAGTAGAGATGGGGTTTCTCCATATTAGTCAGGCTGGTCTCAAACTCCCGACCTCAGATGATCTGCCTGCCTCGGCCTCCTAAAGTGCTGGGATTACAGGCGTGAGCCACCTTGCCTGGCCTAAAATTTATCTTGATTGGCTCCAGCTTTAAGCTTCAGCTACCACTGGATTGGTTCAGTTTATAACCCCAAGTGTGGCAGGATGTATTTTCCAAAGATGGTTGCATCAATAATAAAAATTGCATCCCCAGGCTGGGTGCAGTGGCCCACACCTGTAATCCCAGCACTTTGGGAGTCCAAGGCAGAAGGATTGTTTGAGCCCAGGAGTTCAAGACAACCTGGGAAACATGACAAGACCCTGTGTCTACAAAATATAAAAAATTAGCTGGGTGCATGGCTGGGTGCAGTCGCTCACGCCTGTAATCCTAGCACTTTGGGAGGCCGAGGTGGGCAGATCACTTGAGGTCAGGAGTTGGAGACCAGCCTGGCCAATGTGGTGAAACCCTGTCTCTACTAAAAATACAAAAATTAGCCAGGCATGGTGGCAGGCGCCTGTAATCCCAGCTACTCGGGAGGCTGAGGTAAGAGAATTGCTTGAACCCGGGAGATGGAGGTTGCAGTGAGCCGAGATCACACCACTGCACTCCAGCCTGGGCAACAGAGCAAGACTCTGTCTCAAAGTAAAATAAAATAAAATAAAAAATTAGCTGGGTGCAGCGGTGCATGCCTGTAGTCCCAGCTACTCAGGAGGCTGAAGTGGGAGGATCAGGAGCCCAGGAACTTGAGGCTACAGTGAGTGGTGATTCCTCCATTGCACTTCAGCCTAGGTGACAGAGGGAGACCTTGTCTCAAAAGTAAGAAAGAAAGAAAGACATAAATAAATAAATTTTATCCCTTATTCTCTTCTTAAAATGTGACACTGGCTGGGCGCGGTGGCTCATGCCTGTAATCCCAGCACTTTGGGAAGACAAAGCGGGCAGATCACGAGGCGGGCGGATCATGAGGTCAGGAGTTCGAGACCAGCCTGACCAACATGATGAAACCTCATCTCTACTAAAAAGACAAAAATTAGCCGGGAGTGGTGGCGTACGCCTGTAATCCCAGCTACTCCAGAGGTTGGGGCAGGAGAATCGTTTGAATCCAGGAGGCGGAGGTTGCAGTGAGCTGAGATTGCGCCACTGCACTCCAGCCTGGGTGACAGGGCAAGACTCCATCTCAAAAAAAAAATTAAAAAATGTGACATTAACATTCATCCTTGAGGTGGGGTCTCTGTTCCCTCCCCTTGATCATGGGCAGACCTTTGCAATTGCCTCAACAGTAAGAATGTGGTGAAGGTGCCACTGCATGACTTCCAAGGACGGGTCCTGAGTGGCAATTCTCTTCAGTCTGGTGCTCTCCTACTCCCTCTGAGCTGCTATAGAGGATGTTCAGCTACCTTGAAGCTGCCATGTTGGAGAAACTTCATGGAAAGCCCACAAAGAGATAAAGGAGAGAACTGTCCAAGCAACTCCAGCTGTTCCGGCCCCAGCGGTTGAAGGCTTCCCAGTACTGACATCAGACATGTGAGTGAAGAAGCCTTCTAGGTGACATCAGGCCCAGCCACCATCTGACTATGACCTTATAACAGACCCCAGGCCAGACCGAACCAGCAGAGTCACTCTCAAATTCCTAATCCAAAGAAATTGTCATTTTAAGCTGCTGAATGTTAGGGTGATTTGTTATGGTGCAACAGGTAATTAATACATCAATGTGTGCTGTCCAGACTGTGAAACTCATCCTCTTTCCATAATTTCCACACACAAAAAGAAAACTTACTCACACAAGGCCTTTCTTGTGGTTAGCCCACAAAAGATGGAGAGATAAGTGATGTGAAACAAACAACTTAAAATTGAATTTGGACATCCCAGTTCTAAAAATCCTTTATAGGTTTACCCCACCCACCCCAAGCAATGCCCACCATCCCTCTCTTACATCCTCCTCCTCTTGCTCTCATCTTCCAACAAACTTCAAATTCTTCTTCACTCTGTTAGGCAGAGCAATTACATTCTCTCAAGCTCTTTCTCCCAAACTCAGCTCCAGGACAACCTTTCAAAATCCAGAGCCCTTTGCTAACCTGCCCAATGGAGTTGGACTTTTCTAGCTTCAACTAGGTTCATCATTTTAGCTGATCTGCCTGTGGCCAGCTTCCCCACATTGGATGCCAACCTAGTAAAACAGTCATCCATAAATCATAAGGAAAGCTAAAATGTATCAAGCACCTACTATGTGCTGGTTCGAGGTTAAATGCCTCGCATGAGTCATCTCATTCAATTTCCACAAAAACCCTTTAAGATAAGGACAATTTGCTGGGCACGGTGGCTCATGCCTGTAATCCCAACACTTTGGGAGGCTGAGGCAGGCAGATCACCTGAAGTCAGGAGTTCAAGAGCAGTCTGGCCAACATGGCGAAACCCCATCTCTACTAAAAATATAAAAATTAGCCAGGCATTGTGGCTCATGCCTGTAATTCCAGCTACTCGAGAGGCTGAGGCAGGGGAATCATTTGAACCCGCGAGGCGAGGTTGCAGTTAGCTGACATCGTGCCACTGCACTCCAGAGCCTTTTAAGACTCTGTCTTAAAAAAAAAATATATATATATATATATATGGACTATTAGTATCCCCATTTTACAGATGAGGAAAATGAGACTTCATAGAGTTTGGGGTGCCTGTGGTCATATCTATAATTGTGAAAAAGTCAGATTCCAAAGCATTTTACCAATATTGCCTAAGTGAGTGGGAGGGAAGGGAAGGCTCTCTGGAGTCGGGCTATGCTGGACAGCGGGGTTCGGAAACTCTGGTGAATAAAGTGGTAGTTGTTTCTATGAACATGGAGTGAGAAGGCCCAATCCTAAACACACCAGTGCTTAAGGCAGCTGCAGAGAATTAAAGGCAATAGAAAAAGGGGAGCTGGATGGCAGGAGCTTGGATGGGGAAGACTT
The DNA here is from genome assembly GCF_000001405.40 of Homo sapiens. Lineage (NCBI taxonomy): Eukaryota > Metazoa > Chordata > Mammalia > Primates > Hominidae > Homo > Homo sapiens. The sequence goes on along the minus strand of NC_000001.11, from coordinate 40,317,961 downwards.
CAAGGGCAGGTGAAGATGCCAACAGCTTCCTGCCTGGAGGACCGAAGAAGGGTTGGGCTTCACTGCAGACCTCCAGGAGACAGATTTGCTTGTTGGGACAGAGTAGGGAGGTGAAAGCGAGGTGAGGAAGTTCGGGGGTGGGGGAGGTGCACACAGCTCCACTAAAGAGCTGGAAGAGGCCGATGGAGTATTCATGAGACGGCTGATCCAGGAAGGACTGTGGCATATTAATATGGAAAAGGCCTGTTTGTTTGTGCTTGGAGAGGAAGGAGCCAGAGGAGAGGGGAGCAAGGTGGGCGGGAGCTGGGGAGAGCCTGCAGCAAGATCTGCAGAGCCCGAGGTGCTCTCGGCCTGGGCCCTGGAGAGGACGTAGGGTAAGTGATGGGGCACAGGCTGTGCGTCAGGGGGAAGGTGCTGGGGCCTGAAGGTCCCGAGGGGAACCTCAGACGGCCTTATGCCTTCTCACAAAGAAACTGGACCATCATCTCCGACCCGCACCCCGGTCGCCCCTCGAGGACAGAGGGTGGGCGCAGGAGGCTGGACCGAGCGGGGCGGAGCTGGATGCCTGGCGCCGGCCTCCCTCCCGGCAACCCCGCCGGTCCTCTCAGGTGACAGCTCACGCCGGCCCCCGCCCCGCCCCCCGCATATTCAGGAGCCCCAGCCCACCCTGCCCGCGAACAGCCAGCGCTGGAGGAGCGCCGGGAGACTCTGCCGTCGGTGCGTGCGCGGACACGCACCCGTCCCCCTTGGTCTCGCCGCCAGCCATGGCCGCCGCTACGGCCTCCCCCCGCAGCCTCCTTGTTCTCCTCCAGGTGGTAGTGCTCGCTCTGGCGCAGATTGTAAGTTTCGCAGCCCCTCCGCTGCCAGGGTCCAGGGTGCGGGGTCTGGAGTCCGGGATGGAGGAGCTCTGCCTGTGTCCCGCGCCTACTGACACCCCTAGCCCGAGAGGCCACCTGAGGACAGCGCCGCGGGCAGGTCCCCTCGGTGGGTGCATACATGGTGCCCATCGCGGCACCGTGAATGGAGGTGGCTGAGCCGGAGAGTCAAACGGGACCCGTCCCCAGACGCGCGGCCCGGCCCGGGACAGGCAGCGTGGGGCAGGAGCTGGCGCCCGGTCCTGGCAGCCCGGGGAGCCCAGGTGGCGGGGCATACAATGGTGCTCATTCACCCGCTGCGCAGCCTCCGCCCCCGCCGCCTCCCAGGGGGCGCCGGCTCCAACCAGACGCCGCTGTCGCCCCGAGGCGGCCTCTCGGCCCTGCCCGCCTACCCACGTCTCCCTTCCGAGGGCCGCCGGGGGCTGCGGGCGCGCGGGTAGGGCAGAGACTGGGCCCGGTCGGGTGCTGGGTGTGGTTTCGAGCTCGCCTGCGGGGCGCCAGCCTGGCACTTCGCGGCCTGGGGAGGTCGTGGGCACCGGGACCCCTGCCTGGGTCCGAGCTGGCCTCTTAAAAGGGCCGCCTTTTAAGATCTCTGATCTGTTCAGAGATGGGCAGCAGGATGGAGACTCTCCAGCTGTGAGCTCGCCTCATCTTGATATGACTTGTGACCTCCCTGAAACCTCACACCCACCCAGGGGCATTGAATTGCAGGCAAACGGGATCCAGAGAGAGGGTCTGCTTTCTGGGAGGTGCCGGCTCCTCCTGCTCCCCTGCAGCAGTCAGGGCTTAGCAGAGGGAGGACCGGGCAGCTGTGCTGCCGAAGGGGCGCTCCGAGTGGGAAGATAGTACCCGCTTCACCTCCCTACACCTCCTTTCTCTGCGCCTCCCCCACTTTCCCGTCGGGTTTTCCCGCACCATGGGGAGAGGAGGAGGCGCTGTCTCTGCCTGTCGTTCACGTAAGAACAACAACCCGAGCCACCGCTCACTGAGGGCCGGCAGCCTGCTAGGCACAACCTTACATTCCATCTGTGATTTATTTGAGCTGTCCACGTCTCCATCTATTCCCCACCGCGACCGCGCAAGGGCAAACTGGCACAGTGGAAGGAGTCGGGCAGATCCAGGGCGGACTCCTGGCGCCGCCGCCCACTCTCAGTGACCATGGACCCTTCACGTTCTGAGCCAGTTTCTTCGACTGCAAACTGGGGCCCGTAATAGCGCCCGCCTCCCGGTTCTGAGTATTCTGTAAGATAATGAATGCATGTAATGGCACACAGTGCCTGCTATACAGAAGATTCTCAATACGTGGGAGTTCGCGGAAGAGCTGCGCCCCTAGGACCCCGCTCCCAGGGTCGCTTGCAGCCCCGGGGACGCCCAGCTTCCTGCACTGTCTGAGGACTGCCCCACCCCGTGTGTGTTTTTCAGAGAGGTCCACCGGGAGAGCGGGGCCCCCCGGGTCCCCCGGGACCGCCGGGAGTGCCTGGATCCGACGGCATCGACGTAAGTCTCTAACCTGAGACCAGGGCGGGAGGGAGGCGGCAGACAAAGGAGAACTTTGTGAGCGCTGTGGTGGGGGTGGGGACTTCGGGGTGCCCGGAGATGTAGTGCCCCTCGTCGCCAATAGGCGGCGCCGGCCCGCACCACAAGGACGCCGTTTGTTCTGCAAAAACCTCAAACCAGCCCTGACATGCGGAGCCCGTTATAGCCGCCGACAGACAAGGAGCTGCTGTTCAGTCCGCCGGCCGCAGCTCACAGCGAGGCCTCATCCCCCTCCTCTCCTTTCCCCTCCTTGTGGGGTAGGAGGCGACTCAACCCCTCACCCTGCCTCTGGCACATCTGGACGCTTCTTCAGGTTCGCTTGGGAGCCTTGGCCAGACCACCGACCAGCTTGGGCCAGACTCCTGTCTCTTCCCTTCGGTTTTCTCTCCCCGATTTAGAATCAGCTGGGCTTGTTCCCTGCAGGGTGAGGGTTAAATACCTCATTCTGAAAGCTCCCGCAGGAGGGCCGCTTGATGTTTACCAGTCTGGACAGACTTCTATTCAACCTGGTGCCCCCACCCCCCAAACACAGGATGCTGGGCCCCCGGCCAGGCCCTGGCTGCTGAGGGCTCTGAAATGCCTGGAGGCCTCTCTGGGGCTGAATCGCACTCTACCGGCCCTGCCTGCCCACCACCAAGGGTCCTTTGGCACTGGAAGGAGGTCCTTCCCTCCTTGGGAACACTGAATTTCCCCCTTGCAGTCCCCCTTGGTCCTTGCCACTGGCTCAGCTTCCCGTTCTCCTGCCCTGCAGTCTGGAATAGAGCTGCTGCCCAACTCGCTCATCCCCCTTCACGTTTCTCTAAAAGCCCCAACCTTCCTCCCACACGTGCCCAAATCCAAGAGGCATCAGCTTGGAGCCCCCAGCCCTGGTAGTGGGTCTCACAGCTGGCACCTCATGACATCAGCATGTCTGTACCTTCTTGCATGTTGCTGTCACCCTCTCCAGCCCGGCCAGGGTTATTCTCATGCTCCTGTGATTTGTTTTTGGTTTTTATTTTTGAGGAAAAGGGGGCTCTTTTCCCAAAGATTGCAAGGCTTAGGGGACCTGGACAGAAGAGAGGAGAGTGAGGAGAGCCTTTGGGAGCGGCCTGCCAGGGCCTGTGTGTGCCCACTTGGGGTAGTGTGAGCCGTAGTGTGCTGTCTCACCAACTTGTATCTTGCAGGGTGACAATGGGCCCCCTGGAAAAGCTGGCCCTCCGGTGAGTGCTTTATCCTCTTTGGCCTTTGACCCTTCCTGCTCTTGCCCTCCTCTGGCTCATGTTTGTTCCATCTCTGTTTTCAAGGGACCCAAGGGCGAGCCTGGCAAAGCTGGGCCAGATGGGCCAGACGGGAAGCCCGGGATTGATGTGAGTAGCTGAGTGTCGGGTGGGGCAGGGTAGGGCTCTGCCAATTGACCTCCAGGGCCTGGCTCTGGCATCTTCACTGATCTGTTCAGAGATGGGCAGCAGGATGGAGATTCTCCAGCTGTGAGCCCCCCTCACCTTGATATGACTTGTGACCTTCCTGGAACCTCACTCTCACCCAGGGTCATTGATTTGCAGGCAACCGGGGTCCAGAGAGAGGGTCTGCTTTCTGGGAGGTGCAGGTTCCTCCTGCTACCCCTCAGCAGTCAGGACTTAGTCTCACATTTCTGGCCTCCAAGGATCAGGCTGAATATGTTGGGTGGGGCTGTCCTTGTGTGCCCTGTCCTTTCCTCCGCTCTTCCCCTGACCCCTACCCACAGCCCCAGGCATGACTCAGGAGAGAAACATCATTTAGCTGATACCACAGAGCTCCCAGGGGGCCCCCAAGGTCACAGGCTCTTGAACACAGCCAGCCCCAGGGGCATGAGGACAACATCTGATGGGGGTTACACTGGGTCAGTCACTGAAAGATGGGAGAAAGGAGAAACCCCCATGACTTGCCTCTGCCCTGCTGGCTCATGAGGTGTGACCAGGGCTGGGACAGTCACCAGGACCCCTTCAAACTCATCCACACCCTGCAACGATTACAAGGCATATTGCCTTCTATGTTGCATCAGTTCTCACATCCACCCAGAGAGGCACCCAGATGAGAAACTAAGGCTCAGAAAAAGTTGCCAATGGCCTGGCGTGGTGGCTTATGCCTGTAATCCCAGCACTTTGGGAGGCCGAGGTGGGCAGATTACTTGAGGTCAGGAGCTCAAGACCAGCCTGGCCAACATGGCGAAACCCCATCTCTACTAAAAATACAAAAATTACCCAAGCGTGGTGGCGCATGCCCCTGGTCCTAGCTACTTGGGAGGCTGGGGCACAAGAATCATTTGAACCCAGGAAGCGGGGGTTGCAGTGAGCTGAGACTGTGCCACTGCACTCCAGCCTGAGCAACAGAGTGAGACTGTGTCTCAATTGAAAAAAAAAAGAAAGAAAAAGAAAAGAGAAAGGAAAGAAAAGAAAAGAAAATGAAAAAGTTGTCAAGGTAGGACATCAAGCAAATGACCAATCTTGACCCATGGCTAGGTCTTCTAGACTCCTGAACCCGGAGGCATGAAGCCTGGGTCTGGCATAAAGCCAAATCTTTGGGCTTTGGTTTCTCATCTTTCAAAAGAAGGGAATTGTTCTGCCTGCCTCCTAGGGTTACTATGGGAACTGGGGAAAAGGAAAGAAAGGTGTGGAGGTTCCTAGGCCTTCATGAGGTGTGGCAAAAAGGAGCCTCGGCCCACCCAGGAGGGACCCTTGAACCTGCCCTGCTCTGTGGGTCAGGGAGCAGGTTGGCCCTCATTGATCCTACATTTTCATTCTTCCCCAGGGTTTAACTGGAGCCAAGGGGGAGCCTGGCCCCATGGGGATCCCTGGAGTCAAGGTAAGGGGCCTGCTGGGGCCTCAGCGTGGGCAATCTAGGGCCAGCGTTTGGGAGTGGCTGTAGAGAGGAAGTAGGAGCCGGGGAAACCCCAGCCTCTGAGCCTTTCTCGTTGCTTCTGCAGGGCCAGCCCGGGCTTCCTGGTCCTCCTGGCCTTCCGGTGAGTACAACCTGCAAGGGCTTCGAGGGACTCTTGGGGGAGAGGGGACCTGCAGAGGGAGCCATGAAGCCAATTTTCTTTCTTTCTGTTCCAGGGCCCTGGTTTTGCTGGACCTCCTGTAAGTCCTCAGGGATGGGGCAGGATCCCCAGAACTCCCAGGGAAGGAGGGGACAACAGAAAGGCTTCGAGGGAATGGCCACCATGGGAAGGAGCCAGCTTGCTGTGATAGTGTCAGGAATAAGTGGACCTGCCAGAGACCCAGGGCCAGCCCACTCTGGGCCTGTCCACTGGCTCTGCAATTCTCTGGTCCTTAAAGCCTCAGTCTGTCAGTCTCTCTGGGGTTGGCAAAAAAAAAAAAAAAGTAAAAGTGGAGAAACGGGCTTTGGGTGCCTGTCTCTACCTTTGTGCCCAGGGTATCTGACCCTCTGAGGCATCCTGACCATCAACTCTCTGCTCCCCAGGGGCCTCCTGGACCTGTTGGCCTCCCTGGTGAGATTGGAATCCGAGGCCCCAAGGTGAGCCTCAGCCACCCTCTGTTCACTGCCTCCTGCCTTCTATCTCCAAGCTGGCAAGCTGGGTGGTCTTTCTGGAAGTTCCTGGGCCTGCTCCTGGCCACTGGGAAACTCCTCCAGGTCTGGGGCAGAAACCCCTCCTATGAGCCCACCCGGCACTAGGTCTTTTAGGGACGCCGCTGGCCCCATCCCCTGTCAATCAGGCCTTCATCTCCCAAGATGGTGGATCTCACAAAGTGACCGGGAAGACAGGGTGGAGAGGGCAGAGGCAGGACCTGGAGGAGGGCACTAGGGTAAGCTGGTAAGGGCTGGTCAGGGGTATGATTTGGGCTTCTTTTGCTTCCAGGGGGACCCTGGACCAGATGGACCATCGGGGCCCCCAGGACCCCCTGGGAAACCTGTAAGTGTCCCCAGACCCCCGACATGGCAAAGTGCAGGGGAAGGAGAAGGGTCTTTGAGCAAGCCTGCGGCGGGAAAGGGTCAGGCCAAGCTCCATCTTCATGTCTCCTCTCAGGGTCGCCCGGGAACCATCCAGGGTCTGGAAGGCAGTGCGGATTTCCTGGTGAGAGACGAGGTCTGGGGCGGGGCTAACACAGGGGGGCGGGGCCACAGAGATGGGGAGGCGGGGCCACGGAGATGGGGGTGTCTGGAGAGATGGGGAGGGGCTGCAGTGCAGGGGTTCCACCAGGTGAGGCGGAGGAGAGCACGGGGCTTGGAGAGATGGGGGCGCACTGCCCAGCTGATCACAGGACCCTGTGGGATTTTCTGTTTCCAGTGTCCAACCAACTGTCCACCCGGAATGAAAGGTCCCCCAGGGCTGCAGGGAGTGAAGGTGAGAGCTCCTGGCCTGAATCTTGGGAGGGTGGTGCAGGTGACAGGAGGGGACCTCGTATTGAGCTCTCTCCTTCCCTTCAGGGGCATGCGGGCAAACGCGGGATTCTGGGTGATCCTGGCCACCAGGGGAAGCCGGTGAGTGCAAGGGCTGAGGGCTGTGGGTCAGGGATACGTGGAGATGGTCCTACAGGGCTCTGTCCCCTTCTTCGTCCCTTCCCCTTCCCCTGTGGGTTCTGGGGACAGAGCCTTGAGCCGGGGGCTGGAGGCCTGTGCTCCAGGTCGGCATGTCTCTGGTCATGTCTCCTTGCTTGGCTTTTCTCTATCTGTAACACAGGACTGTAGGGTTCGTAGTAGTCCCTCCCGTCTGCTTGTGCTGGGGAAAAGAGGTGGTATCTTTGCTTGTCTGTATATGTGTCTTTCCATCTGCCTGCCTGTCTGACAGCTCATCCCTGCCCTTTAGGGTCCCAAGGGAGATGTGGGTGCCTCTGGAGAGCAAGGCATCCCTGGACCACCGGTAAGGAACACCTTGCCTCAGTGGCCCTCTTCTCCCTCACCCCAGGAGCCCTTCATGGAGTCATTCCCCTGCTCAGGCCTCTAGCTTGTAAAAGAGACACCTGTGTCTAGCTGGGAGCATCTCTGGATGGGGAGATGGAGGCTGAAATTGTCAGGAATGAGGGACAGGAACCAAAGCTGTCAGCAAGAAGCCCAGGCTGAGGTCCAGGTCTGCCACTGTCCCTTTGAGTAATGCAGTGAGTCCCTCCTCATCTCTGAACCTCCATGTCCCATCCATGAGACAGAGACTCTGCTGCCTACCTCAAAAGGGCACTGTAAGATTGAAGGTGGGCATCAGACAAGGTATCATGAAGTGGGCCTTGCAATTGCCATTGCTGTCATTTTTCTTTCTCAACAGGGTCCCCAGGGCATCAGGGGCTACCCAGGCATGGCAGGGCCCAAGGGAGAGACGGTAAGTGAATCTTGGGGTGTTCTACAAGAGCTTCCAGGAGCTGCCTTCTGGCCCCTGGAGTTCAGCCAGGACTGACCTGCAACCCTTTCCTCTCCCCAGGGCCCTCATGGATATAAAGGCATGGTGGGCGCTATCGGTGCCACTGGGCCACCGGTAAGCCTCTTTTTGCTCCCCTACCCCTGAGGCTGGAGCTCCTACAGCTACAGCCACAGAGTGGGCATGGCTCCCCCTGAGCCTGTGTGACCTGGATTCCTGCTTGTCTTTCTTGCCAGGGTGAGGAAGGTCCTAGGGGACCGCCAGGCCGAGCTGGGGAGAAGGGTGACGAGGTGAGTCCTCAGGCACCCATTGTTCAGTCAGGACCCCTGGGGAGTACTGGGCAGGACAAGGCACCCCCTAAGGCTGTGTGTGTGAGAGTGCATGAGTGTGTGCGTGAGTGTGAATGTGTAGTGTGTGTGAGTGTGTAGTGTGTGTGTGTGTAGACTGTGTGTATATGAGTGTATGTGTACAGTGTGTATGTGTGAGGCTGTCTGTGAGTGTGTGTAGTATGTGTATGTGAGTGTGTGAGGATATCTCTGAGTGTGTGTGTGTGACTGTGAGTGTATGTATGTGTGTGTGAGTGAGTGTGTGTGTGTCTGCCCAAGTGGGTGACCTGCTGGGGAGGACCATCTGTGCCAAGAGCCCAGTCAGCCCAAATTCAGACTTTAGGCGAAGCCCTGGGATCCAGTCCCATGGTCACTGGGGCCAGACAATGAGATTCCAGCAAATCAGCCATGGGGCTAATGGGATTTGGTCTCGATCCCAGTTCTCTTAACTCTTTTTTTTTTTTTTTCCCAATTAATAGACCTGTTGGGGGAAGCGGTTTTAAGTTTACAGAAAAATGGAGCAGAAAACACAGTTAACTGTTATTATTATTTAGTTTTTTAAATTATTTTCTTTTCTTTTTAAAAATTAAAAAATTCTTATACTTTTATTTTTCTATTAGACAGCAGAGATCATCTAGTTGTTTTGTTTTGTTTTGTTTTTGAGATGGAGTTTTATTCTTGTTGCCCAGGCTGGAGTGCATGGTGCGATCTCGGCTCACTGCAACCTCCGCCTCCCTGGTTCAAGAGATTCTCTTGCCTCAGCCACCCAAGTGGCTGGGATTACAGGCATGCGCCACCATGCTCAGCTAATTTTGTATTTTTAGTAGAGACAGGGTTTCACCATGTTAGGCTGGTCTCGAACTCCTGACCTCAGGTGATCCACCTGCCTCGGCCTCCCAAAGTGCTGGGATTACAGGTGTGAGCCAACACGCCCAGCAATATCTAGTTTTTTAATGCAATTTTTTAACTATACAGAAAACCAGTGAGAGTGATATAAAGAATCCCCATGTACCTATCACAGGTTCCAATTCAGTTATTAACATTTTGTCAGTCTTGTGTCCTCTATCCCCCAGACCCCTCCTTCCTTTGATTTTGTTATTGCTTTGCTCTGATGTTTTCAAGTAAATCCTTAACATCCTATCATCTCAGCCCTAGATACTTTTGTACATATCTCTAAACAATAAGCACTCATTCTCACATAATCACATTATCACAACTGACAAAATAAACAAGTACTCCCTAACATCATCTAATGGCCAGTCTCTGTTCAGTTTTTCCCAATTATCTCAAAAATGTCTTTTCCTGGTTCTTGTTCAAATCAAGACTCACACAGCATCCACACACTGCATTCGGTTGTTGTGTTCCTTTGGCTGAGTGGATTGTGGGGCCTTGGCCAAGGTCTCAGTGGATTCTGGCTCCCACCCCTGCTCTGGCTCAGCCCAGCCTGGCCTCCTGGCACTGACTTCTCCTCCCTCCTGCTGGTGCCAGGGCAGGAAGGGTACTCCCAAGGCTCTCTCCTCCGGCCCCTGCATGGTGTGGCCTGTGCCAGAGGAACTCTGGGACCTAGAGGCCACTGTTCTCAGTGGTTCCCCTCTCTGCACAGCCAGACAGGGGCCCAACATCCTGAGGGTGACCTGATCTCTCTCCGCTTTGCAGGGCAGCCCAGGTATTCGTGGACCCCAGGGGATCACAGGCCCGAAAGGAGCAACGGTAGGTGCCAGAGGCCTAGGCCCACCAGGACAGAGGCCAGGGCCCAGCTGCTTTGTCCAAACCCCCAGAAGAGAAGCCTGGGATGCTAGTCTGAACTCTGCAACTGGTGGGCTGGCTCCATAACCTCAGGAAATGCCTCCCTTTCTGTGCCTCAGTTTCTTCACCTGTAAACAGGGGTGATGACATACGGGAGGTCATGGGGAGCTTGCAGCAGTCGGGGACACCACCCTCCACACTAGGGAAGGACTGTGTTCCGTGACCCTCATCCCCTTCCCACTTCAACTCCCCTCCCCCAGTTGGCCAGTGGGGCTTCCTGGGATGACCAGAGCCACTCCCTCCCTGCACACTGCAGCTGTCTCAGAGGAACAGGGGTGGGTGGCCAGACCCCAGACATCTCCGCATTATCACTCTCCCTTGAACTTTCCTCCTGGGTAGGGCCCCCCAGGCATCAACGGCAAGGATGGGACCCCAGGCACGCCTGGCATGAAGGTAGGAGTGGGGCTGCTGATGGGACTGGGGCAGGGGCAGGACCTTGAGTCCTGGATTCTAGACACCAAGAGCCTGGGGTCCTCAGGTCATGGACATGCCCTTTCTTGCCTCTGGATCTCAGTTTCCCTACCTGCATCTGGGTAGAAGCCATGGCCCTCTGGCTGGAGCTTTAATTTGTATCTTTGGTTATCTGTCTATCCCAGGGCAGTGCAGGACAGGCGGGACAGCCCGGAAGTCCAGGCCACCAGGGCCTAGCGGTAAGTGTCAGGTGGAGCCACAGGGGCTGGCCAGGGGCTAGTGGCTGATGAGGTTAGAATCCACACACACCCGGGGCTCTTGCTCAATCACCACCTCTTGCCTTGTTACCAACTCTGTGGCCCCTGGCCTGGCGAAGGCTTCATTACTTGGACAATTACTCTAGCCTTCTCTTTGGCCATTCCAGTCCTCCATGTTGGCTAAATGGGATCTGACCATTTCTGCACTATAGCACCTTCCATGGCTCCCCACCGCCTCCAGGAAAAAGTCATTCAGTCCAGTCCTTCAATAAGTAGTTATTGAGGTCGGGTGCAGTGGCTCATGCCTATAATCCCAGCACTTCAGGAGGCTCAGCTGAGTGGATCACTTGAGGTCAGGAGTTCAAAACCAGCCTGGCCAATGTGGTGACACCCCGTCTCTACTAAAAATACAAAAATTAGCTGGGCGTGGCGGCTCATGCCTGTAATCTCAGCTACTCAGGAGGCTGAGGCAGGAGAATTGCTTGAGCCCAGGAGGCGGAGGTTGCACTGAGCCAAGATTACACCACTGCACTCCAGCCTGGGTAACAGAGCAAGACTCCATCTCAAAAAAAAAAAAAAAAAATAGTTATTGAGTATCTGAGGTATACTAAGTGGCAGGTAAACAATTATAAATAGGACAGATGCAATCTTTGTCTTCATGGCTCATCTTACCATTCAATGACCACCATAATCTGACCCCAACCTGCCCCTCCTGCCATATCAGCAATGGCCCCTCTCTGTCCTTTCCCTTCTCAACAGGCCTTGGCTTTTCTGCCTCCACACCTTTAGGCCTTTGCTGGTCCCTCTGTTTGAAATGCCCTTTCTGGTCTCTTTGTGCCTTCTTATCGTTCAGGGCCATCTCCATTCCATACCTCCTGGAGTCCAGTCCATGGGAGCCTGCCCTCCCTCCCTGTGGGGGTACTGAGTGGCCAAACCTGTTTCTGTGCACACATGCAGACTTGTGTTCCTGCGTGCACTCACATGGGCTCAGGCACCTGAGAGCACATATCCATCTCTTCCACGTAGACCCCAGGTCCTGGAAGACAGGCCATTCTCTGTGCCCCACTCCTCTGCCACCACTGTGGGAATGTACAGTTAAGTTCATCATGCCGTGGCTGGACCTTCTGTTGTTCAGCTCCCACAGGTGGGGGAAATCTGGATTGGGGATGGGAAGCAAAGCAGCAGGTGCATGGGGCTCCCTCATGCCAGGGCAGAAACTGACTTCAACTTCTTTCTGCAGGGTGTGCCAGGCCAGCCTGGGACAAAAGGAGGCCCTGGAGACCAGGTGAGGCGATCCCAAGCTGGGGACAGAATTGAGCAAGGAAGTCTGGGGCCAGGAAGACAGCAAGGCCCAGGCCTCAGCCAAGTCTCAGAGGCTCAGCCAGAACATAAGCCCCTTGGGCCTAACCACCTCCCTCCTGCCACCTCCCACCCATCATGCACTCCTCAGCCTGCCTCAGTGCAGATAGGATGGCATGGCTTAAAATCCAGAGGAGAAACAAACAGGAAAATCAGGAGCCAAGAGGATTGAACCAAGAATACCCTCTCCCCCGTCCCAGCTCATCTGGTTCCAGGCTCTGTTTAGGCTTCGTTGGGTTTCCCTGAGGCCAAGGGCCTGACTGGGCCACCCAGACTGACCTGAGAACTGTTTTCCTGCAGGGTGAGCCGGGCCCGCAGGGCCTTCCTGGATTCTCTGGTCCCCCTGGGAAAGAGGTAAATGCCCCCTGCACTGACACAAGGGTTCCTGCTTTAGGGTGAGGCCATGGGGTGGAGCCCTAACCTAGGGAGAGCTCCGAGTTAGTCTGGCTCTGCCCTGACCCAATGATTCAGGGAAGCTCTTTCTCCTCCCTGGGCCTGTTTCCCTATGTACATTGCAGGGAGGGTGGGGACTGGCTCTGTTCTGGAGTGTGACTTTCCTAGATGGCCAAGTTGATGGGCTGGGAATCCAACAGGCAGAGTTGTTCGTTCATTTATTCATTGCATAAACATTCACTAAACACTTGCAACTATGAGTCTCCTCTTCATATGGAGGGTATAGTTTAATGGAAGAAATAGACATGAAATAAATGATCACGCCGGGCGCGGTGGCTCACGCCTGTAATCCCAGCATTTTGGGAGGCTGAGGCGGGTGGATCACGAGGTCAGGAGATCCAGACCGCGGTGAAACCCCGTCTCTACTAAAAATACAAAAAATTAGCCTGGGGCGGTGGCAGGCACCTGTAGTCCCAGCTACTCTGGAGGCTGAGGCAGGAGAATGGCATGAACCCGGGAGGCGGAGCTTGCAGTGAGCGGAGATCGCGCCACTGCATTCCAGCCTGGGTGACAGAGCAAGACTCCCTCTCAAAAAAAAAAAAAAAAAAAAAAAAGAAAGAAAGAAATGATCACATGATAAGTAATTCAAATTGTGTTGGGTCCTTTGAAAGAAAACTACAGGGACCCAAAACCATGGAACAGGTGGTCTGGGAAACCTTCCCTGATGAAGCAAATTAGCTGAGACCCAGGGTAGGGAGGGGCTGGCCAGGTGTGGAAGGGTGGGTTCCACCAGGTCAAACGCTTAGCCCCAATTTCTCCTTCCTCCAGGGAGAGCCAGGGCCTCGAGGAGAAATTGGTCCCCAGGGCATCATGGGACAGAAGGTAAGTGCCTGGCACAATGGCCCCTCCCCGGGGGCCTCTGCGGCAGCTGGCACTGCTGGATACAGCATCTGCTCCGTGCAGCCCGTGAGATGCCTCCCCAGGCAGGGCCTAGGTTTGCTTTGCTGGTCTGCCAAGTGGAGAAAGGACCCCCTGCCAGTGACAGCAGGAATGGAGGGCACCCTGACCATGCGGTGCCAGGCCTCGGTGCGGGAGGCTACCCCTGCTGAGAGCTGCTGAGGTTGTGACCTTCTCTTTCCATTTCAGGGTGACCAAGGCGAGAGGGGTCCAGTGGGGCAACCAGGCCCTCAGGGAAGGCAGGTGAGTGCAGGCCAGCTAAGGTGGGCAGGGCGTCATATCCAGGCCCCTCATTCCATTTATTCCTTTGGTTTCTTTTCTCCTCAGGGCCCTAAGGGGGAGCAGGGCCCCCCCGGAATTCCAGGGCCCCAAGGCTTGCCAGGCGTCAAAGGAGACAAGGTGCCAGATGGGGCTGGGAAACACCTGGGAAAGGGGCCCTATAACAGGGGGAGTGGGGTCGGCAGGACTCAGATCCTTCCGGAGCCTCCAAACCTGCGGATCTCAGGGTTCTGGTCTGGTCGGCGAGGCGGAGTTGGAAAGAGGGGTGTGGCCGAAAGTTAGGTGGGGGACCCCGTGGAGGGGGGAGCTCGCCAAACCCCTCACTGCCCGCTTTCTCCAGGGCTCCCCAGGGAAGACCGGGCCCCGCGGCAAAGTGGTGAGTTCCAGCACCCCTGTTCCCAGCGACCCCCAACCCTGCTCTGCGTCCCCGCCGCCACCGCGCGTCTGACCCGTGGTTCTCTCTGCAGGGTGACCCAGGGGTGGCCGGCCTCCCCGGAGAGAAAGGCGAGAAGGTGAGCGCGCGGCCTAGGGAAGGGCGGGGAGCGGCGGCTGGCCCCGGGGTCCCCGCGGCTTCGTGACCGCTGCTCCTTGTGCCTGCAGGGCGAGTCCGGCGAGCCGGGGCCCAAGGGACAGGTGAGTCCTCCCCTCCCGGCGTTCTCCGACTTTCCTGGGCGGCCACTCCCTTCCTCGACCCCCACCCCCCACTCTCGCCCACCCGGGCGCCTTCTCACCCGGCTCTGCTCCCACCCCCATCCCCCCGCAGCAAGGAGTACGTGGAGAACCCGGCTACCCTGGCCCCAGCGGGGATGCGGGCGCCCCAGGGGTTCAGGGCTACCCTGGTCCCCCCGGCCCTCGAGGACTGGCCGGGAACCGAGGCGTGCCAGGACAGCCCGGGAGACAGGGCGTGGAGGTGAGTCGGGCCCCGGGGTAGGAGGTGCTTCTTCTAGGTAGATCTGTTCTGGGGTGCGGCTTACCCGCCAAAGGCTAGGGATTCCCAGAGACTCACCGACTTCCCCGAGACTGGTTCCAAGCCCCAGAGCAGACAGGAAGGCTGTGAGTGCAGCCTGAGGGATTACCCCGCGACCTTCCCAAGTAAGCCCTTGGCCCTGCCCAGGTACAATCTGTTCCTCAGCTTGGGAATTAATGACTCAACACCAGAGTCTCCTCCATGGCGGCCTCACGCTCAGCCAGGTGGGATAGGAGCGGTGGGCCCTTGTAGCCAGGGGCTTCTTCCTGAAAGGCCTCTGCTTTCAGGGCCGGGATGCCACTGACCAGCACATCGTGGATGTGGCGCTGAAGATGCTGCAAGGTGAGGGGCAGCAACCCCTCCTCACAGTCAGTTCGAGGGCATCGCCGCCCCCTCACCCCCTCCCGGAGCCTCCACGTGTTCACTTGTCTGAAAATCTGGAGTCCTGGGGGCTCCTTCCAGTCCAGTCTCTGAAGGGTTTTGGGACCTTGAATAAGTCACTCTGGGCCTTTGACTTCCGCAAAACAGAGCCCACGGAAGGTGGTGCTTTTCTGTCTGCAAACCTAGGGGCCAGGGCCCATCGGAATGCTCTGCCTCCCCTAGTGTTACTGCTGACACCCATCTCATAGACTTCCCTCTCCCTCCCTCCCTCCCTCCCTCCAGAGCAACTGGCAGAGGTCGCCGTGAGTGCCAAGCGGGAAGCCCTGGGTGCGGTGGGCATGATGGGTCCTCCAGGACCTCCTGGGCCCCCTGGGTACCCAGGCAAGCAGGGCCCCCATGGGCACCCTGGCCCTCGGGGCGTTCCTGGCATCGTGGGAGCCGTGGGTCAGATCGGCAACACGGGGCCCAAGGGTGAGTGCTCCTCTGCGGTGGGCATGGGGGCCAGGCAGTGAGGATTTGTCCAGGCCGGCCCTTTCCCCATTCCCTTCTCAGGATGACATACAGACCCTTCCCCGGTTCCTCAGCCACATGGTCCAGGAGACACTCCTGGGCTCTTTCCTAGTAGCAAACGGATGGCAATGAATGTACTATGTTATCACTCGGGGTTTCTGGGGTTTGTTTTTGAATGTGCTTAGTGGTACCCCATAAGCATCTTTCCATGTCAATAGAGATGGGGCGGCAGACCAGCAGAGCAGTAAAGCAGGCAGGCTGGAGCCACACACGGGTGTGAATCCAGACTCCCCTTTCTCATCGTGGCTCTCAGACGAGTTACCTGCTAATTTCCCTGGGCCTTAGGTTTACTATCTGTAAAATGGGGACACTGAAAGTACCAACCTCATCATGTGGCAGTGAGGACTATCCTTAGAGTAGTTTACATAGAGTTTGTCTTAGTTCACTGAGACACAGTAAATGCTAGATATTGTTATGCTTGCTTTCCTGTAATAAACTTTATTGGTTACATAATCTTCCATCCTTTGTCTGCACCTTCCTTTATTTAACAAGCCCTGCGTGACCATTTCCAACTTTCCTCTATTACAAACTAGCACAAAACAGGAATAATTTCTTTGCGTGAAACATAGCAAAAAATAGAGGAAAAGCATTTTCCAATTCTGAAAAATGAAGATTTCCTTTTTTGTCTACAGGAAAACGTGGAGAGAAGGGTGATCCAGGAGAAGTGGGACGGGGGCACCCCGGGATGCCTGGGCCCCCAGGGATCCCAGGTAAGCCATTGGCCCTGCCCAGCTGCAGTGTGTTCCTCAGCTTGGGAATTAATGACGTGTGGACACTGCGGTCTCCTCCATGGCGGCCTCACGCTCAGCCAGCTCAGTCCTTGATACCCAGCTTCTGCACCCCTTTGGAGCACCCCGGAGTCTCTGGGTGGTTCCAGCTCTGGAAGCTGGGCCTCTCAGGACTTCCCAGGATCCACCACCATCACTTCACAGAGGTGATGGAAGGGATGTTTGCTCCCAAAGCTCACTGATTGGGAGCTGGGGGTAGGGGACAATCACAGAATCTCTGCCTCTGGGGCAGAGTCCTTTCTCCTATGGTGTTTTGGCCTCATTTTCTCCATCTGAAAAGTTTCCCCACCTTCAAAATTCTGGGCCTGAGACAAGAGGTGCCCCTAATGTCTTGACTTTCTCCTGTTCACAGGACTCCCTGGCCGGCCTGGCCAGGCAATCAACGGCAAGGATGGAGATCGAGGGTCCCCAGGGGCTCCAGGAGAGGCAGGTCGACCTGGCCTGCCAGGCCCCGTGGGGCTGCCGGGCTTCTGTGAACCTGCCGCCTGCCTTGGAGCTTCGGCCTATGCCTCTGCCCGCCTTACAGAGCCTGGATCCATCAAGGGGCCTTGAGCATCAGGCCCAGACAGAGCCTGGCAGGCATCCTGGCGGGAAGGACCAGGTCCCCTCTGGGTGGACATGCACCCATCCCCAGTCCAGGAAACCATCTCCCCCAGGACCTTCTGTCTGGGACTCAGGAGTCCTAAGGAAAAGGAATTCTAAAACATGGGGGAAGGGGAGGTAGAGCACTGATGGGTGAAAAAGTGAGGCCAACACACAGGGCAAGTGGTGTCGATGGAGTCGAAGCGCTGAAGGAATAGGGCGGCTTTCCTTCCAGCGAGCATCATTCGGCTGTTACCAAAACAAACATCTTAATCTGCACCTTTCTCCACTGGCCATCTTGTCCTTGGGTCAGTGGGACATGGGCACCTCGGGAGGCCCGGGCCCTGCCCAGCTACAGTTCCACCCCTCAGCTTGAGGACCAATGACTGAGGTCTATGCCAGTTCCTGATCCCATCTCACTCTCTGGACCTACCAGGTGACTGCTGCTGGGTGACTCCCCTGAGGCGGCTATACCCTTAAGCCAGCCCCACTACTTCCTTCCCTGCCTCCCAGCTCAGTATTTAAACATCATCTCCCTTCTCTTTCTCGCATAACTCCCCACCCCTTTCTCCCCGATCCACCCAGGCCTTTCTGTAAATAAAAGCTCCCAAGTTGGGTACAAACCAGGATATTGGAGTTACTCTATCCTGGAGTTAACTAGGATAGAGGAGTTGTTGGGCTTCTCTTCTTGTGGATGGGGCAGTTGTTGCTGGGCCTCCATTGCCCAGGCAGGAAGGACAGAGGCTCTGGAGGGGGAGGGAAGGATGGGGCGTTTTCTCTGGGCACCTGAATTCTGAGCATTAGGATAGCATGGCAGTTTTGAGGAACATCTGTGGGAGGAACCTAGGAATGGAAGCAGGATGCTGACCTGCTGTGTAACTTTGGGTGAATCCCTTTTGAGCCTTTGTACAACTGTGGCAAGGACTCACCTGTATCTTGTTCATGCCAGTATAGCACACCCAGTGTCTCGCCGGGGTCTGCCACTTGGAAGGTCCTCTGTGAGTTTCAGCACCCACGGTGTGCTGGCCCTGGGGTAGGAGCTGGTAGTGAAAGATTGGAAGACCTTGTTCTTGCCTTCCAGGGGTTTCCAGGTTCATGAGAAAAACAGATATGGACTTGGATGAAAAAAGTCCGGGAGAGACTAGCTCAGATCTGATCTGTACCACCTGGGGGTTCCCAGCCCATAGCTCTGTAGGCCTTCAAGGAGGAAGAGGAGGGGAAGGGGGGGAAGGGGCTGAGGCTCGGGGACTCCAGCCTGAAGTCCAAGCATGTGCGGAAGCCTAGACCCTCCCACCTTACCACAAACTTGGCTCCAAGTCCCCTCTATGCTGACGCATCCTTGCCCTCCTCCTCCTCCCCACTGCCCTCCACTAGCCCATCCTCCCTCCTCCCTCCTCCCCTCAACACACATTTATCACTAGTGACATCTCAGCCCCCCCTACCCCAATCCAGGGACACAGGAGGGACACAGTGGGGTTAGACTGAGGGCCACTGATGTGGCTTCACCCTCAGTGCTTGGGCAATTCCCAAGTTACAGCATCTCAGTCCCCAGAGAAGGCCATGCTGCCACTGTAGCCGCCAAGGGCCCCCTGGAGTGCAGGGCACAGAGGAGGAAGGGAGAGGATGTGAGCTGCAGGAGGCAGCTGAAGCCAAGCCTTGGGCAGGCTCTCAGGTATTACATACCTGGTGGGGAGGAGGGTTCTCCCTTCCCTAGGCTGGATCCCTCACTTGCTCCTAGTGCCTGGAACCTTAGGTTTAGAGAGCCACTCTACTCCTTGAAGTCTCTTGATGCACCTTACCTGGGGCCCTTTCCTTATCCCTCTCTGCAGCATTCCCAGAGATGGTCCACTGGAGGGTTTCAGCACCACAGAGAGGCTGATGATTCACAAATCTCATGCAGTTACACCTCATTCCTTCTGACAGCAATTTGAAGGGGCTGAAAGGGGGCTAATCCCTAAGGACCAGTGGTTGGTAGCCTACGTAAGACTCCCTGGTGGGTAAATTTCACTCAGACCATTTGCTGTGATCTACGAATCTCCTATATGCCTTTCTAAACTCAACTCTGTGCTTAGACTCTGGTACATTCCACTGCAGCCATACCAGCCTATGCTGTCCCTCTAACACGTGTACAACACACAAGCCATGCCCTGTTTGGAATGTTCTTCCCCAAAATATCACTGCCAGTGACCTTGCTTCAGGTCTTTATTCAAAAACTGACCTCATCCTTACCCTGATATTCCAGAATACCATTCTGCTTTATTATTTGTCTTCCACACTTAGCACTATTCAACATAAAGCACTAGAATATAAGCTCCACGAGGGTGGAAACTTTTGCTCTTATTTGCTGTTCTATTCTGCAGCACATCAAACAGTGCCTGGCACACAGCAGGTGCTCAATAAATATTTATTAAATGAATATGTTCAGGATGCTCAGAGGAAGATCCCACCAATCATCAAACCAGGAAGGAAGGGATCTGGTCTCCACTTGTGTGTGGCTGAGATGTGTTCTGAGATGGCCCAGTGTCCGAGTTTTATTCCCTCACCTACTGAGAACAGGGACCTGCCCTTTGACAGCTGAATCTTGGGAGGCAACAGTCTGATGCAAAAAAAAAAAAAAAAAAAAAAAGTAGGAACTCAATTCCCCTGTTTACAATTAGGAAAAGGGGGATTTAGAAGCTTAACAGAAAGGGCATTGCACCAAGACAGCCCAGCCCCTTTGCAAAGGTTCAACACCACACTGCACCTCTAGAATGCAGCCTGTGGGGAGAGTCCCACACCTGCTGCTGCTGACTCTTCTTTCAAACTTCATCTCTCTGGCAATCCTCTCCTCACCCTGAAGGCCAGCTGGGTCAGAAACATTTTTTTTTTTTTTTTTTTTTTTTGAGACAGAGTCTCACTCTGTCACCCAGGTTGGAGTGCAGTGGCGTGATCTCAGCTCGCTGCAAGCTCCACCTCCCAGGTTCAAGTGATTCTCCTGCCTCAGCCTCCCGAGTAGCTGGGACTACAGGCACCCGCCACCATGCCCGGCTAATTTTTTTGTATTTTTAGTAGAGATGGGGTTTCACTGTGTTAGCCAGGATGGTCTCGATCTCCTGACCTCATGATCCACCCGCCTCAGCCTCCCAAAGTGCTGGGATTACAGGCTTAAGCCACTGCACCCGGCCCAGAAACATTTTAATTTTGTGCTTATTTACATCATAGCAATTAGGGTGAATTATTAATATCACCAACAAGTATCAATTGTTGAGCTCTTATATTATTAGATACTGTGCTAAGTGTCTGCAAACATTATCTCATACTATCCCTACCACAGCCCTGTAAAGTAGGTATTACCCCATCTGCCATGTTAAAAAATAAAATCTCTGTCTCAATCCCACCTGTAGATACTATCCCAAATTTTTGCTCCCTTTTATGGGGAGGGTTGGTCTCACTTTGGCTTTTAGCTCACCACACTGTTCTCAGATTCCTGCGCTGATTTCTCATGTCTCCAGTATCTGAAAGTCACTTGTTCCTTGGACCACATCTTTTTCTCTGGCTCCTCTCATATCTCATTCAGTTTCATGGCTTTAAACTTTATCTATATATCCCCAGTCCAGATCTCGCTGCTTAACTTGATCCGTCGATCCAACTGCCTACTCAACATCTCCCCTTCGATGTCTGATGGGCATCTCAAATTTAACATGTCCGAAACAATTCCTGATCTTCCCCTCCAGAATCCCCCCTCCTGCGATCTTTCCCATCTCACCCAAGGGCAACTCCATCCTTTCAGTTATTTAAGCCAAATACACTGGAGTCATCCTCCACTCCCACTTTATCTCTTAGACCCCACATCTGATCCATCAGCACATCCTGTTGGCTCAGTCTTAAAAATATATCCAGAATCCAGCCACTTACCACCTCCTGACTACCACTCCAGTCTAGCACCATTATTTCTTGCAAGAAGGATTGCAAGCCTCTCCCAACTAGTCCCCTGCTTCAACCTTTGCTCCTCAACATAGAAGCCAGAGTGGTCCTATTAAAACTTCAGATCATGTCACTCCTTAGCCTAAAACTCTACAATGGCTTCCTACCACACTCAAGGAAAAGCCTGAATTCTTACAGTGGCCTACAAGGCCCTGCAAAATCTAGCGTCTGGGATGCTCTTCCCTCAGACACCTCCCTAGAACACCTCACTCTTCATTTCCTTCAGGTCTTGGTTCAAATGTGACCTTCAGTGATGCCTTTTTGTGACCACCCTATTTAAAATTGCTGGCCAGGCACGGCTCATGCCTGTAATCCCAGAACTTTGGGAGGCCAAGGCGGGTGGATCACTTGAGGTCAGGAGTTCGAGACCAGTCTGGCCAACATGATGAAACCCCATCTCTACTAAAAACACAAAAACTAGCCAGGTGTGGTGGTGGATGCCTGTAATCCCAGCTACTTGGGAGGCTGAGGCAGGAGAATCGCTTGAACCCGGGAGGCAGAGGTTGCAGTAAGCCAAGATCGTGCCACTGCACTCCAGCCTGGGCGACAGAGTGCAACTCTATCTCAAAAAAATAAAAGATAATAAAATAAAATTGCAGCTCCTACCCCCACCCAAACACCTCAGCCCCCGCCTTTTTTTCCAAAACATGTATCACCATATAAATACATTTTAGTTGTCTTTCTCCCTGATACTAGAATGTAAACTCCAAGACGTGGCGGATTTTTGTACCTTTTGTTTACCATGTATTCCCCATCACCTAGAGCAGCGCTTGGTAGAGTGGGGACAGATGGAGAAATACAGTCTCGGTCAAGTTTCTTACCCAAAGTCTTACTAGTAAGTGGCATGTTGGATTATAGAGCCCCAGGCTTAATCCTAATACTTTACCTGTTATTGACCATCATCCAGAGAGCCAGAGGGGAGCTCGGACTCAGCCAAGGGCAGAGTAAGGCAAATCTGCTTCCTGAGTATTGGCGGTCCCGGCTTCACAGGTTTTTAGAACACACAGAGGTATCTTCCTAGCTGTTTCTGGTCAAACTGTTTAGGAAATCCTCCTCCCTGGAAATCATCCTGGATAACAGAGAAGAGCCCAAGATTTCCTTATCCATATTGTCTAAATGGGACTATCCCATTCCACAATGGATTATATTTGCCTTCCCACAAAACTGAACTCAGCCTGGCACACATCGTTCAAGTTACTTGCTCACATCACTGTGGTCTTAAAATGTTTCTGGATAAAAGTTTTGGATTACAAATTATCTGTAATTTTCTTTGTTTTGCCCTTAGGATAGAACGTAAGGCCCTTAAGTGGTAGTTAGCTTTCTGCTAATGATGGCAGAATACTCAAAACCATCAAAGATATAGAAAGTATATAAGAACATGGCCAGGAGTGGTGACTCACACCTGTAATCTCAGCATTTTGGGAGGCCAGGGCAGGCAGATCACAAGGTCAGGAGCTTGAGGCCAGCCTGGCTAACATGGAGTAACCCCATCTCTACTAAAAAATACAAAAATTTGCTGGGCACGGTGGCTCACCCCATAATCCCAGCACTTTGGGAGGGCAAGGTGGGCGGATCCCCTGAGGTCAGGAGTTTGAGACCAGCCTGGCCAACATGGAGAAACCCCGTCTCTATTAAAAATACAAAAATTAGCCAGGTGTATTGGCCCATGCCTGTAATCTCAGTTACTCGGGAGGCTGAAGCAGGAGAATCACTTGAACCTGGGAGGCAGAGGTGGCAGTGAGCCAAGATCATGCCACTACACTCAATCCTGGGTGACAGAGAGACAGAGAGTCTTAAAAAAAAAGAAAGAAAAGAAAAAAATACAAAAATTAGCCGGATGTGGTGGCTCACATGCCTGTAATCCCAGCTACTCAAGAGGCTGAAGCAGGAGAATCTCTTGAACCTGGGTGGTGGAGGTTGCAGTGAGCCGAGATCGCACCATTGCAGTCCAGCCTGGGCAACATGGTGAAACCCCATCTCTACTAAAAATACAAAAAATTAGCCAGGCGTGGTGGCGCAAGCCTGTAATCCTAGCTACTTGGGAGGCTGAGGCAGGAGAATCGCTTGAACCCAGGAGGCGGAGGTTGCGGTGAGCTGAGATCGGGGCATTGCACTCCAGCCTGGACAACAAGAGAGAAACTTCTTCTCAAAAAAAACAAAAACAAAAAAAGCAAGTAGAAGGTTTCCACAGGGAGGGGAATATCACATGTAGGATCAGGGGTAACAGTGAGCATATAAAATATAAGGGCAAGCGGGGACCATCATTTGGTACTAAAACCACTGAACTGATCCTGGGAATTCTCCTATCCTAAACAGAGGCAGAATTTACAAGCAGTTCTCAGACCTCAGCAAAGGGCCAACTCAGATAAAGCCAGTATATACACACAACAGAGATTCAACCTTAGATTCAGAGCTTAACTCTGCTGGAGTTGTGCCATTTTACCCAAGGCTTTGACCTACTCAATTTTGCCCCTGCTGCACATCCACCAGGTCTTTCTTAGGGTGCAGAGTGCCATCTATTCCTTCGTTGGTGGGCCTATCTACTCTTCCCTTGATTGGTCAATTTCTTAGGAACCTACCAGTATCCTTTTGGCCATCCCTATGCCTCTGCCATCCATAAAGTGTGGGTGACTAAGTCAGTCACATATTTAAAAGCTAATTACTGCCACCATATGTAAGGAAAACCAAAGAGGCAGCTGGAGCAGACCAGGCAGGCCCAACAATTTGAGGTTATAAAAATAGAGAAGGAATGATTCCAAATGAAGCTTCCAAGGAAATATCTGCAAGAACTGGTGATACTCTGGAGCAAAGCAGGAGCAAGACACTGAAGAGACTCTGTGTAAAGCACAGTGGTGGCACTGACACCACTCATCATTAGGGCTATTTCTTCATTCCACTCTTCATTGCTAGCACCCAGTTCCTCTCAGGTAATAAACATATGTTCAGGTAACAAATGATACACAAATTAAAAAAATGATACACAAATATCAAACTAAAGACAAAGTACATACATTTGCGTTGGCAATGTTTAATGTTTCACTTTTGCAGAACTGAAATTTGTATTCAAAGGCACAGAAGGAAGGAAAGGCAGTTATCAGAGCATGAAGTCACAGATAAAGGATGCTGAATAAAAGCATAGGACTGCTCCTCTTTAGCCTTAGGAAAATAAATAATGCAGTATTAAACTAGATTTTTATTTTTATTATATTTCCATGTGAAGACATCACCCAAATGTCAGCGGAGCAAAAGACTTTATGGTCAGATACCAAAGGCGTACAGTTGATCCCACTTTGGAATAAATGCCCAGAAGGTAATAAGCATTATCAGTGAGTGAGAGCTCTAGGCACAAAATAAGTTCTCATTCAGAAAGTGGACAGAGATATGAAGCAGTGAAACATATAGCTTTAAAAACTGGAAATCATTCATGACATTTGTTTTCAAAGTAAACATTATCTGCATTTCAAGAACTGTAATTTTCAAAAGTAGAATCAGGCCTGATTAAGTAATATTTATGACTTACAGATAAAATTACAAAAATAAAAATGAAAACTCTTCTGCCCTTGAAAGAGATAGAAAACTATATTTTTTTCCCTGTAATGTCACAGAGATTCATCAGTATTTCATCCTTATGTCGCTTAAAAAATGTTATTTTTAATTCGTCTTTCCTGTTCTGCCACTTTTAACATAGCAAAACGTGTTTAATATGGCCATCTCTGCTGAGTGAAAGGATGTATTATTTACTGCATGAATGAGAAGAAGCTACAATTTACCTCCAATGGGATCATATCTACCACGTGGGAAAAAAAGATAAAGACACGGATTTTCCAAAAAACAAAAGAAACAAACAAACAAAAAAACCCCACAAAACTCAATGATTTAAAATATCCTATACATAATTTCTAACTTCAAAGCACTATGAGAAACTCTTGATCACTGTGTAGCAAGAAAGGGAAGAAAGAAATTAAAAATTTGGTAGAATAGGAGAGCATTTTTCTAACTACTTTCATTTAAATAACATTGGCCTTACCAACTATTACCTTTCTTATTTAAAACACTGATTCACCAGGTGAAATCATAACAGCATGAAAGTAAGACCAGATTTCAAGTTAGGTGTGAGCACAATGATTCAGGACCACTGTTTCCACCTCACAGAAAGGATTCCTGTGGTGATGCTCCCTCTTTCAAACATATGCCCTCAAACACCTCACATGCAGATTCCATATAAGTATACAAATAAAACGAGTTCTGTATTTTTCCAAATAATTTTACAACTTGATGGTAAATTAGATGTCAAAGATAAAACTATGCCTTTAAAAACATTAAGCTTCAAAATTCATTCAGTGTTTTAAGAAATGAATTATTAAAATCATTTTTAAAATGACATATTAAATGTATTTAAATCTGGGCTTTTCTGTACTTAATTTTTCTTCTAAAAAAAAGTTTAAAAACATCAAGAGCTGGAACATGCTGCCAGGACAGAAATAATCAGAAATGTCTTCAGTCACAGATCCTGGACATCTCAGTGTTGCTTCATAGTTTTCAAAGCTTGAAGTCTCTCTAGCAGTGGAGGATGAGAATAATGCCACATTGAGAACAACCAGTCAGAAACAGGGAATCCCAAGTTATCTTTGTTAAGTTTGATTAAAGCAGAATATAAGTCTTTAGCCTTCCCAAGTTTCTTGGCAAATGCATCAGCTTGAAACTCAAATCTGCGGCTTAGGACTGTTAGGCAAAAAGAAAGAACCTGAAAAAGAAAATGAAAGGGTTTTAGCCACTGCCCACCTCTTTGTTGTTACTAAAGGTTCCATGAGCTGAGACTGTAGAGAAGTTTGGCTTGGGATAAGAGGAATGGCAGGACAAAAGAAAGATCACTAATATTTAGGGGACCTAGGGTGAGGAAATTATAAATTGAGCCTTATTCTCCCCCAAGCAAACAGGCCAGAAACACATATAAAAGTTAAACATCCCTAACCAAAAACTTGAAATCTGAAATGTTCCAAAATCTGAAACTTTTGAGTGCTGACATGAGACTCAAAAGTCATGCTCAGGCCGGGTGTGGTGCCTCACACCTGTAATCCCAGCACTTTTGGGAAGCTGAGGCAGGTGGATCACCTGAGGTCAGGAGTTCGAGACCAACCTGGCCAACATGGTGAAACCCTGTCTCTAGTAAAAATACAAAAATTAGCTGGGCGTGGTGATGGGTGCCTGTAGTCCCAGCTATTCAGGAGGCTGAGGCAGGAGAATTGCTTGAACCCGGGAGGCGGAGGTTGCAGTGAGCCAAGATGACACCCCTGCACTCCAGCCTGGGAGACAGAGCGAGACTCCATCTTAAAAAAAAAAAAAAAAAAAGAGTTTTAAGATAATACATCTCAGTTCTCTGCCAAATTTATTTTTGTTTATGTGGACAATGCTATATGAATATGATCTATGCCCCTCCATTTTTCTTTCCTGGTGTCCCCACCATACATAATAGAAAAATATAATTCATTTAGCTCATCTTAACTCTACAATCTATCCCAAGAAAGAATTCTTCTGAATGGAGATACCTCAAGATCTTCAATATTATTTCTTAGCTTAATTTGGAAGCCTTACCAAACATCATGAAATGATGCCATTGTCAGGTTTGTTATATAGTCTCACATTAACCTATGTATTATCACTCACACGGAATACCCCTAATGAGCTAACACAGAGCAATGTTCTTAAGTTTCATTTACCACAAAATACCCGATTTTGATTTTGTGGGTTTGGGTGGATCCCTCAGGCTATATGGAGGCAGGTGGTCATGGAGCAGAGGAACAGTCACTAAGCCTCCCTTACTGAGCTGTACCAATTAGTGTTTGCTTTGTCCCCTCATACACATAAGATTTTTACCCAAGCACTGGTGAATATGTGGCCTAGGACACAACATTCCAATAGTTAATCTCCATCTACCGAGTCCTTTTAGGTGTTCACCACTGAAGTCTAGTTTTCTACTTATACTTTCCTAAGAGTATGCAAACGTTTATTTATTTGGGCTTGAATTTTTCTGCTACTTTGTCATACTGACCAGTGAATCAGGGGACTAAAAGACTTTGTTTCATCTATTTGTTAAAACTGTACTGTTCTATTTCCTTTTTCACTATCCTGAAAGCTCTAGATTTGAAGCAGGCAAGAGCATATGTGTGATAATTTTAAAGATCATACATTACCTCATTGTAAGGTGAAAAAATAAACTGGAAGATGATCAATAGTCCAATAAGAGTGGGTTGGCTATCATAAAAACCAAATGCAGCAAAAAGCTCCTTTCGACCAATTAATACAGCAAATAAAAAAAAACACAGGAAAGAATTCATCTAGAAAGAAGGACATGAAATTTCTAAGTTATTACCAAGCTGATTTCACTATGGGATCAGTAGCATCCATAAAGTATAAGAAATCACAGTGTGGCCGGGCGCGGTGGCTCACGCCTGTAATCCCAGCACTTTGGGAGGCCAAGGCGGGTGGATCACGAGGTCAGGAGATTGAGACCATCCTGGCTAACATGGTGAAACCCCGTCTCTACTAAAAATGCAGAAAAAATTAGCCGGACGTGGTGGCGGATGCCTGTAGTCCCAGCTACTCGGGAGGCTGAGGCAGGAGAATGGCGTGAACCCGGGAGGCGGAGCTTGCAGTGAGCTGAAATGGCGCCACTGCACTCCAGCCTGGGCAACAGAGTGAGACTCCATCTCAAAAAAAAAAAAAAAAAAAAAAAAAAAATTCATAGTGTGATTTTAAGAAAGGTATTAGTGTGATCACAGAACAAATTATTTAAGTAGCTTTTTTTGAGACAGATCTCACTCTGTCGCCCAGGGTGGAGCTCAGTGGCACGATCTCGGCTCACTGCAAGCTCCGCCTCCCATGTTCACGCCATTCCCCTGCCTCAGCCTCCCGAGTAGCTGGGACTACAGGCGCCCCCCACCATGCCCGGCTAATTTTTTGTATTTTTAGAAGAGACGGGGTTTCACTGTGTTAGCCAGGATGGTCTCAATCTCCTGACCTCAGATGATCCACCCACCTGGGCCTCCCAAAGTGCTGGGATTACAGGCATGAACCATACTGCCCCGCCAGTAGTTTTTAGTTTCACTTTTATTTCAAAAGTAAAATAAAATGTTCCCAAATGTATAAACTGTATCATTTTCTATAAGGGCAAGCTTAAGTTGAGGCTCCTATCATTGAGGGTTTGAAGTGGTCAATAGCAATGGGATATTTTCTCTCTGTAAAAGGGTGAAGGGCTAGAATGGATTCTGGCCTTGTTTTATAACACTGTAATCAGATACAACGCCTCCCACCTGACTTTGAAGCGGAGGCTCCAAAGAAACAGGCTTCCCTTGAATCCTCTCTAGGCCCACTGGAGCTGTACCAGATAGTTAGAAAGGTCAGGGGGAAAAGTAGATCCATCTTGATCAATAAATGAGAGGAGAAAAAAATAAAAAATCTATACCAAAATACAACCTCTTGGAGTAAGGTTGGAGAACACACAACATTCTTTTTCTGTGCAAATTAGGATCTTGGAGGCCACATGTACCTTATTTAAGTGTGTTGCTTCAAACCATTTGACCCAAACGAGATGACCCAAGAAGCTGTCAGCTTAGAATGGGGCTTAGAGCATAAGAAGGCTCACCAGCTGCCCCAGGACAAGCAGCTTCGACACTCATCCTTATAACTCAGTGGATCCAATATGACAAGCTCCAACAGAAAACTCAGTGAAGTCTCCTACACTTATAATCTATGCATCCACTTTTGTCAAGTAACCATTGTCCTTTTGAAAAATAACTTTTGGTTTGCTACTGGGCCCTACTACAGACTGAATTCCTGGCCATGGGATACTGTGATCCTGCAAACTGAACTATCCCTTCTGAACTGGGTGCTATGTTAATCTGTTAATCTGCCTAGCCAGGAAACTGCTATGCGCAGAAGCACTTCATCATCAAGGACAAGTGGTAGATATAAGAGTGGAAATGAAGCAAGTTATGAAGGCACCAGTAAGTTAAATAAGCAGATGGCTCATACTCTAGTACACCAACTCCTACCACCAACAACCCTCAACCAACCCTTACTCATATGCTGTTCCCTATAATCAATTAGTTGAACAGGAACAAAATCAGAGCCTATTTTACAATAACTTAATACAATATGCTGGCACCAGATGAAAGTGGACTGCTGTGGTATTACAGAGCCACTCAGGGATGGTCTTGGAAGGCAGTGGTGAAGGGAATTACTCTCGGTGAGGTGAACTTTAAGGTGTATATCTCACTGTCTACTCAGCCTGGGAGGAGAGAGAGCCTGAGGCAAGGATATATATCCTAATTTATTGGCAGTGGGAAAAAAATGGTTCGGCTGAATTATTAGGGCCTTGGAAAAAAGTAGAGGATGGCTAACGAGATTTGGAAAAGAGGTATGTGAAAAACTTCCAAAATTACTGTTTGGACTATAGAGTTTGACTACAGTTGGCCTAATGTTAATGTTCACCCAAAGAGTCCCATGGTCAAGGAGGCTCTTGGTCAAGTGGGGAAGACACCTGCTCTGTGAAGGTCAGCTAGCCTTTCTCTGTAGCCGCTCCATGACTTGGTCAAGGGACTTATGAATAGAGTGGCCACAGCGACAAAGATGGAGTTAATGTATTAGTCAACACAGATACCCTCCTCACTGGCGCATGCCATATGCCCAATCTGTCCAGAGAAGCAATCAATCCCAGCCTTGATAAGGTACCACATCTCAGGGACCATTTAGCCACCTTGTGGTAGGCTGATTCCATTGGAACCCTTTCCCTCATGGAAGGGGCAGTGATTTTCCTTATTAGACTGAAAACTCAATTGAACTTGGACCTGGACTTATTTAATCTTACTCAGTGCCATGTATCCACACAACATAGCTTCAGGCCAAGGAATGCATTTCTATACCTAAAGATATAGGAAAGTGCCCACAGGAGTTCACAAGTCTTCCCATATAATCCATCACCCAGAACCAGCTGGCCTTTTTATTTTAATTTTTTTTAGAGACAGGGTCTGTCACCCAGGCTGGAAGTGCAGTGGTGTGATCATGGCTCACTGCAGCCTTGATCTCCTGGACTCAAGCCATCCTCCCATCCCAGCCTCCCAAGTAGCTGGGACTACAGGTGCATACCACCAAGCCCAGCTAATTTTTTAACCTTTTGGAGAGAAGGGGGTCTCGCTATGTTGCCCAGGCTGGTCTCAAACTCCTGGCCTCAGATGATCTTCCCTCGTCAACCTTCCAAAGTATTGGGATTACAGGCATGAGCCACCATGCCTTGCTCAGCCAGCCTTTTTAAAGGTCTGAAAATCCACTGAAGATTCAGTTAAGGCCACATATGCTCAGAACTAGTCAACATGATATAGTGCTTTTTCACCCAAAGCCTAAACATCTGTTGGTTTAGAGGTTCTAGAACCGAGAAGAGGAACATTATTGGGATTGCTTTCTTTTTGTATTTTCTACAATTTCCAATGAATATATGGCAACTTTTTTTTTTTTTTTTGAGACAGAGTCTCACTCTGTCGCCCAGGCTGGAGTGCACTGGGGCGATCTCAGCTCACTGCAACCTCTGCCTCCTGGGTTCAAGCAATTCTCCTGCCTCAGCCTCCCAAGTAGCTGGGATTACAGGCGTGCCACCACGCCTGGCTAATTTTTGTATTTTTAGTAGAGATAGGGCTTCACCATGTTGGCCAGGCTGGTCTCGATCTCCTGACCTCAAGTGATCCACCATCTCAACTTCCCAAAGTGCCGGGATTACAAGCATGAGCCACCACGCCGGCAATAACTTTTAAATGAAAAAAATGTTTTAGACCGGGCACGGTGGCTTATGCCTGTAATCCCAGCACTTTGGGAGGCCAAGGCGAGTGGATCGCTTGAGCTTAGGAGTTCAAGACCAGCCTGGACAACATAGTGAAAACCGGTCTCTACCAAAAATACAAAAAAATTAGCCGGGCGCGGTGGCATGCACCTGTGGTCTCAGCTACTAGGGAGGTAGAGGCTGGAGGATGGCTTGAGCCTGGGAGGTGCAGGTTGCAGTGAGTTGAGATCACGCCACTGCATTCTAGCCTGGACGACAGAGAGAGACCCCATTTCAAAAAAAAAAAGAAAAGAAAAAGAAAAAAATGTTTTTTAAAAAGCATTCTAGAGGCCGGGAGTGGTGGCTCATGCCTGTAATCCCAGCAATTTGGGAGGCTGAGGCAGGCGGATCAACTGAGGTCAGGAGTTCGAGACCAGCCTGGCCAACATTGAGAAACCCCGTCTCTACTAAAAATACAAAAAAAAATTAGTCAAGTGTGGTGGCGTGTGCCTGTAATCCCAGCTACTCAGGAGGCTGAGGCAGGGGAATTGCTTGAACCCGGGAGGCAGAGGCTGCAGTGAGCCGAGATCACGCCATTGCACTCCAGCTTGGGCAACAAGAGTGAAACTCCATCTCAAAAAAAAAAAAAAAAGCATTTTAGGGTGGGCACAGTGGTTCACGCCTATAATCCCAGCACTTTGGGAGGCCGAGGTGGGTGCATTACCTGAGGTCAGGAGTTCGAGACCAGCCTGGCCAACATGGTGATACCCTGTGTCTACTAAAAATACAAAAATTAGCCAGGGATGGTGGTGGGTGCCTGTAGTCCAAGCTACTCAGGAGGCTGAGATAGGAGAATCGCTTGAACCTGAGAGGCAGAGGTTGCAGTGAGCCGAGATCACATCACTGCACTCCAGTCTGGGTGACAGAGCGAGACTCTGTCTCAAAAAAAATTTTTTTAATTTAATTTTAAAAAGCATTTTAATGTCCAACTTATCTAGGCTTGTTCCTTTTGATTTTCCAAGTTCTTACTCTGGAGGTGATGATGGTGGTGATAACAATAATTTATATAGTACTCACCATGTTCCAGGTGCTAGTCTAAACTCTTTACATGTATTAACTCACTTAATTCTTAACCAGTCCTATGAGGTATTATCATTCAATGAGGGGACAGAGGCAGAGGTTAAGGAACTTGCCTGAGGTCACACAGGTAGTAAGTCAGGGAGCTGTGATAGGAAACCAGGTAGCCTGGCTGTGGTGTCTGCCTTGGCCTCTCTTATATGACCTCTCATGCCTGCCATAGTTCTAATTTGACTATCATGCCATAAAAAAAGAATTGTCACTCCACACTTACCTGGCTAATAATGATATTTTTGACTGTATGTCCCAACTTCCAGTGCCCCAGTTCATGGCCTAGTACAGCGAGTACCTCCTCATTTTTACATCCTTGTTTCTTATTCTGAATAAAAAAAAATCAAAAATAAATTATTGAGAACCTTTAAAAAGTTTTATCTTTTAACCCAGTAATAGCCCTTCATAGATTTTAACTTAAAGAAATAATCAGTTTTGTTCAAAACTGTTGATTGTCTTAACAAAACATTCCCTGAACCACTGCTCCACATGAGACAGTGGGTTAAGCACTGAAGATAGATAGAATGACGAACAAGATGGACATTCCCAGACTACATAAAGCTCACAGTCTAGACTAACTTAGATTAGGAAAAAAAAAACTGGAAGAAATAGAAATCTTTATAATGGGACAATAGTTAAATAAATCATGATAAAGTTATATGACAGTCACATTATATTACAAAATCATTAGAAATTTTGTTTTCAAAGATTAGGGCCAATTGCAGTGGCTCACGCCTGTAATCTCAACACTTTGGGAAACCGAGGCAGACAGATAACTTGAAGCCAGGAGTTCCAGACTAGCCTGGCCAACATAGCAAAATCCCATCTCTACTAAAAATACAAAATATTGCTGGGCATGGTGGCTCATGCCTGCAATCCCAGCACTTTGAGAGGTCAAGGTGGGTGGATCACGAGGTCAGGAGACCGAGACCAGACTGACCAACATGGTGAAACCCTGTCTCTACCAAAATACAAAAAATTAGCAGGGTATCGTGGTATGCGCCTGTAATTGCAGCTGCTCTGGAGGCTGAGGCAGGAGAATCAGAGGCTGCAGTGAGCTGAGATCACCAGTGAGCTGAGATCACGCCATTGCACTCCAGCCTAGGAGACAGAGCAAGACTCCATCTCAAAATAATAATAATAATAATAATAATAATAAATTAGCCAGGCATGGTGGTGCATGCCTGTAATCCCAGCTACTCAGGAGGCTGAGGCATGAGAACTGCTTGAAACTGGGAGGCGTAGTCTGTAGTGAGCCAAGATCACGCCACTGTACTCCAACCTAGGTGAAAAAGTGAGACTCCATCTCAAAAAAAAAAAAAAAAGGGATGATGTTTTGACATTGGAAAATGATTAGGTGAAGAAAGTAAGACACAAACTAAAAATATATAGTATGATTCTAATTATGAAACAATGTGAATGTGTATATAAAAATATACAAATATAAAAAGTAGACTGAAAGTATATACAAATGTTAACAGTAGTTATTATTATTTATTTTAGATGGAGTTTCACTCTTGTTGCCCAAGCTGGAGTGCAACGGCACGATCTCGGCTCACGGCAACCTCCACCTCCTGGGTTCAAGTGATTCTTGTGCTTCAGCCTCCTGAGTAGCTGGGATTACAGGCGCATGCCACCACACCCGGCTAATTTTTGTATTTTTAGTAGAGACAGGGTTTCACCATGTGAGTCAGGCTGGTCTCGAACTCCTGACTGCAGGTGATCCACCTGCCTTGGCCTCCCAAAGTGCTGGGATTACAGGCATGAGCCGCTGTGTGGGGCCTAGTCCCATTCTCTTACTAAGGAGCAAATAACCAAGGATTTACCAGATATATGAGGTAAGCTGTTAACACAGAAGATCTGATCCACAAAAAAAGCAACATGAAATAAATTATATAAAGAGAAAGTTTAGAAAATTAAGACATTGCACCTAAGAAAAAGTAACGAAATGCTGTAAATTGGAAAATTCAGATAAAAAAATTATTAGAAATCCAAGCTGAAGGCCAGGCATGGTGACTCAAGCCTGTAATGCCAGCACTCTGGGAGGCTGAGGCAGGTGGATCACGAGGTCAGGAGTTTGAGACCAGCCTGGCCAACATGGTGAAACCCCGTCTCTACTAAAGATACCAAAAAAAAAAAAAAAAAAAAAATTAGCTGGGCATGCTGGTGCACACCTGTAATCCCAGCTACTCAGGAGGCTGAGGCAGGAGAATTGCTTGAACCCGGGAGGAGGTTGCAATGAGCTGAGATCGCGCCACTGCACTCCAGCCTGGGCGAGAGGGCAAGACTACATCTCAAAAAAAAAAAAAAAAAGAAAGAAAGTTCAATACAATAAAGGATTGGAAGATGATGAGGGAATTCTAGAAAGCAGAAAGAGATATATTTAAAATGGAAAAGAGGGTTAAAAAGATAGGAGAGTTCAGTATAACAAATCCAGCACTCGAGTAAGAGGAGCCCTGAAAACACAGAATTTAAAAAATGGAGAGGAGAAAAATCAACAAAATAATTTCAGAAAATTTCTTACAACCATAGGACCTCGATTTCCAGAATAAAAGGGCCTAATGCATATATTACAGTGGATGAAAACAGTGTGATGCATATAACATGGTAGATGAAAACAGATCCCCATCAAGGTATGTGAAATTTTAGAACACTGAAACAGAGAAAGATCTAACAAACTTCCAGAAAAGCAAACAAAAACAAAAACAAAAAAAGTAACAAAAGGATCAGCAATTTTTTTTTTTTTTTAAGACAGGGTCTCACTTTGTCACCCAGGCTGGAGTGCAGAGGCAGGATCTCAGTTCACTGTAACCTCCACCTCCCAGGTTCAAGCAACTCTTGTGCCTCAGCCTCCTGAGTACTGGGATTACAGGCGTGCGCTATCATGCCCAACTAATTTTTGTATTTTTTTGTAGAGACAGGGGTTTCGTCATGTTGGCCAGGCTGGTCTCGAACTCCTGGCCTCAAGTTATCTGCCTGTCTTGGCCTTCCAAAGTGCTGGGATTACAGGTATGGGCCACAGTGCCTGACCATAAGCAGATTAACTTTCTAAACTTGCATGATTCTCTAGTGTTATCACTGGGTTATTCTTTCTGGACTTCAGTTTTCCTATTTATAAGATGACTTTAAGATGTCTTCTAATCCCTTCACAGAATTTTATTTCATCTACGTATTTATAACAGGCTAGGTACTTTACTAGAACCTGTTTTTAGTGTCAAAACAGATGCTCAGATGCTAATCATTTTCTGGTACTCTCTACATTTGGGTAGAGAGTACAAGGTATTTCACACATATTATTTCATTTAATCTTCAAAACCCTAAAATGTAGGTATCTTTAGCCTAGTATTTCTCAACCAGGGGAGACTCGGCCCCACCGCTACCTTTAGGGGACATCTGGCAATATTCTGAGACATTTTTGTTGTTACAATTTGTAGAGGTTGTAGGGGAAATGGCCCCTAGTGGGGAGAGACCAGGGATGCTGCTAAACATCCTGTGATGCACAAGATACCTCCCACAACAAAAAAATTATCTGGCTCAAAAAAATAGCGTGGGGCTTGAGAAACCCTACTGGCCTCATCTTTCAGTTAAGAAATCAAAGATTTAGAAAGCTTGGCGGGGTGCGGTGGCACACGCCTATAATCCCAGCACTTTGGGAGGCCAAGGCAGGCGGGTAACTTGAGGCCAGCAGTTCGACCAGCCTGGAAAACATAACAAGACCTCATCTCAAAATAAATAAATACATAAATAAATGAAAGCTTAACTTACTTGCACAGAGTTACACAGACAGTGAGTGAACAGGCATCTAAAATCATCTCTGTATGACACCAAAGGCAATGGCACATTCCATCACACATACAAATACTGATGATCATTTCTGACAGTTTGTATTGTTTCTTATCATTGTCCCCTCTCCCCCATTTAGTCTTGATACTTTAAATTCTGCTAATCAATATCAGTCAATCTTATCCACGAAAAGGATTCAGAAGCAGCTTTCTCAGACTCTCATGTCAGATTTGAGAAATGTCTTTTCTTGTGCTCCAGTTACTATATCTAGAATCTAAAGCTTGACAGTAGCAATTCACGTATTGTACTGTGATTGCATGACTATTTCCCCTTTAGACTGTAAGCTTAAGAGGAAGGTATTCCTTTTTATTTTTGTGTACCTAGTGCCAAGTAAAGTCTCTCAGCACAGAGTATACATTTCATAAATGGGTGTTAAACAAATAAAACAGACTAAATTACACAACGTATCCAAGGATACAAAGCTACTAAATGACAGAACCAGGATTCAAATCCAAGTCTCTCCATTGCCAAAGCCTACAATTACTGTCTTAATAAAGCTAAAAATTAGATGTTTATCTTCTCTTTATCTTGCTTGTGGGAATTCTTTGATCATAAACACATAAGAAATTATATATATATATACACACACATATATATATATACACACAAGTTCCTGTTTTAAAGATAGCTTATAATCATATGAATTTTCTTATAAGAGCTTCCAATTTTAATATCCACATTCTATAAAAGCTTGCAAGGTAGTTAGCATGTAATAATAGTGGTGATCTCTCCTAAATACCAGAACTATAAAGGAGCCATGGTTTTCATCTGATAGTCTCCCTGAATTCAACACTCACTGCCTAGAAATTGATGTTATTTTGAGTTGTCACAGGAACTGTGTATAAAAACTAAGGTAGAATCTCTTAGGAAAAAATAACTCACTTTAACTTTAGCTTTTATTTCTTCACTGTTCCCTTCTTCCTCATTGCGGGGTTCCATGCCAGAATCCTCCTGGATGTCTTTGTTTAGTACAGAGTACTCTTCTAGTAGAGTGTCAAACAAAACTATTCGCTTGTTCTTGAAGAAGCCATAAAAATAAGCATTGCTGTGGGAAGAGCGTTTAGATCCTAAGGAAAAGACAGTTCAAAGCATGGAATATAATTAAAAAGTTTGGGGTCCTTTGGAGAGACTCCTAGAAATTGAATTACTGGAAAGGACATTAACATTTTCAAATCATTTAATATGTGAAGAAAAATCATATCAACATAATTCACCACCAGCAGTGGAGAGTGTCTGTTTTTTGCCAATAAATGTGCTCATCACAGCTTTATAGCAGTAAGTAAATAAGTAAAGCCTAAACATCCAACAGTTACAAATGATTCAATTATAGTAAAACTATGAAATGGAATTTTAAGCTGCCAGAAAAAAATTATACTTCCAAAGAATTTTAACAAGAAAAAGCTCACCAATATATTGTGAAGGATACAAAACTTCACGTATATCAGGTTCCATTATCGTCAAGAAAAAATGTGCATGTATTAGGTTGGTGCAAAAGTAATTGCGGTTTTTGCATTGTTGAAATTTGCTGTTTGATATTGGAATACATTCTTAAATAAATATGGTTATGTTATACATCATTTTAATGCACATTTCTCACTTTATGTTTTTTGCTAATGACATTACTTGCTGTTTATTTTATATTTATTTTAGATAAGGGAAATTATATTAGACAAAAAGCAAATTCAACTGGGTGCAGTGGCTCATGCCTGTAATCCCAGCACTTTGGGAGGCTGAGGCAGGCGGATCACTTGAAGTCAGGAGTTCGTGACCAGCCTGGCCAACATGGTGAAACCCTGTCTCTACCAAAAATACAAAAAATTAGCCGGGCATGGTGGCGCACACCTGTCATCCCAGCTACACGTGGGGCTGAGGCATGAGAACTGCTTGAACCCAGGAGACGGAGGTTGCAGTGAGCAGAGATGTCGCCACTGCACTCCAGCCTAGGCAACAGACGGAGACTCTGTCTCACAAAGAAAGAAAAAAAAAAAAGCAAATTCAAGCAATTTTCTTCTTTGAGTTCAAAATGGGTCGTAAAGCAGCAGAGACAACTCGCAACATCAACAACGCATTTGGCCCAGGAACTGCTAACGAACGTACAGCGCAGTGGTGGTTCAAGAAGTTTGCAAAGGAGATGAGAGCCTTGAAGATGAGGAGCGTAGTGGCAGGCCATCGGAAGTTGACAATGACCAATGGAGAGCAATCATCGGAGCTGATCCCCTTACAACTACACAAGAAGTTGCCGAAGAACTCAATGTCGACCATTCTACGGTCGTTTGGCATTTGAAGCAAACTGGAAAGGTGAAAAAGCCTGATAAGTGGGTGCTTCATGAGCTAAGCGAAAATAAAAATTAAAAAAAATCATTGTTTTGAAGTGTCGTCTTCTCTTATTTTACACAACAAACCATTTCTCTATCAGACTGTGACGTGAGACGAAACATGGATTTTATAGAACAACGGGCGATGACCAGCTCAGTGGGTGGACACAGAAGAAGCTCCAAAGCACTTCCCAAAGCCAAACTTGCACCAAAAAAAGGTCATGGTCACTGTTTGGTGGTCTGCTGCCAGTCTGATCCACTATAGCTTTCTGAATCCTGGCAAAACCATTACATCTGAGAAGTATGCACAGCAAATCGATGAGATGCACAGAAAATTGCAACGCCTGCAACCAGCACTGGGCAACAGAAAGGGCCCAATTCTTCTCCAAGACAACACCCAACCGAACATCGCAAAATCAATCCTTCAAAAGTTGAACAAATTGGGCTATGAAGTTTTGCCTGATCTGCCACATTCACCTGACCTCTTGCCAACTGACTACCACTTATTCAAGCATCTCAACAACTTTTTAAAGAGAAAACGTTTTCACAACTAGCTGGATGCAGAAAATGCTTTCCAAGAGTTTGCCAAATCCCGAAGCACAGAGTTTTACCCTACAGAAATAAGCAAACGTATTTCTTGTTGGCAAAAATGTGTTGATTGTAATGGTTCTTCTTTTGATTAATAAAGATGTGTTTGAGCCTAGTTATAAGGATTCAAAATTCATGGTCTGAAACTGCAATTACTTTTGCACCAACCTAACAAATATTAACAGAAAAGCATAAGCCCATGCCTATTAGGAAACATACCAAAATACTGAAATGTTTATCACTAAATTCTAAAATTATAGATTTTTGTTTCCTTTCTTTTCCCAAAGACTTTTAAAATCAGCATACCTACTTCTATAATTAAAGCAATTTTTATAAAGACTGGAAGAAGACATACCTTTTTTTCTTTTGAGACAGGGTCTCTCTGTCGTCTAGGCTGCAATGCAATGGCATAATCATGGCTCACTGCAGCCTTGACCTCCTGAGCTCAATCAATCCTCCTGACTCATCCTCCTGAGTAGCTAGGACTACAGACACATACCACCATGCCCGGCTAATTTTTTGTAGAGACAGGGTCTTGCTATGTTGCCCAGGCTGGTCTCTAACTCCTGGGCTCAAGCAATTCTCCTGCCTTGGCATCCCAAAGTGCTGGGATTACAGGTGTGAATCACCACAGCTGGCCCATACCTAAATTTTTAATAGCAGCTAACAGTACCTGAACTATGGTTGATTTTTATTTTCTTCTTTATGCACTTCTTTGATTTCTAAATGTCCTACAATGTGCAGTGAGTTGAGTATAGTGATTAAGAGCACAGACTTTGGGTTCAAATCTTGGCTCTGCCATGTATTAGTTCTGTCAATTTAGAAAACTTTCTTAATTTCTTTAAGCTTTAGTTTCCTATTTATGAAGCGAGCCTAATATCTACCTCATTGGGTTAGATGATGGATTACACGAGATATTCTTTTTTTTTTTTTTTTTTTTTTTTTTTTTGAGACGGAGTCTCACTCTGTCGCCCAGGCTGGAGTGCAGTGGCGCGATCTCGGCTCACTGCAAGCTCCGCCTCCCGGGTTCACGCCATTCTCCTGCCTCAGCCTCCCGAGTAGCTGGGACTACAGGCGCCCGCTACCACGCCCGGCTAATTTTTTGTATTTTTAGTAGAGACGGGGTTTCACCGTGTTAGCCAGGATGGTCTCGATCTCCTGACCTCGTTACACGAGATATTCTAAGTGAAGCAATAATATGCTGTCTGATCTTTATACTACTACTGTTATTCATATACTTTTTTCAAAAAAGAAATGATAAACATTTATTTCTCTTGGGAATTTGAAGTCTCTCACAAAAAACATGAATTTTCTATCTACTCATATTTCTAATGAAAAGTACTAGGCAGTATGTTTAGTAGTAAAACTTTGACAAATAGAAGCTATTATTTATTTATTGCATTATTACATTTCTTTTTGGTTTGGTTGCCAGGAAGAGCCAAACATGTTTGCTTATTTTGTCTGTGTTACCCTTTGAACACAGGGTATCCTTCTATCTCTATCTTTCCTGATCCTAAATTTTTTTTTTTTTTTTTTTTTTTTGAGATGGAGTCTTGCTCTGTTGCCTAGGCTGGCAGTAGTGCGATCTCTGCTCACTGCAGCCTCCGCCTCCCGGGTTCCAGCGATTCTCCTGCCTCAACCTCCTGGGTAGCTGGGATTACATGCACACGCCACCACACCCAGCTAATTTTTGTATTTTTAGTAGAGACGGGGTTTCATCATGTTGGCCAGGCTGGTCTCGAACTCCTGACCTCAGGTGATCTGCCTACCTGGGCCTCCCAAAGTGCTAGGATTACAGGTGTGAGCTACCACGCCTGGCTGCTAATCCTAAATTTTTTAATTAATTTAAAAATATTTATTAAACACTATCTGAAGTTATTTATGAAAGTAAGCAGATTGTATGCACACAAATAAAAGTAAATTAATGTCTTACTATCTCCCACCGGTCCAGGTATCTCAAAGTGTGGTCCAAGGAATACGCCAAAATCACCTAGGGGTACTTGTTAGAAGTAGATACTGGAAACACCTACTAAGTCAGAATCTCTGGGAATGAAGCCCAGGAATCTGTCTTTTAACAAACTCTCGAGGGACTTTTATACTTACTAAAGTTTAAGAATCCCTGGCAGGGTGCGGTGGCTCATGCCTGTAATCCCAGCACTTTGGGAGGCCGAGGCAGGTGGATCATGAGGTCAGGAGATCGAGACCATCCTGGCTAACACGGTGAAACCTTGTCTCTACTAAAAATACAAAAAAATTAGCCGGGTGTGCTGGCGGGCGCCTGTAGTCCCAGCTACTCAGGAGGCTGAGGCAGGAGAATGGTGTGAACCCGGGAGGCGGAGCTTGAAGTGAGCCAAGATTGCACCACTGCACTCCAGCCTGGGTGACACAGCAAGATTCCGTCTCAAAAAAAAAAAAAAAAAAGAATCCCTGTACTGTACTGTAAGCTTTTTATATCGCTGTGCCTGGCATGTCGCATACAGTCATGTACCGCATAATGACATTTCGGTCAACAGACTACATATAGGACAGTGGTCCCACAAAATTATAATAAAGCTGAAAAATTCCTATCACCTAGTGACCTCATAGCCACCGTAATGTTGTAGCAGAGCACACTATCTTTTCTATGTTTAGATACACAAATGCTAATCATCATGCTACAATTGCCTACAGTATTCAGTATAGTAACACGCTAGATAGGTTTGTAGTCTAGAAGCAAGAGGCTATACCATACAACCTAGGTGTGCAGTAGGTAACACCATCTAGGTTTGTATGAGTATAATGGTGTTTGCATGACAACGAAAAGCCTAATGGCGCATTTCTCAGAACATATTGCCATTATTAAGCAATGCATGACTGTATATTCAATGATGTTTATTTACTGAATGGATTAATGATATCGCTTGAGGTATGAAGTAACATATTTGAGAACTCCAAAAACAAAAACATTCTACAAAAATGTAAGGCATTGCCATTTTTTGTTTAGAATGCTTCCTCTTAATCTCTTAGCAGCATTTAACATAGTTGACCACTTTCTCCTTAAAACACGATCTTCTCCTGGTTTTTGAGACACCAGTTTCTCCTGGTTTTCTTCCTACCTCAAGGGCCTCTCCTCCTTAGCCTCCTTCCTGGCTGTTTCTCTGCTGACTCTGACCCTGGTCCCCTTCTCTTAAGTGCCTTCATGGATAGCACTGAACACCATCTATGTGCCAGATACTTCCAAATCTGTATTTTTAGCGCTGACCTCGCCCTAAAACTCCAGACTCATACATACAGTTACCTGTCTGACATCTCCACAGGGATGTCTATAGACTTATTTGTTGTTTGTATTCTTGTGTGTAGTCTTTTTTCTTGTCCAATATTAGAATCTCCTTTCAGAGTTTAGGAAGTGTCACACTATGTAAGAGGCTGCTTCTCATTTGAGAAATCTAAAAGGCCAGATATTTGTTTCCCCAGCACTCCGAGCAGCTAGCCCCATGCCCTGGCTTAGTCAATCAGATGTGCCCCTTAGGGATTCTGAATAGTTAGCTAATTACATAAAAAAGCAAAGCAGTGAGGAATTAATTCTGCAGGTGCTAGTGGCTGAATCCGGTGTTCTGAAGTAGCCACAGCAGTGTCCTCACCAGACAGGTTCTGCAATATGATTATAAGTTCCTAGCCTTCCTATGTAACAGCCCATTTTCTGAGCTTCGTAAACTTAATTTTCCTGTGGATTTTGTGAGATATCAAACGTTGTTTTTTTTTTTTTTTTTTTTTTGAGACAGGGTCTCACTCTTGTTGCCCAGGCTGGAGTGTAGTGGCGCGATCTC
The DNA here is from genome assembly GCF_000001405.40 of Homo sapiens. Classification (NCBI taxonomy): domain Eukaryota; kingdom Metazoa; phylum Chordata; class Mammalia; order Primates; family Hominidae; genus Homo; species Homo sapiens. The sequence continues at coordinate 40,275,700 of NC_000001.11, read as the reverse complement.
GACTCACTGCAACCTCTACCTCCTAGATTCAAGCGATCCTCCTGCCTCAGCCTCCCCAGTAGCTGGAACTACAGGTGTGCACCACCATGCCCAGCTAATTTTTGTATTTTTAGTAGAGATGGGGTTTCACCATGTTGGCCAGGCTGGTCTCGAACTCTTGACCTCAGGTAATCCACCTGCCTCAGCCTCTCAAAGTGCTGGGATTACAGGCGTGAGCCACCACGCCTGGCCAAATACTGGTTTTGTTTGTTTGTTTGTTTGTTTTTTGAGACAGAGTCTTGCTTTGTCACCCAGGCTGGAGTGCAGTGGCACGATCTTGACTCACTGCAACCTCCGCCTCCTGGGTTCAAGCAATTCTCCTGCCTTAGTCTCCCAAGTAGCTGGGACTACAGGCGCCCGCCACCACGCCCGGCTTTTTTTTTTTTTTTTTTTTTTGTATTTTTAGTAGAGACAGGGTTTCACCATGTTGGCCAGGCTTGTCTCGAATTTCTGACCTCAAGTGATCCGCCCACCTCGGCCTCCCCAAGTGCTGAGATTACAAGCATAAGCCACTGCGCCTGGTCCAAATAGTGCTTCAATAAGCAGTTTTTCTGCTTAAATCAGCCACAGTTGGTTTCTATTGCTTGCAGAATTCTAATACAATGTTTAGTAGGTTCCTCAATATGTAATATAGCCATTAGAAGTCTTAATTCCCCACAAACCTACTCTTCTCCTATTTTTTTCCATCTCAGGAAACTACCATATATCTAACTGCTCAGGTCAAAAGTCTAGGCCATTATCTTTGATGTCACTCTTTCCCTTATTCTCCCAATGCAATCAATTAGAAAATTCAATCAACTCTACCCTAAAACTTGTCCCAAATGTATCCACTTCTCTCCATTAATTACTATTATCCTAGTCTAAGCTACCATTATGTCCTACCTAGACTTTTGCCTGTCTCTACAACATATTCTCCATACAGTAGCCCAGGATATTTTAAAAACACAAAGCAGATCATGTCACTTTCCTGTCTAAGCCTTCAATGGCTCTTCCCACTGAACTCAAAATCCAAACTCCTTACCCTGACTTACAAAGGCCTATGTGGACTGATTCTTGCCTATGTCTCAGATTTCATCTCCTAACACTCTCCTGCTATGGTGCAGCCACACTGGACTTCTTCATGGTCCTTGAACATCTTCCCATTGACGTCAAATGGGCGGCTCCTCCCTTTAGGTCTCAGCTCAATCTGATGACCAATCTACAGTATCAACTTATCAGACCAAACTAGTTTAATTTGCTGCATAGCACTTGCTATCTGATAATATTTTGAGAGCAAGATTCTTGGCTTTTCACTACAATCTCCCTACCAATTTACAAATATGTAATGTGTGTTGTTATTGTCAGCAACAACATTCATTCATTCAAAATATTTTTGAGAATTGTTACTGTTGTTAACAACAATTAAAACATACATTATAGGTGAGTAAACTGCTGTTTGGCAAAGCTAAGTTGCGCAAAGTCACACAAGTAGTTTGTCTCGAACTCCTGACCTTCCACCTCAGCCTCCCCAGTAGATGGGATTACAGGCTGGAGCCACCAAGCCCAGCACTGGTAATCTGTGGTAGAGCTATGATTCAAACCCAAGCCTTTTGACCCTGAAGCCTGACGTCTGAAATGCTGCCCCCAACCTACTCAAATCTTGACTTCCCATTAACACCCAGCTCAGGTCATAACCTTCCATAAAGCCTTCCCTGACTATTTTATCTAAAATGAAAATAGCTCTCATACTCTGGATGTTGTAGGGGGAAAAAAAAAGATAAAAAGAAAATAGCACCGATATATTTCACATATTCTATTGACTACCTCCACTGTCATAGCATTAACTATTATTTCACGTTATCTGATTGTAACTTAAGGGATCAGCAACTTAGGTTGCTCCTTCAGTAAAAGCAGCTTAGAGACTATTCTGTTGTACTGATTAATGATTAAATTTCTAGTTTAATATTACCTAAAAAAAAAAGAGTAGTTATTTCAGAGGCTAAAGAAGTAAGTATGAACTGGCTTATTCTACCATTTCTCCACAGACTTTTAAGCTACTCCAATCGTGCCTTTAGTTGGGCTGTATATCCTCAGGAGCCACTAAATGTCTGACATATATATATATATATATATATATATATATATTTTTTTTTTTTTTTTTTTTTTAGACAGAATTTGGCTCTTGTTGCCCAGGCTAGAGTGCAATGGCTTGATCTTGGCTCACCACAACCTCCACCTCCAGGTTCAAGCGATTCTCCTGCCTCAGCCTCCCAAGTAGCTGGGATTACAGGCACGCACCACCACGCCCAGCTAATTTTTTGTATTTTAGTAAAGACAGGGTTTCACCATGTTGGCCAGGCTGGTCTCGAACGCCTGACCTCAGGTGATCCGCCTGCCTTGGCCTCCCAAAGTGCTGGGATTACAGGCGTGAGCCACAGCGCCCAGCCAGATGTCTGAAATTTCTATGTTCTTCCAGTTGCTGTTGATTCATTCTTTTCAGTTGTGACCATCTCTGTTCTCCTCTAACCCTGTGATTGTTTCTGCTTCTATTCCTTCATCTAACACTGCTGCTTCTCACTGGTAATATTTTATTTTAGAGCAGGGATCAGCAAACTGTAGCTCACAGGCCAAATCCAATCTGCCATTTATTTTCATAAAGTTTTATTGGAACACAGCCACACTCATTTGTTTAGTATTGTCTATGGCTGCTTTTGCGCTATAATAGTAGCACTGAATAGTTGCAACAGAGAACAAGTGGCCCGCAAAGCTAAAATATTTACTATCTAGCCCTTTACAAAAAACATTTGTGAAACCATAGCTTAGAGGAAATACAACTGAAACCCAGAAGGGTGAAGTCACTTGTCCAAGATCCTATAACTGGTAAGTGGCAGGAACAGAACTATTACATTCATTTATATGGACTTTATAAATTCTGAAAGTCATAGAACCTTACAACAGTTTCTCTCTACATCTCCGTAGTCTTCTTTGAGACTTTAATAGTCAACTACCAAAGTCTCAAAGAAAGTAATAGACTGGGTGTTAATGGGAAGTCAAGATTTGAGTAACGGTCAAGAGACCACTTAAATCTCAAAAGTAATCATCAAAAAAGCAGAGTATAACAAATCTGCAGTACTCAGTGGTACTGCAGTCTTTGGTAATCAATCTTCAGGTGAGTCCTCCAGAACACTGGATATTTTCTTGGAGGAGACAAGGCCAATAACACTGGCTTTGTTTAAGAGCCTCCAAACTAATACTAAACAGAATTTGACTATTCAAGAGTCCAACTTAACTACCTAAAAGAACTAGGCAGATAACAGAAGTGAATAAATCAGTCTAATATATAAGATAACATAACAGAGAGTGAAAAAGCCTTGGCCAAAAATTTAAAACAATACTGTAAAACCAAACAAACATAGCTGCAGACAAGAGCAGGATTTGGTATCAAGCCACCAGTTTCTATCCCTGGCCTATGTTATCAATTTCTGTAAATCTTAAAAAGCCAAAAGGTAAACTCCTAGCCTTTAAATAACAAATTTTAAAAAGAAAAAAACAAAAACTGATTAATTCTTTTATTAAAATTTTAAGAATAAAGTATCAAATAAAACAAACCACTTGGATAAAACTTTCTTATCCCCAGGTAGCCTTACCTTCCACAACATACACCTTCGTCAAAGGAAAGTCAATACTCTTTGCCATTACTTCAATTTCTTCTTTAAGCTTTCCCTCAGGCAGAGGTGTGAATTTGTCAAATAAAGGGGCAATATAATCAGCATAGATTGTGACAAGAACCTGAAAAGTAAATGTCAGAATAACATATGAACATGTTCTTAAAGAAAAAACATTCTTTATTATACAGATTAAATTATATTAAAACAACTATGTTGACCTCAAACTTGAGAACAAGGAACTTACTTGCTCTGGTATTCCCAGGCCCAAATAGTACCAGATAGTAAGAGCATAATATCTGTCTGATGAATTAAATTGAAATGAGTAGTCTGATAACAGAGTAAACTTATGAATTTTATTTTAAAGGATAATGCTACTAACAGTGATTAAAATCTCTAGGTGGTAATAAGTATAGTCCTTTCAAAACTATCTTGGGGATTTCTGATGCTTCATGAGTCAATCATAACACGCAGTTCTACCTTTTAGCGTAATCACAATAGACCTGAAGTCTTTCCCAAAAAAGAATTAGTAGAACTTGATTGTGTGCTGTTACTTGGTTGGCTTATCAGCTAAAATTAATTACCTGTAGTTCATAATTGTACAATGTGGTTGAAATAGCACTTCCTTAAGCATTTTTAGAGCATTTTCTCTGCTCTTTTTCATCTTACTTTAATTTGCCATACAATAGATACCTGTAAATCCAACTAGCGCCCATTTTCTGATCTTGATCCCATCAATGGAAAATGAAACAATGAGCATTATGTAATTCAGACTAAAATAAACCTCAGCTTGGGCATGGTGTCACACACCTGTAGTCCCAGCTACTCAGGAGGCCAAGGCAGGAGGACTGCTTGAGCCCAGGAGCTCAAAGCTGTAGTGCACTATGATCATGCCTGTGAAATAGCCACTGTACTCCAGCCTGGGCAACACAGGGAGGCCCTATCTCTAAAATAAAATAAACCTCATCAGTGGAGCTGAAGAGCTGATAGATGATAATTTCTGGGTGCACTGAACAGACCACTTTGGGTTTTTTCATTTGGGTTTTTTAAAAATTATTATTTGTAGAGACAGAGTCTCACTGTGTTACCCAGGCTGGTCTTAAACTCTTGGGCTTAAGCAATCCTCCCACCTTGGCTTCCCAAAGTGCCAGGATTACAGGCATAAGCCACTGTGCCTGGCCCTGAACAGACCATTTTGACTGCGTTGTAGTGTTTGTGTTGTGAAGCACTTGAGAGTATGGAAAGAGAAGAGGAATAGGAGATGTGAGGGAGGGAAAAATCAGGGGGAAAAGAGTGAGAGGGAAAAGGAAAGGAGAAGAGAGGCAGGAATAGGTGGCAGTTGGGGAGAAAAGGGAAGACAGGAGAAGGAAAGGAAGAAGAATGGGTAAAAGATAGAAGGGGAAGGGGAAGCAGATGGGGCAAAGAAGGGAGAGAGTGTCTAACGTGGAAGGGAAAGGCAAGGGAAGGGAAGCAGAAGAAAGCCAGTTAAGTATATGCTTTCTTTCTCTTGTCCCTCTTAAATCTCATTTCTCTTCAAAATAACCATGATTTTAGGCAGTGGAGGTCAGTCAGGAGTCATTAAATTATCACACTTAGTCATTCTGGTGGCAACTCGCAAATGCACAACCCAAAACTGCCTGACAACTGAATCATTAAAAGTGACTAACAACTAGTTTCTATGACCTGAAGAGTTAGCATAAGGAGAAGGAAATTTATGGTCAGTCAATACTCCTGTGTCTACAATCAAAAGCAGAAACCAAGGGGGAAATGTATATAAGCACCTATTTATATTTCAGCTGCTTCTTAAGAACTGTTTACATGCCAATGAAGATTACAGTAATCTCACCAAGGAACTTTTGCAAAAGAAAACGAAATAAAGATTTTACTCACCAGAGACACAACTAATGTGAACAGCCAGGCATAAATAAAAAAATAGTCACCCCCAATTTTAATAATGTAAAGTAGAAGTGAAGACACAGGCAACAAAATACACTGAGTCACAACAAATTTCTTGATTGCATCTTTCATGAAGAACCCCAAAGTCTGCAAAAAGAAAACATTACCACAAGAAACTGAGAAACTGGTTCTGCTTTTTAAAATAACTGATAAATAAATACAAAGGATACATTATTAAAGCAATTTTTAAAATTAACATGCAGTGAAACTATATTATATGACATTAGGCAGCTTAAGACAATGGGTAAATGTCTTGCATTTTACAGCTGAAAATTCATTTAAACCTTATTAACTGAGGACGAGTGCAGTGGCTCACAACTGTAATTCCAGCACTTTGGAAGGCCTAGATGGGAGGATTGCTTGAGCCCAGTAGTTCCAGGCCAGCCTGGGCAACATAGTGAGACCCTGTCACTACTAAAAATAATAATAAAAAAATTAACCCAGTGTAGTATAATTCATCTATAGTCCCAGATACTAGGCAGGCTGAGGTGGGAGGATTGCTTGAATCTGGAAGGTCGTGGCTACAGTGAGCCATGATCCTGCCACTGCACTCCAGCCTAGGTGACAGAACGAGACCCTGTCGCAAACAAACAAATGATTAGTAGCTGAAAAACAATAGATATTAGTGCTAAAGGAGTTTATAACATAAATTTCTTTTTTTTTTTTAAGAGACAGGTCTGGCTCTGTTGCCCAGGTTGGAGTACAGTGGCACAATGATGGCTCACCGTAGCCTCAACCTCCTGGGCTCAAGCAATCCTCCTGCTTTAGCCTCCCAAGTAGCTGGGACTTCAGGTGCATGCCACCACAACTGGCTTTTAGAATTTTTTTGTAGAGATGAAGTCTCACTATACTATCCAAGCTGGTCTTGAACTCCTGAACTCAAGTGATCCTCCCGCCTTAGCCTCCCAAAGTGTTGGGATTACAGGCGTGAGCCACTGTACCCAGTCAAGACTTTTTTTCTTTCTTTTTTTTTTTTTTTTTTTTTTTTGAGACGGAGTCTTGCTGTCACCCAGGCTGGAGTGCAGTGGCGAGATCTCAGCTCACTGCAAGCTCTGCCTCCCGGGTTCACGCCATTCTCCTGCCTCAGCCTCTCGAGTAGCTGGGACTACAGGCGCCCACCACCAAGCCCGGCTAATTTTTTGTATTTTCAGTAGAGACGGGTTTCACGGTGTTAGCCAGGATGGCCTCGATCTCCTGACCTTGGGATCCACCCGCCTCAGCCTCCCAAAGTGCTGGGATTACAGGCATGAGCCACTGGGCCTGGCCTTAAGTATTTTTTTTTTAAAATCAGTGTTGACCAGGTTGGCCTCGAACATGTAGCCTTGCCTCCCCGAGTGCCAGGGCAACTGGCCAGAGCCACCGCGGCCCCCAAGACTTTCAGCTATGATCTTTACCATATCTGTAGTTCCCTTTTTTCTCAATTCATACTCTGAAATAGTAAATTATGTTTAAATTATAAACAGTACAGGACAAAAGCACAGAAGTTTTTCACATTTAAAAGAGAACATTTGTATTCTTTATTATACCTGTTGATTGAAGCCATGTTTTTCTTCTATCACAAAAGTATTATAAAGACTCCATGGCAAACCAGTCAATGCACTGAAAAGTGTAGCCAACAGCAGAAACACCAGGGACTGAGTGATCTAAACAAAAGAAAAAACAAAAATCCAGTTTTTATGAACTACTGGCAAACAAATCAACAAGTATTTGCTGAGCACTTACTTACTACATCCCAAGCAATATGCTTGATTCTATGGATAACATAAGGTCTGAAATATCATCCCTGCCTTCAAAAAAGTTTACTTTTGAGAGAAGTAAATGAGAAACAAAACAATTCCTTTTTTATTACACAGGCACTATATGAAAGGTACCTTAAATCATACAGACAAATCCCTAAGATAAAGAGCCTGGATTCTTGGCTTACCACATGGAAGAAAGTCACCTGATAACTAAAAATACTCACACTGGACTATTACGTGATTGAGAAATAAACCATTGCAAATAAGCCTGTGATATTCTGGGATTTGTTATTGTAACTAATGTTATGCCAATACAGCATGGGTAACCAAGGACTATGCAAACAGAGAGGCAAATCTTAACATTGGCAGAAGCCAAAAAATTAACTTTAGTGGAAAGCCTGCCAAGCTAAAAGAAATACCATGACAAATACATGCTAATGAATCACATACCTCATATTCTGGTCCAAAGCCAGCATAACCACAGAACCGTCCAGAAAGTCTCCAGAGATAAGGTATTCCTCCAAAGAGAAGAATAAGCTATAAAACAAAGCATACTTTGATCACAGTTGAACAGTACTAGAAACTATCATATGAGAAAGCATGGTATAAAGAAAGAAAGGACAAAATAATCATCTCTATTAAAAAAACAAAAGAGGCCAGTACGGTGGCTCATGCCTGTAATCCCAGCACTTTGGGAGACTGAGACAGAAGCATCGCTTGAGGCCAGGAATTCAAGACCAGCCTGGGCAACAAGGTGAGTTGAGACCCCATCTCTACAAAAAATTTAAAAATTAGCTGGGCCTGATAGTGCGTACCTGTAGACCCAGCTACTTGGGGGACTGAGGTGACAGGATTGCCTGAGCCTGGGAAGTCAAGGCTCCAGTGAGCCGTGATTGTGACACTGCACTCCAGCAAGGCAATAAACTGAGACCCTGTCTCAAATAAAATAAAATAAAATAAAATAAAATAAAATAAAATAAAATAAAATAACAAAATAAAATATTTTTTTAAAAAATAGACCTATTTCACATTTAGCATAAATTATGCATTTAGATGAGTACTAACCATTGAGATACTAAATTTAGGTGGTTAATATAACATTTTTGTCTGTACACTATATATGGATGAATTGTATGGTATATGAATTGTATGGTACATGAATTATCTCAATAAAGCTGTTCTAAAACAAAACAAAAAAAAACCTTTTGTCAAAAGACCACAACAAAATCACAAACTAAACTTAGAAAGGTTAAACAGCTGGGTATGGTAGCATATGCCTGTAATCCCAGCACTTTGGGAGGCCAAGGCAGGCAGATTGCTTGTGCTCAGGAATTCGAGACCAGCCTGGACAACATGGTGAAACCTGTCCCTACAAGAAATACAAAAATGAGCCAATTATGGTGGCATGATTCTGTGGTCCCAGCTACTCGGGGGAGCTGAGGTAGAAGGATTGCTTGAGCCTGGGATGTCGAGGCTGCAGTGGGCCATGATCGTGCCTGCACTCCAGCCTGGGTGACAGAATGAGACCCTGTCTCAAAAAAAAAAAAAAAAAAAAAAAAAACTTGTTCGAAATCCAACAGCTAATGAGTGATAGAAATGGAATTTGAACCACATTAATATGGCTCCATAATTGTCTTTTCTGTGAAAGAAAATAGTCCTTTTCCATCAGAACAAAGCACAGAAGTGGAGAGTCATGTCCACTTACTAAACTGGGGAACAGAATGGGATTATCTGTGTCTTTGCTGGGTCAGGAAGAGGTGAGGTAGGGGCCCGGCTTTCACAGGAGAAGGCTCTTCCTCAGCACCACCCTTTGTCTTGGTCTTGGGCAGATAAAGTGAACACAGACATTCACTAAATAACCAGGACATTAGGAGCTAGGAAGCAGCTCAAAATTTGAGAAGAATGCATGTTTAAGAATTCTACCGCCCAAAACACATACAACTTTGTGGAACTCATTTGTCAAGAGGAATCAATTTATTTTTTCTCTCTGTAGGACAGCAGCTTAGGAACACAATGATCAATCACATTCCTTGACTAGAAGCACAATATTCCCACTGGTTCAGACATAGTTCCTCATGGTTTGAGGGGTTTTGGTACTATCATATTTCATGGGTACCCTTCCAATCTAATTCCCATTTTCATACATGTATCTACAAATAATATAGTGATTTATGTATGCTTTTAAAGAATGTATATAAATGACATCATATTATACTTATCAGTCTATGATTTGCTTTTTATATTCTAAATTTTCTTAGATCCATCCATGGTGGACTTCAACTTTATTTGGTATTATCAGGATATTTCCTAAAGTGTTTATAACAAATTACACTCCCATCAGCAGTACTCCAGTGTTTCTGTTTTCCCACAATCTCACCCACACTTTAAACTATCCATCTTTTAGACTGTTACCAGTACATTGGATTGGTTTAATATCATGGGTCTCAAATATGGTCTCTGGACAGCAGCAACAGCATCTGGGAATTTCTTAGAAATGCAAAGTCTCAGGCCCTACCCCAGATGTACCAAATCAGAAGCTGGAAGTGGGGCCCAGCAGTTTCTAGGTAAACCTGATGTACACTAAAGTTTGAAAATCATTGCTTTAATAAATTGTTTTCTTTTTTTAAGAGACAGAGTCTCACTCTGTCACTCAGGCTAGGGAGCAGTGTTATGATCATAGCTTACTGAATTTTTGAACTCCTGGGTTCAAAGGATCTTTCCATGTCAGCCCCCCAAGTAGCCAGGACTGTATGCACCACCATACTTGGCTAATTTTAATTTTTTGTACAGATGGGGTCTCACTATGTTGCCCAGGCTGGCCTCAAGCAGTCCTCTCACTGTGGCCTCCCAAAGTGCTGGGATTACAGGCATGAGCTACTGCACTCAGCCCCAATAAATTGCTTTTCAAAAGGCTCCCCTAACACTACCTCCAGGTATTTCCACTTTACTACAACTAATTCAATCTTAGACATAAACCTTGTTTTCCCAAAAGACATGCTTTGGTACCACTGTCTGACATATGCTGTAGTTGTTGATCTAATTGACCTGGGATGGTATTTCTTTCAGCCAATTCCCAATACTAATAAATAATGTATAATTAAGGACTTATAATGCTTTTAGTAAAGGCCACAGCAACTATTATTAAAAGTCCAGTATTTAAATAAGCATCAAGGGTAGTTTTAATATGAATTCTGAATGATCTATAAATGCATTTGAAAACTGATACTGCAAACCTTTTGGGGACTGAAAAACAAAGCATGTTTAGTTTCTTTTGGGGACTGAAAAACAAAGCATGGTGAACTGTACAATGTCTCTATGTTGACAATTTCACTAAGCATGCTCCCAGGGTTGTTCTATGGCAAAATTAATGATCCCAGAAAAAATAATTCCAGCGCTTTGACATATATTATTTCACTACATTCTTTTTTTTTTTTTTTTTTTTTTTGAGACAGGATCTCACTCTGTCACCAGGCGGGGGTACAGCAGTGTGATCACAGCTCACTGCAGCCTCCATCTCCTGGGCTCCAGCAACCCTCCCACCTCAGCCTCCAAGTAGCTAGAACTGCAGGTGCACATCACCACACTCAGTTGATTTTTTAAAAATTTTTTTGCAAAGATGGGGTATCACTATGTTTCCCAGGCTGGTCTCAAACTCCTGGGCTCAAGTGATCCTCCCACCTGAGCCTCTCGAAGTGCTATGATTACAGGATTGAGTCATCATGCCTGGCTTCACTACTACAGTCTTGAAAAACAGGCAGGGAAAAGGGTATAATCATCTCTATTTAATAGATGAGGCAACTGAAACTCTTTAACTGAAAGGTTACTTTAACTGAGAGGTTGAAGTAACTTGTCCAAAGAAACCCAATGACTAAGTAATTCCTACGCATTGAGCTTCATTTACGCTATCTCACTCACTTAGTCCTTGCCACAAACCATACAAGGTATGGCTTAACATCCACACACTTCTTATTTTATTTTTATTTATTTTTGAGATGGAGTCTCACTCTGTCACCCAGGCTGGAGTGCAGTGTTGCAATCTCAGCTCACTGCAGCCTCCACCTCCCGGGTTCAAGCAATTCTTGTGTCTCAGCCTCCTGAGTAGCTGCGACTACAGGCATGTGCCAACACGCCAGGCTAATTTTTGTATTTTTAGTAGAGACAGGGTTTCGCCATGTTGGTCAGGCTGGTCTCAAACTTCTGACCTCAGGTAATCCGCCCCCACCTCGGCCTCTCAAAGTGCTGGGAATACAGGCGTGAGCCACCGTACCCAGCCCACTTCTCATTTTAAAGATGAGAAAACTTAGGCTCAAGAAGGTGAAACTGCTCACATAGAAACATGCAAAAATTAGAGAAGCAACAATTTAAACTTTTCGACCCTGACCTACTCTGCTCCCCAGCCATTCCATTTCTTCAGTGGGCCCTTTATTGATATCTGTGAGATATTAGAGAAAGTGTCTCAGAGAGGCTGGAATTTTCTGTCTGGGTGCAGTGTCATATTTATGTGAACAGTGGCAACCATAAATGGCCACACAATGACTCTATTTAGGTTCCCTCAGGTAGAAAGTACTACGGCAAAAAAAAAAAAAAAAAAAGTCGAAGCTAATCTTCTCACTTGATCTCTGTGACCAAAACATACAAACCTATTAATTCTAATCAACACAAAATAGAAATTAATGAACTTGTTTCCAAACAAAACAAGGTTTCAAAGTTACCCAAAATATTCTTCCTGCCAAGCATAAATGCAGCCAGAAAATCCCCAGAGATAAATTTAGCACATTCATGTTGCAGTCTTTAGAGTTTCAAGAATGGATTTTTCAATGTCATTTTAAAGACTCAGCAGAACAGAGTTTGAAACCCAGTTATCCTACTTATTAGCATGTCCCTTGGCAATTAAACATGCAAACCCTTTAATTTATCCAAGCCTTTGCTTCCTCATTCATAAGAAGGGAATAATAATGCCTATCCTTTCCACTTCACTGTTGTAAACATCAAACAATACATATAAAAACTATGTATGAAGTGAAAATCATGACGACTATTAACTATTACTGTTCCCAACCTTAGCCCATCAGTACTGCTTCTAGTTTGAGCCACAGTACATTACAAAGCTCTCACTTTATATATGTATTCTCCCTATTTCTGTCATCCCCTAGAACAAACAGCCATTCCTATGGTCACCAACCATAATTACCAAGCTACTGTCTATCTTTCCTGGCACTATTTACCAGGGACAACCAAGGAGATTGAAAATGCTTTTCCTATTATTTTACTATGGCCCTGTAGTGGGTAAAGTCAAAGGACTTCCAAGAAGCAAACATCAGAAAGAGAATAGTGTCTACCTCATCTAATTGCCTTGTCATTATTAAACAGAGAATTCAGACTTTTCAGAGATGAAGAAAATATGGGAGCTATTAATCAGTATAGAACAAGAACTCTTGAGTATTACTTCTTCAGGTAGTGTTGTTAAGTTGTTCAACAATTCTCTGGAACTGGTGAAACAGAAGGGGAAATGTCAGTTGACAAAACAGCAAAACTCAGCCGTCAGACATCAACTGCAGAAAGAAGAGGCAAATACACTTACCAAGCAATGGAGGGAAAACATGCAAAATATTAAGTCAAGTTTGGAAGCAACTAGCTTTTGGGGAGAATGATACATTTAAGATCTTGGATATGTTTAATGTATTTTTTAAAGTTACTATAATTCTTTTTTGAGCTCCCTTTAGTCTTTTTTGGACCAAGGCCATTATATAAATACATAAGTAAACTCTCTTTCATCTATTTAAAAAAAAAAAAAAAAGAATAGTGTCTAAATTAACCACTTCTACTTCCATCTGTCTCTGAAGGATGATTTCCTACTTGTGACATGTCCCTAACAGAAGCAATGCTCAGATAAATTAACTAAAGCCAAGTCTTTATTGAAAAGATTACTTAATAGCAATAGCTGTGTATCCCCAAAGCCAATGAGACTTTGTTTTCCAAATCATTTATTAATTTTTCTAAATACCAAAATTTAACTCTTCTAGAAGCATTGCCATTTTCCATCACCTTGAAGAAATAAGTGCAGTTTCTAATAATTTGGATCTAACCACACTAGTCTTATTATTCCATACTTGTTAAGAAAAATTTTGTGATGAGCTAGACAATTCTGTCATTTACCACAGCTACATAAAGCCAGTTTCTTTAACTCATGAAACAATGATGGTAGCTGATCATAATTCTTTTAAATTTAGGAATCTTTCTCTTAGTGGTACTAGTAGATCTAAAAGTTCTAGAGAAATGATGATGATGATGATCAGGATGATAAAAATAAAAGTGGCAGGGCACAGTGGCTCATGACTGTAATCCCAGTACTTTGGGAGGCCAAGGCAGGCAGATCACGAGGTCAAGAGATCGAGACCATCCTGGCTAACATGGTGAAACCCCGTCTCTACTAAAAATACAAAAAATTAGCCAGGTGTGGTGGCACGCGCCTGTAGTCCCAGCTACTCAGGAGCCTAAGGTAGGAGAATCGCTTGAACCCGGGAGGTGGAGATTGCAGTGAGCCAAGATCGTGCGACTGCACTCCAGCCTGGGCGACAGAGCAAGACACTGCTCAAAAACAAAAACAAAACAAAACAAAAAAAGCAACAAAAAAACCCCACATTATTTCATTCAATAAATAGGAACTATATGCTGATTACATGCCAGGCACTAGGTATAAAATGATGAACAAGACTTAACTATTTCTTTAAGGAACTACCAGTCTGCCAATTAAACAGTCAAATCAGGCCAGGTACAGTGTGGCTCATGCCTATAATCCCAGCACTCTGAGACGGTATGGTGGCATGCAACTGTAGTCCCAACTACTCGGGAGGCTGAGGTGGGAGGATCATTTGCGCCTAGGAAGCAGAGGTTGCAGTGAGCCAAGATCACGCCACTGTACTTCAGCCTGGGTGACAGAGCAAGACTGTGCCAGAAGAAAAAAAAAAAAATCCAGGCAAATTCAACATAATGAGATAAGTACTCTGACAGGAATAATGATAGAATGCTACCCTATCCACATTCGTCAGGCAGGGAGTTTCAAATGGTTGCTTAGAAGACATGACATCTCAGCTGGATCCTAATGGAAGAGGATCTTTTTCCTACCTGGCTTCAGGGTAATAGTTCCCATATTCTATAGTTTTCAACTGACTAAGCAGTTATGTTTCTGTCTTTTTTGCTCCACAGCCGTTACTATCAATAACAAAGGTTAAGAAAGCATTCTGGGACTTGTAAGTGTGGTACCCTCTTTTGTGTTACAAAAATATGAAAATGAAAACAACCAGACAGACTGTCTCTCCAAGAAGTAAATTACTCACAGTGCCTTCAGTCTCTGAATAGAGTCCTGACCAGAAGCTGAAAGTGCTTTTATCCAGTTGATAGAGTCGAGATTTCTCAAATGTTTCAGAATCCATGATCTGTCCTAACTCCGGTGGTACATGAGTTGTTGTTTTATATATCCTTCTCTGAAATATTTTAAAGAAAACACTTTAGTGAAATAGTTGTTTATTACAATAGTCATTTATGATCAAACATCGAATGGTTTATAGCTTGCCACTTATATCTGTTGAATTTGCTTTATACCTACACAAATATTGCACTTGATCAAGTACATGAAACGACTGATGCAGGAAAATAAAAGCAGAACAAGAGAACCTGAGGTGACCTGACTGGTAAAACTATAATCAGGGTTGTCATCACACTTCAGTTTGTATATGTAAACCAAAGCTGTTAACATCACAACTTTGTTACATGTACTACTCATTCTGGGTATTACATACCTCCTATAATACGGAAAACAAATTCATGCAAAGGAGAAGCACACATGCTAACTGTGAGTATGAACAGATACTGAGGCTGCTCATTAAATTTGGTCCTAAATGCCAGAAACTTGAGGATCACCAGATGGAAACATATCAGGTCTGTGAGAAAAGACCAATTTTCAGCCGGGCACGGTGGGTCACGCCTGTAATCCCAGCAGTTTGGAAGACAGGGGCAGAAGGATTCCTTGAGCCCAGGAGTTCAAGACTGGCCTGAGCAATGTGGTGAAATCCCGTCTCTACAAAAAATACAAAAATTAGCAGAGTGTGGTGGTATGCACCTGTGGTCCCAGCTATTTGGGGGGCTGAGGTGGGAGGATCACTTGAGCCTGGGAGGCAGAGGTTGCAGTAAGCCCATATTGTGCCACAGCACTACACCCTGGGTGACAGAGAATCTATCTCCTTAAAAAAAAAAAAAAAAAAAAAAAAGGAGAAAGATCAACTATCTCATTATACTAAATTATAAAAGGTAAGGGTAATTTCAGTCCAGGAAATGTAATACAGAGAATGGATACCAAACAAAATAATGGGCCACTACAACATGCTTTCCCTATATATTGTTGTGTGCCAATAAAAGCTGAGGGGAGATCGAGCACGGTGGCTCATGCCTGTAATCCCAGCCCTTTGGGAGGTGGAGGCGGCAAGATGACTTGAGTCCAGGAACTCCAGACCACCCCGGGCAACATCTCTACAAAAAAATCAAACAATTAGCCAGGCACAGTGATCCGCACCTGTGGTCCTAGCAACTCAGAAGGCTGAGGTGGAGGTGGAGGGGTCGTTTGAGCCCACGAGTTCGAGGCTGCCTTGAGCTATGATGATGCTACTGTGCTCCAGTCTGGGTGGCAGAGTGAGCCCCTGTCTCTAAATACAATAAATATTCTATCCTGGCCAAGATGGTGAAACCCCGTCTCTACTAAAAATACTAAAATTAGCTGGGCGTGGTGGCACGTGCCTGTAATCCTAGCTACTCGGGATGCTGAGGCAGGAGAATCATTTGAACATCCCTCCCTCTGCGCGCTGCTGGCAGTGTCACAGACACACTCTTCCCCTTGCAGACTCTCCCTCGTCCCTCCTAGTTTCTTGCAGTGAGCCGAGATAACGCCACTGTACTCCAGCCTGGTGACAGAGCTAGACTCTAAAATTAAATAAATAAATAAAGATTAAAAATAAATAAATAAAAGTTCAGATCTCTAAACCATGGTTATCTCAGGTAAATTGTTAACTTTCACTTTTTATTTTACCATTTTAATATTTAAACTAAAATAATGTTGATTTTATGAAAAACGAGAAATATATTTCATTTAATTTCATTTATTTATTTATTTTGAGATTGAGTTTCACTCTTGTCGCCCAGGCTGGAGTGCAGTGGCACAATCTCAGCTCACTGCAACCTCCGCCTACTGGGTTCAAATGATTCTCCTGCCTCAGCCTCCCAAGTAGCTGGGACTACAGGTGCGCGCCACCACACCCGGCTAATTTTTCTATTTTTAGTAGAGACGGGTTTTCGCCACGTTGGTCAGGCTGGTCTCGAACTCCTGACCCCAGGTGATCCGCCCGCCTCGGCCTCCCAAAGTGCTGGGATTACAGGCATGAGACACCACGCCGGGCCCGATAAGTTTTTTGTTTGTTTGTTTGTTTTTTCAAGCAGAAACAATATATGCACTTTAAGGAGAAACAAGAGTGCAAGTTCTTGGAAGGACTGCAAAATCCTATGGTTAGGCATGATTACATAAATGTCATGAGGAAGTTGGGTGTCTAAATCCTTTTAAAGGCTTATTCCAAAGATAAAGGAGGCCAAGTCTGGGCCCAAGGATCCCAAGGAAGCTGCAGGGAGGGCACAAGAGCCCAAGCCTTCCTCCAGGCCCTAAAGGGATTGGGTCCCATGATAACGTTACAGAAAACTTCCTTGACGCACCAAGACCCTCCTCAAAGCCACAGTCCGCCATCGGGCCAAGTTACGAGACTCAGCAGGGACCACAAAGACGAGACTGGCGCGGGGACCGAAGCAATCAAGAGTCTCAGGGTCGAAGCCAAGGCTACTCCAGGGCTGGCCGGGTATGGGGGTCAGGTTGGACCCTGTCTAGGCTCACCTGCCGCTGTGCTAGGAAGGTCTCCCAAAGATACACTGTCCAGGAAAAGAGCAGCACGGCCCCGAAGATACGCTTCTCGGCCGGCATCTCCCACAAAGCGTCCAGCGATGCCCACATCCCCATGGCCACCCGGTTCCGCCGGCTCCTTCAGCGTGCACCGGTGCCACACCGACACTCGTCCCTTCAGAGCGTCCCCGCGGTGTCACAGCAATATCCGTTCTTTCCGAGGGCCCCTACGCCGATACCCGCCCCCATCCCTCCCTCTGCGCGCTGCTGGCAGTGTCACAGACACACTCTTCCCCTTGCAGACTCTCCCTAGTCCCTCCTAGTTTCTACAGGAAAAGCCCCAGCCCCACCTTCCTCACTTCCGGCCCAAAGAGGGCGGGGACCCAAACGCCGAGTTCCGGGCCCGGCTGAGCTGTGTTGCATCAACATTCTTCCCCCACGTCTTGACGCTGGGTTCCGGCCTAGGGTTCTGGCTTTCCTCCTGGGCTAGTGAACGCGGCGAAGTCCTCCTCTTTCTAATCTCCAGAGCCGCAGTTCCATCCTCTGGGTCAGCGGCTTACCCTGACTGGGCTGCGGTATCTGCCTTCCTTCCCCCAACAAGGCGACAGGTAGTCGGGGCTGGGGCCGGAACTGACTGAGTGGGCCGCAACTGACTGAGTGGGCCGCGGCTCCCGCCTGAGGAGGCTAGGAAGGACTGAACAGCAGCCGACTTCCCAGGCTCTAAAAATCGTGCCTCTGAGTTAGAGCTACCTCAAAAGCAAGACCAAGCATGAGAAATGGAGTCTTTTGGCCAGTATTGGGGTGTTCGGAATTCAAGCGTATGAGAGAGTGGACGGTAGCGTTGAGAATTTTCATTTGAAGATCTCGTCTTAACCACCCCAAGTGTAGTCAGAGGCGGCGTTTTCCCTGCGAGAGTGCCCTGGAACAAAGCAAGGATAGCGTGGGTTAGACATACCTGAAATGAAAGCGTCTTACTTTATCTAGGTACATATTTGCGTCAGTAAGGCGCAACGCCATTTCTCTCTTGGAATTCAGAAGTGAAATATGGTGACTGGGACGCCTGTACATTGCTTTGACTTAAAAATTGAAGTCCATTATTCTGACCGAAAGTTAATCTGATGATTAATTGGTTAAACATACTATCGTTGCTAATTAGCATAATTATTATTTACAATAAAGTGAGCTAAATAGCTACAACTAAAATATATTTAAATTACTGTGATATTGTGATGCTAAAGATGTGTTGAAATTAATATCTTGAATTTCTCAACCCTGCCTAAATGCCTCTGAGAGTAATTAGTATAATTAAAAGTCACTAGAGAAAGTGAATGACTCTAATAACAGGATAACAAATTCTTTTCAAGTCAGATGGTTTCCAGTTCTTTGCTTTCAACAAAATTAATGGTGGCCCATGAATTGTCAGCTGATGAAGGAACACTATTTGGTTTTTGGCATGCAACTCGGAAAGAAACCAAACGATTGATTGACATGCTTACAACAAAACTACTAGCATTCTCACCTATTTATGTAAAACCATTTCTCAGCACTTGTATCTGTGAAAACAACAGAATTGAAAATGAACCCTGTTAATCTACCAGTAGGAACTATTCATCCAGATAAATGAATTAATTGGTGGGTCAGCCCCATCTATCTCACTAAGAGATGTGTTCCCAATAGAATTTCACCTTTTATAACTGTGTGTTATCAATATTTGCAATCGTGTCATTTTGATCCATTATATACTAAAGATGATTGTGATGATTACTCACTTCAGAAGAATTCCAGCGTAGAGCCATAAAGTTACACGAAATTTTTTAAGGTTTACTACATATGTCATATTTTTATTGCGAAGAAGTGATCAAGAAAAGGTTGTTCAAACATCAAAGTACTATATTTGAATAACATTTTTTGTTAGAGTACAATCTAAATATGTTAGAGATAATAAAAGAACAATGTTGAAGAGCTCATTAGTGTATGTTTTAATGCATAATGGTGGTTATTCAGTTGTTATGTAGATTCTCTTGGATACATTATAAAGAGTGATTTAACAGTTTTATCTTAAAATGTCAGTATTTACAATTTGCAAGAATTTACATCCATTGCAACTATTTGAATTTATGATGGAACCAGTTAGATACCAACTTAAATATATAAGGGGTAAACACTTTTTCAAAATTTTCTCTCCCTCAGGCCATCATTGCTATGCCCTCTTCACTCTTGACTTCAGCTGTCTGTGAGTCCAAAGCCTCACAGGAGCTTCTACCACCCAAGCTTTGTGGCTAAGGGCACAGGTTTAGAGTCAAGCTGCTTGATTGCCAGCCACGGCCGCACCATGTATTAGCACGTTCTTTAATCTGTGCATCAGATCCTCATCAGTAAAATGAGAATAACATAGTATGTACTTACTTTCTCATACTGTTAGGATCAAATGAGAAAATTCATGTAAAGCTCCTAGCAATGTAGATGGCCCTGAGTGCCCAATAAAGGTTAGCTACTGCTTGGGAGAGGGGCATCATAGCATTGATCTGTCACCATGTGTCTGAAGAGATAGGAGAGTAGGAGGCCGAGGTGTCAAAAAGCCAAGACTGACTGGAATTCATTCATTCAATAAATACTGAATGTCTGCGAAATGCCAGACGCATTTCCAGGTGCCAGGGATATAGCAGTGAACCAAAGCCCCTCTCCTGGAGCTTACATTCTTAGCTGGGGTGGATGCAGTGTTTGATAAATAATAAGCAAATATTTAATAGTAAAAGTGGAAGTGGTGATAAGTGCTATGAAGAAAAAGCAGCAAAAAGGCAATACAGCATGTTGGTGTGAGGGATGCTGCTTTACATAAGTTGGTCAAGGAAGCCTTCTCAGATTAACTGGCATTTGAGTCCCCCAAAAAAAGTAAGAGAACAAGCTGTGTGGATATCTGAGGAAATTGCCAGTCAGAGTGAAGAGCAAGTGCAAAGGCCCTGAGATTGGCCAATGCTTATCATATCTGAGGAATGGCAAGAGGCTGTGGAAAGAGTAAGGAAGAGGGGGAGTGCAGATCCATGCCATCATGCAGTCTTTTAGTTAAAAGACTTTTACTTAGAATGAAAGAATAAGCCATTGCAGGATTTTGAGCAGAGCATTGCAGAGTTTTGAGCAGACAATCCTTCTCATTACAACGTGGAGAATAAATTTAATGGGGAATGGAAGGAGGGAGTGCAGTTAGGAGGCCATTTCAAGAATCCAGGTGATTTAGCAGTTGCCAAGGATATCAGAAAAAAAGAAAAAAGAATCCAGGTGAGAGATGGTAGTGCAGACTAATGTGGTGGCAGTGGAGAACTAGTGAATTATGGAAAGTGAATAATCACTTGTTTCTCTTTTCAGAAAGACAGTACTAATAGAAGGGCTGGCCTGTGTGGAGTCTAAAAATGGGAACCTCAAAACAGGCTGTTGGCAGGATTTTGCTAAAGGAGAAAGACTGGCAGGGTGTGCTGGCTCACACCTGTAATCTCAGTTCTTTGGGAGGCCAAGGTGGGATAATTGCTTGAGTGCAGGAGTTCGAGACCAGCCTAGGCAACACAGTGAGACTTCATCTCTATAAAAATAAATAAAATGACTGAATTTGAAAGATAAAGATTATTATCCCTAGAGTGATAGACATTGCTGTAGGGTAGTCCATCTACCCTGTCTAACCTAAATCATAGAGTTGCTCTCAAGCTTTTTCCCTATCTTGCCTTGATTCTCTGCTTACCAAGCATTCAAGGTCCCTTAATTGAAACTCTGGCCATAAGTGCTCTGGCCTCAAGAAAAGAATGATCCCCCTTGGCTGGGCGCAGTGGCTTACGCCCGTAATCCTAGCATTTTGGGAGGCCGAGGTGGGTGGATCACTTGAGGCCAGGAGTTTGAAACCAGCCTGGCCAACATGGCGAAACCCCATCTCTACTAAAAATACAAAAAAAAAAACAAAAGACAAAAAACCAGGCATGGTGGTGGACGCGTATAATCTGGAGGCTGAGGCAGGAGAATCGCTTGAACCCGGAAGGCGGAGGTTGCAGTGAGCGGAGATCACACCACTGCACTCCAGCCTGGGTACCCTTACAAGAGCAGCTGTTATTTCTTTTGCATCTAGCTCATTCTACTTTCTAGCTCATACGTTCTGTCTCTCATATAGGCTACTAATTCTGTGTTACTCCCTGTTAAAAAAGAACAAAAACAAAAACCCTGTAATGGTCCATTTATGATAGTATAAAGCCCAACCTATATATGGTATATATGGTATGACCTTCGAGGTCCTTCATTACCTGACATCAGTCTACTCTTCAAAACTCTTCTTTTTTGGCCGGGCGCGGTGGCTCACGGCTGTAATTCCAGCACTTTGGGAGGCCGAGGCGGGTGGATCATGAGGTCAGGAGATCGAGACCATCCTGGCTAACACGGTGAAACCCTGTCTCTACTAAAAATACAAAAAATTAGCCAGGCGTGGTGGCGGGTGCCTGTAGTCCCAGCTACTTGGGAGGCTGAGGCAGGAGAATGGCATGAACCCGGGAGGCTGAAGTTGCAGCGAGACAAGATTGCGCCACTGCACTCCAGCCTGGGTAACAGAGCGAGACTCCGTCTCAAAAAATATACATATATATATATCCTTCTGGGCCGGGCGCAGTGGCTCATGCCTGTAATCCCAGCACTCCGGCAGCCCAAGGCGGGTGGATCACCTGAGGTCCGGAGTTCCAGACCAGCCGGGCCAACATGGTGAAACCCCATCTCTACTAAAAATACAAAAAGTTAGCCAGGCATGGTGGCGGGCGCCTATAATCCCACCTACTCGGGAGGCTGAGGCAGCACAATCGCTTGAACCTGGGAGGCAGAGGTTGCGGTGAGCTGAGATCGCGCCACTGCACTCCAGCCTGGGCAACAAGAGCGAAACTCTGTCTCAAAAAGTAATAAAAATAAAAATATACTTCCATGATGATCCCGCTCAGGAATATTATCTTCCATTTCTTTGTCTGCCTATGTAATCATTTATGGGACACCTCGATGTCACTTCCTTTGCAAAGCCTTTCCTGGCCCCACCCTGTATTCACCCACCTGTTTTTGCATTTAGTACACGATACAGTGAAGTCTCATCCAGGGGTGGCATTTTAACTCCAGTGGATCAGGCAGAAATTACAAATGGTCAAGATTACCCTTCCCTTAGGAAGATGCCCCTTTGGAGACTGCTATTTTTTTTTTTAAAGACAGGGTCTCACTCTGCCATCCAGGCTGCTTGCTGCAGCAATCTCCTAGGCTCAAGTGACCCTCCTGCTTCAGCCCCCTGAGTATCTGGGACTGCAGGTGTGCACCACCACACCCAGCTAATTTTTTTATTTTTTGTAGAGATAAGGTCTCACTATGTTGCCCAGGTGGGTCTCGAACTCCTGAACTCAAGCAATCCTCCTGCCTTGGCCCCCCAAAGTGCTGGGATTACAGGCGTGAGCCACTGCACCCAGCCTTACATTGTGTCTTGTTGAGCAGCATAGCCAGTTTTTCTCCAGGAAGGCAACAAATCACTTTATCTGCATACCAGATGAAATGTTTTTTTTCTGTAGACCTCCTCTGTGGGTATGAAATATTTCATTTAGGTGCCAGATAGTTACACAGTGTTTCAGATGACCATGATCTCATTTATTGGGGCAAAAATGCACACACTATAAGGTTGGTGGAATCTGAGGCCTGCTGAGAGAACCATTTTTTGCCACCTCCCAGGCGGGCCATCTCTCTCTCTCAGGGTACATACTCATTGAGTGGAATCTCTACATTCTTCCCTCCCTGCCAAGGAGAATTCTCTTCAGTTCAAGATGTTATGGCCAGGTGCAGTGGCTCATGCCTGTAATCCCCGCACTTGGTTATGCCAGGGTGGGTGGATTACTTGAGGCCAGGAGTTCAAGACCAGCCTGGCCAACATGGTGAAACCCTGTCTCTACTAACAATGCAAAAATTAGCAAGGCGTGGTGATGCACACCTGTAATCCCAGCTACTTGGGAGGCTGAGGCAGTAGAATCACTTGAACCCAGGAGGCGGAGGTTGCAGTGAGAAGAGATCCTGCCACTGTATTCCAGCCTGGGTTACAAAGCGAGACTCTGACTCAAAAAAAAAAAAAAAAAAAAAAAAAGTTATGACCCCACTGTATTATAATTCCCTGATCTGAAATTACTTGTCCATCCAGCCAAACTGAATGCTCCTGAAGCACTCAGGAAAGATGCCTAGGGATTATCACAATGCTTAGCATAGAGTAGGTATCAGTAAAAGTTGGATAAAATTAGTCTCCTTTATGTCAGTCTGTATCTACTCCCACCCTTGCCCACTTTTGAGTAATTAATGCAGGAGACCCCTGGACTGCATATATACCTTTAGGCCAAAGACCAGCACAGGGGTCAGCCTACCTCTAAAGGACAGTCCACTGCAGGGCCCTCAAACAGCACTTTCCTACTTTTTATTATATTTAGTCTAACCTCGTCAGCATGGACCTCAAGGCCATGTACCTGACCACCCTCCCTTCTCTTCCTACAGCCTTAGATTCCAGCCCAGCTATCCTCTCCCATCTATGGCAGCTTATGGTCTCCAGCCTGCTGAGTGTACACCACAATCCTAGAGACATTTTTAACTACCACTATACCCCACTATACCCCACCATCCATACAAGTAGAAGCTCAGCCCTACTAAATAGAGAGCTAGTCTTTGCACGGTAATTTCAATAGCGTTCTCTATCTTTATTGATACACCACTGCACACATGAGGGAAACAGTGCTTTCCTGGAAAAGATTGGAGTCCATCACATTTCAAATGGGGGAAGTAAACCCTGATGTGGACAAGGGACTCTGGCAGTCAGAGCAGCTGCAGTAGGGCTCAGAGGAGCAATCCCTCTTCGTGGCAGGTTTTTGAGCAACGATTATCCCTTCTAGGTTCTTCATTTTGTTTTCCACTGTCTTAAGTTTTTTCAAAATTTTCTCTTGCAGACCCAAGGACAGGAAAAGATTATTATTGTCTTGAATTCGGAGACCACTTCCTTCTGGGTTGGCTAGCAAAGCCTCAAAAATATGTGAGCCCTTCTTGTAAAGTTTGTAGAGTGTGATTACAAACAACAATGTTTTCTAAAATGGAACAACAGAAGTTGAGTGTTAGTTGCTACAGTTTACTATCTATAAGAGAAAAACAAAACAAAAACCTAATAGTAACAATAATTCCTCATTCCAATAACAAGTCTCCCATTTAGCAAATTTTTTTTTTTTTTTTTTTTGAGATGGAGTTTCACTCTGTCACCCAGGCTGGAGTGCTGTGGCGCAATCTCAGCTTACTACAAGCTCCGCCTCCCAGGTTCACGCCATTCTCCTGCCTCAGCCTCCTGAGTAGTTGGGACTACAGGCGCCCACCACCACGCCCGGCTAATTTTTTGTATTTTTAATAGAGACGAGGTTTCACCGTGTTAGCCAGGATGTTCTCAATCTCCTGACCTCGTGATCCGCCCATCGTGGCCTCCCAAAATGCTGGGATTACAGGCGTAAGCCACCATGCCCGGCCTTAGCAAAATATTTTCACACCTATTTCATCTTTTGATTTTCACTGCAAACTGGAGAGGTAGGCAGGTCAGGCAGGATTATTATTTGCATTTAATCAAGATTGTAATAATAGATAACCATTTTCTGAATGTCTGGAAGTAACTTTGCCTTTGCATGATCTATTTATGCAGAAAAAACACAACTGGATAACTATATACCTTCTAGTTTGAACTCTGTCATTGTCCAAGGTTATATATTGGAAGTGGCAGAGCCAGGACAGGAATCCAGAAATTCACACTTCCAAGTACACTTTAGGACATAGTAGTCTGAAAAACTGGATTTCTTGGTCATGGAAAAGGTTTTTAAAATATACTAGGAGAGATCTGGGTACAATGGCACACACATATAGTCCCAGCTACTAGGGAGGGTAAGGTGGGAGGATCACCTGAGCCCAGGAGTAGTGTGCTATGATGGCACCTGTGAATGGCTACTGCACTTCAGCCTGGGCAAGATAGCCAGACCCTGTCTCTTAAAAAAATTAATGTATATATATATATATTTTATTTATATAAAATAAATTATAGGTGTGGACCACTGCATCCAGCACTTTGAGAGGCTGAGATGGGAGGATTGCATGAGGCCAGGAGTTAAAGACCAGCCTGAGCAACATAGTGAACGTAGCGAGACCCTGTCTCTACAAAAAAATTTTTAAAATTAGCCAAGCCTGGTGGTGCATGCCTATGGTTCCAACTGCTCAGGAGGCTGAGGCAGGAGGATCACCTGAGATCAGGAATTTGAGGCTGCAGTGAGCTATGATGACACCACTGCACTCCAGCCTGGGCGACAGAGCAAGACACTGTCTCTAAAACATAAAAAAAAAATAAAAAATAAAAATAAAGCATATGCTGGGCACGGTGGCTCATGCCTGTAATCCCAGCACTTTGGGAGGCCAAGGTGGGCGGATCACCTGAGGTCAGGAGTTCGAGACCAGCCTGGCCAACATGGTGAAACCCTGTCTCTACTTAAAATACAAAACATTAGCTGGGTGTGGTGGTATGCGCCTGTAATCCCAGCTACTCGGGAGGGTGAGGCAGGAGAATTGCTTGAACCTGGGAGGCAGAGGTTGCAGTGAGCCGAAATTGCACCATTGCACTCCAGACTAGGGGACAAGAGCAAGACTTCATCTCAAAATAAATAAATAAATAACAAAAGAATATGTATAGTAGGACAGATTCTTGCTAGGATAAGAAAAAAAATCATCTTGTTCCTTATTATAACAACTAGCACCACTTTTTTTTTTTTTGAGACACAGTCTTTGTCGCCCAGGCTGGAGTGCAGTGGCACGATCTTGGCTCACTGCAACCTCCACCTCCCGGGTTCAAGCAATTCTTCTGCCTCAGCCTCCTGAGTAGCTGGGACTACAGGCGCGTGCCACCACCACACCCGGCTAATTTTTGTATTTTAAGTAGAGATGGGGTTTCACTGTAGCACCACTTATTGAATATATGTGCTAAGATTTACACATACAATATCTTCTTTAATCCTCACAATACACATATATATGCGCATGCGCGTACACACACACACACACACACACACACACACACACACACACACACACATTCCTGTTCAAGATTTAGGTCAGTTGGTTTGCATTAAATGAGATTTTGGAGAAGAACTGAATTTCAAATCCTAAAAATTCGATTCAAACTCCAATTTTGCCAGCTCTTACAAACTATGTGAACTTGGGTGGGTAGCAATCAAGTTCTCTCATCTACAAAATGGAGCAAATAATCTCTCCCTGACTGTTATGCAGGATTGTGATGGTTTAAAATAGAAAGGCCCCGTGACCATGATTACTAAACAATAGTGACATATGAAAATAAGTGAATGCTAAAAAATGATCCAATAACAACTTCTCTCTGCATTTATCAAGTAAACTTGTCACTCTAAGAAAGCCGTTTTAAAAGCCTGTCACCTTAAGTTTCCACTGAACCTCAGTGCACCTCAGTTTCTTCACTTGTCATGTGAAAATAATCTCCATCCATTTCATGGAATTTTTGAGATTCTCAAAGCATTCAACTATATTGTATGTCAACTATTATTATTGGTGACTACACAGAAGTATGTAAAATCCTGTCTCTCACAATCCCAGCCAGTTAAATTCCTACTCCCCAAAGAGCTCCTATATACTTATGGAGCCTTATCTTGTCAAAACACAATAATGAACACATTGTGATGACTTAATACATATGCCTCCTTATCAGTTACAGAACAATGGCATAGTAAGAAAGGCCATACTCATGATCCTAGCTACTTTGGTGCCTATTGTATAAACATAGTAGCACTCAAAGATGAATAAGTGATCAAAAATTTTTGAGGGTAAGGCTGTCTTTTCAGGTTACCAACATGTTTGGTCTATTTTATTACAGAAGACAAGCCAAAGACCATTGTGAGAAAAGCATTTTTATGCCCAAAGCCTAATTGGTGGAGATTTTCAAGGATAACCTAGTTTTTGCCAACTTAAGAGACAAAGGTTCGCCTTTGCACATCTGCATGATCTTAAAACTGGTGGCAGCAATATGGGAGAGAACTAATCAAATTTCAATTTATAACTATATAAATGTTTGTAACAAAAGAGTATAACCTGAATTGACTGAATACTTCGTTTCCATAAGGCATATATTCCTATTCCCAATAAAATCAAGAAAGAAATCCTCAAGATGATTTGCACAGCTGGAGCAAGATTATCTAATAGTCCCAAACTTGTTTGCTGAGGTGCACTAGTCTCTCCCAAAAAACTTGCTTGTATCCAATTCCATACTGTGCTGAGAGAGAGAGACTCTAAGAGGTTGTCCCAGCTAGAAGATGAAGATGTTGACATTTTAATAAGCAGCAGCTCTAGGAACTACATGTGCAGAAGCTTCAGGAATCTAAATATGAGTTAGGGGGAGTAGTCTGGAGGCCTAGGTATTCCAGAGCCATTGTGAGCTGTGCTTTGTGATGTCACTGTTCCAAAGGTCAGCTTGCTTCCCACTCACCCAACCAATGAATCTTACTCAAAACCAACCAGGCACCGGCCTGGGTTTTCAGTTCATTCATATTGCTTTGTCTGATCTTTGGCTAGTTCTGGCTCTAGCATAGTGCTGTCCAGTACAACTTTTTGCAATAATGAAAATGTTCTTTATCTGCCATGTCCAATATGGTAACCACTAGTTACCTGAAATGTGAATAGTGCAGCAGAGATTGCATTTTACATTTTAACTAAATTTGGCTGGGCATGGTGGCTCACGCCTGTAATCCCAGCACTTTGGGAGGCTGAGGCAGGTGGATCACTTGAGCCCAGGAGTTCGAGACCAGCCTGGCCAACATGGTGAAATCTTGTCTCTACTAAAAATACAAAAATTAGCCTGACGTGGTGGTGCACACCTGTAGTCCCAGCTACTTGGGAGGCTGAAGCAGGAGAATCACTTGAACCTGGGAGGCAGAGGTTGCAGTGAGCTGATGTTGTGCTCCAGCCTTGGTGACAGAACGAGACTCCATCTAAAAAAAAAAAAAAAAAAGTTAAATAGCCACCTGTGGCTAGTGGCTTCTCTCTTGGTTAGTGTAGATCTACATTTCCAACAATTCAAATGGACAGCAGCTGTTGCAGCTGTTTTCACATAATAAAAAAAACTGAGTTGTATTGAGGTTGAATGGAAATGTGAGGAGATGGGATTTTTTATTTTTATTTTTTTGAGCTGGCGTGTCACTCTGTCGCCCAGGCTGGAGTGCAGTGGTGCGATCTCAGCTCACTGCAACCTATGCCTCCTAGGTTCAAGCGATTCTCCTGCCTCAGCCTCCTGAGTAGCTGGGATTACAGGCGCCCGCCACCACGCCTGGCTAATTTTTTGTATTTTTAGTAGAGATGGGGTTTCACCATTTTGGCCAGGCTGGTCTAGAATGCCTGACCTCAAGTGATCCACCTGCCCTGGCCTCCCAAAGTGCAGAGATTACAGGCATGAGCCACTGCACCCAGCAAGGAGGTAGGATATAAACAGGGCTTTTTTTTTTTTTTTTTTTTTTTTTTTTTTTTTTTTTTGAGGCGGGGTTTTGGTCTCGCCCTGTCTCCCAGGCTGGAGTGCAGTGGCGCAATCTTGGCTCACTGCAACCTCTGCCTCTGGGGTTCAAGCGATTCTCCTGGCTCAGCCTCCTGAGTAGCTGGGATTACAGGCATGTGCCACCACGCCTGGCTAATTTTTTTATTTTTAGTAGAGACGGGGCTTTACCATGTTGGTTAGGCTGGTCTCGAACTCCTGACCTCGTGATCCACCCGCCTAGGCCTCCCAAAGTGCTGGGATTACAGGCGTGAACCACCACACTCGGCCTTCAGTTTACCTTTAATAGTGGCATCCACCCACTCATCTGTCAGTCACTTCCACTCAGTAGTCTTCCATATCATGCCCTATTAGGACTTACTGACTTAGGCAATGCCTACTTTCAAGCCTTTGGTAAATTCTTTTTTTTTTTTTTTTTGAGACAGGGTCTCGCTCTGTTGCCCAGGCTGGAGTGCAGTGGTGCGATCTCAGCTCATTGCAACCTCTGCCTCCTGGGTTCAAGCGATTCTCCTGCCTCAGCCTCCTGAGTGGCTGGGACTACAGGCACGTGCCACGCCTGGCTGATCTCTGCATTTTTAGTAGAAATGGGGTTTCACCATATTGGCCAGATTGGTCTCGAACTCCTGATCTCAGGTGATCCTCCTACCTTGCCCTCCTAAAGTGCTGGGATTACAGGCATGAGAAATAGCACCCAGTCCGCCTTTGAAAAATTCTTATAGGTTCTTCATTGTCTTTCAAACAAAATCCAAAATCTGTAACATGGCTAACAGGGCACTAAAATGCCTGGTCCCTGCTTACCTACCAAGTCTTCTCTTCCTCTGCCATTTGTTCTTTCAACTCCAGCTATAGTAGTCTTATCAATGTCACCAACACACCAAGCTGTTGAACCACAAAGCTTTGGCACATAATTGGATTACTCTTGTTCTTTGCCTAGCTTCCCCCTCCTCCCCCAGCTTGGAGGTCAATGCCTATTCACAGGTGCGATTATTGCACAGTACAGCCTCTAACTCCTGGGCTCAAGTGATCCTCCTACCTCAGCCTCCCGAGTAGCTGGGACTACAGATTATTGCCTGGCTAACTTCTATTGATTCTTTAGGTTTCAGTTTAAACATTATCCTCAATGAAGCTTTTGCTGTCCTTTTTTGGTCCCCTTCTCATAAGCCCCTCCACCCCCCCTGTTTAAAAGCACTTTTACTTTATTATTTGTACTGTTTTAATGTCTGTCTTCCCTACTGGATTATTTTTTTTGTTGGGGGTGGGGAGGTTGGGGGCACAGGGTCTCACTCTGTTGCCCAGGCTGGAGTGCAGTGGCCTGATCTTGGCTCACCGCAACCTGTGCCTCCTGGGTTCAAGCGGTTCTCCTGCCTCAGCCTCCCTAGTATCTGGGATTACAGGCGCATGCACCACTACAGCGCGGCTAATTTTTGTATTTTTAGTAGAGACAGGGTTTCACCATGTTAGCCAGGCTGGTCTCAAACTCCTGACCTCAAATATCCTCCTGCCTGTGCCTCCCAAAGTGCTGGGATTACAGGCATGAGTCACCGCACCCAGTCCCTTACTGGATTCTTAAATCTCTATGATGCAGGAAATGAGTCTTGTTCAACACCTACCACCCAGGGGCTAGCAGATGGTATATGCTTTGTAAATATTTGGCTTCTTAACCATTTAGATAGCTTTCCTACGCCTCTGGTCTTTTTTTTCAGGTTATACCTGTCAAATACATGCTGACAGATTTTTAAATCTCTTGCCTATCCTGGTTACCTTCCCCAGAGTGAATCAAACCTCCAAATGCAGTCTGTCACAGAAGCCACTCCTGCAGGAGTAGACCAAGAAGGTCACAGAGGGATAGGCCACTCTCTCTAGACACAGTTCTATATAATAGGGTATAAAATCAGTAGTATAAAGCCAGGAGGTATCACAGTTTACCTTGGGGTAGGAGGTGAGGAGGAGCAACTTTTCTGAGTTTTAGAAGTTTCTGGCCGGGTGCAGCGGTTCATGCCCGCAATTCCAGCACTTTGGGAGGCTGGGGTGGGAAGATTGCTTGGGCTCAGGAGTTCAAGATCAGCCTGGGCAACCTAATGAGACCTCGCCTCAAAAAATAACAAAAATGAGTAAGTTTCTTTCAGAAAAGAAAACTTGCCTTTTTCGTAGGTTACATGTTATTCACAGAAAAAAATATGCACGTTTCCCATCTCTATACTCAAATGAAGAAATGTCAGCACCATATGACTGTGGAGTTTGAGTTGAATAACCTGGCTTTCACCTACACTTCAAATTGTATTTCCCACTATTCACCTTCACAAACAACACTCACATTACAGAACTGTGGTATTTTTGGTACTTCAAATACCACCTGCAACTTTCCATCTGTTATTCCTTTACACTAAATGTCCCTCTCTGACATTCTTCTAGTCAGAAGAGATTGGAAACTGGGCTCCACCTCTATTTGTGCCAGCCAGGCAAGACACTTCATCTCGTTCTTTGTCAAATATAGTAACAGCACCTACTTCATAGGATTATGAAAATTCAACAACATAATTTTATGTAAAATGCTAAAAAGCACAATTACCCTGAATTCTCACAGTACTTTCCACTTCCAGGCCAGTGCTTCTAGAACTTTTCTGTGCCTAAGAATCACCTGGAGATCTTACTAACACGCACATTTTGGTCCAGTAGGTCTGGAGTAGGGCCTGAATTTATGCATTTTTATTAATAACAATCTCCTAGGTGACACCTATACTGCTGGCCCACTACCACACTTTAAGTAACAATGTTCTGAGATACTCCAGCCCTCCCTTCACCTTGTGAAAGCTTCTTGATGGCCCTGACAACTTTTTTTTTTTTTTGTCTCCCATTGCATCTGGAATTGTATCTCTTTAAATGTGTGTATTTAAATATTTGGTGAATGATTATGTCTTAGGCAGTTCAGCTCAGTAGGCCTTTTGGGACTGAGAAAGGATAGATTGAGAATGGAATACCCTGAGGAAGGCTAATAAAAAACTTTCTCCTCCACAGTTCCTTACCCTATTTCACACATGGGCTCATGAAAATGGGGAAAACACTGAAGCAAGAGAATTCTGGGTAAAGGCAAGAATAGAAGTGTCTGGAAGTCTTCATTCCTACTCACCATTTTGGAGGCACTCTTGAATTGAAAAAGCTTTGAAAACAAAGTCAGTGCTTTCAGGTCTGTGCCAGGGTTGGGACAAATTCCAGAGATATCAAGTTAAAATGATTACTACAAGCTAAAAAAATAACCCTTTGCCCTGTATTATCGTATAGTCACTCATGCTGGTTTAAACAGGAAAGTCTTTTTTTTTTTTTTTTTTTGAAATGGAGTCTTGCTTTGTTGACCAGGCTGGAGTGCAATGGTGCAATCTCAGCTCACTCCAACTTCCACCTTCAGGGTCCAACAGCGATTCTCCTGCCTCAGCCTCCTGAGTAGCTGGGATTACAGGCATCTGCCACCACACCCAGCTAATTTTTGTATTTTTAGTAGAGACGGGGTTTCTCCATGTTGGTCAGCCTGGTCTCAAACTCCTGACCTCAGGTTACCTACCCGCCTCAGCCTCCCAAAGTGCCAGGATTACAGGTGCGAGCCATCGCGCCCAGCCAAAAGTCTTTAATAAAGATCAAATGATGCAAGCTGCTCTAACTGGGATAGACAGTGATCTTGGGATCAACTACTTAGGCTTATACTTGAATTATTTTACTTTTTTTGAGACAAGTCTCGCTCTGTCACCTGGGCTGGAGTGCAATGCCGCGATCTCGGCTCACTGCAACATCCGCCTCACGGGTTCAAGCGATTCTCCTGCCTCAGCCTCCCAAGTAGCTGAGACTACAGGCGTGTGCCATCATGCCCAGCTAATTTTTTGTATTTTTAGTAGAGACGGGGTTTCCCCGTCTTAGCCAGGATGGTCTTGATCTCCTGACCTCATGATCCGCCCACCTCAGCCTCCCAAAGTGCTGGGATTACAGGCATGAGCCACCGCGCCCGGCCTAATTGGGTTCTTAAAATCTAGGTTTAGTTCCACTGTGAATGGCCTCACTTGGTCCTTCCAGGGGCTACAAGTTCTGTGTGGTTGAATGGATATAGTTCAGTCTTAGTAGCTTTCTCTTACTCTGGACTAACCATCTCTCTCGTATGAGGAATTTTTACTAGGCCTACAGGTGCTTCTCATGCTCATATCACAAAAAGGGACCTTTCACCTCTACCTCCTCCCTTCGTAAGTGAGGAAATTAAAGCCACTGAAGAAATTAGCTTGATTCCAAAGAAACAATACTGGTCTCAGTCTCTAAGATCCTTGTTTCTGCCACTTCTTTCAACAGAGTCTTACTCAGATCACTTGGATTTCTCAGAATCCTCTGTTACCTACTGGGATCTGAGACAATAAACGACTTGGTTATGGGAGTGCTTTAGACTCAGGGTGAGGTGACAGAATGAAATTCCTGAAGAGCTGACAAAACAAGAAAATAAGGTTTAAGAGTCAGAGAAAAGGTCTTGAAATTCTAACCACAATAGACTGGGTGTGGTGGCTCACGCCTGTAATCCCAGCACTTTGGGAGGCCGAGGAGGGTGGATCACGAGGTCAGGAGTTCAAGACCAGCCTGGCCAAGATGGTGAAACCCTGTCTCTACTAAAAATACAAAAAATTAGCCGGGCGTGGTGGCACAAGCCTGTAATCCCAGCTACTCTGGAGGCTGAGGCAGAGAACTGCTTAAACCTGGAGGGGCGGAGGTTGCAGTGAGTCGAGATCGCGCCACTGCACTCCAGCCTGAGCGACAAAGCAAGACTCCGTTGAAAAAAAAAAAAAATCTAACCACAAGGATGAGAAAGAGATGTTAGTTGTCTGAGTCACTTCATTACTAGCTAATGAAAGTAGTTGAAAACTTCACAAGCAACAGGAAATGAAGCTGCTGTATTAAAAGGATATACTGCTATCCTCATTAGACAGACATCCCACAGTCCAATGAAACTCAACACATCTAAAAGCCAAACTCACCTTGGTTTCCATTATCTTCCCAAATATTCATTCCTTCTTTGTATACCTACTTAAAATGGTTGCATCAGTACCAAATCTTTTCCTTCACTCTCCAAGCCCCCAAAATCCTGTCTCCTTAAATACTTCATCTACTCTGCCTTCTGCTGCAATTGTCAGTAAATACACTCACCAAGCTTGCCTCAATTACTTCAAGTATACTGTTTCCAATTTCAGCTTCTCAAATCAAGTGAGCACTCCACACTTCAACTGATATATGCCTATAGACTCAAATCCAAACTCCTTAGTCTTCATGATTTAGTTCCTGCTATCTCTACAATGATGTCACTCTCTTGTTCCCCTTTTATTGCCAGCATATCAAATTATTTGTAGTTTCCTAGAAACATGCCCTCTGAATTTGCTACGTCCTTCATGTTCTAGGTTGGCATATCCTCTCCTTTCTACTCGGCCAACATCTGGACATCCTCTGGGAGCTATCTTGACTCCCGCAGCTAATTAATCTCAGAATTATCTTTCCACAAAAACAAAAATTTTAAGATAAAAAGAACCTTGTTCTGGGATGGGCACGGTGGCTCATGCCTGTAATCCCAGCACTTTGGGAGGCCGGGGCAGGAGAATAACTTGAACCTGGGAGGAGGAGGTTGCAGTGAGTCGAGACTGCACCATTGCACTCCAGCTTGGGCAACAAGAACGAAACTCTGTCTTAAAAAAAAAAAAAAAAAAAAGAACCTTGTTCTGAATGATTTAGCTAATAATAAATAAAAAAATTACTGGGGTAAAATGTGAATGGCATATTTCAGAAAATACAAGTGCAATTTCAGTTTACATGTGGCATGAAAGCTCATTATGAGTAAACAACGAATGGGTGAAAAATTGTAATTTATTGAAACTCAACTCAAAAAATATAAGATGCTGTAGTGTACAATATATTACACAAAGCACCCTCAGGTGCACATTCAAGTCAAGTAAGAACTCCATATCCCTTTCCCTAGCCCTCCCACCCTGGGACCTTAGTATTTGTTCCATATACAATCATGCACACTTAATTTGAAAAAGGAAGCCCCAGTATATTTTGATGTATTAATTAGCACCAAACAAGTGTACAGTTCCATTTTTTTAATAAACAAACAAACAAAAATAAACCCAATCATTAAACCAACTGGAGAGCTAATGGACTCAGCCAATACTGCTGACATAGATATTATACATTCATGTAAATACACAGCCTATTCTACCCTAAACAACGGTGTGGCTGCTTCTCAGCCTTTGTTCGAGTTGGCAAATGTCCCCATGTTGCAGTGTTGGAGCCAGTCTGTTACTAAAACAAAATTGCTACTTATGAACTTCCTACACAAAGCTCATCTGTCTTTTTTGTTGGAAATAAGTCTAAAATTGGTGTGGAAAACTTAGATCTTTCAAGAACCACCACTGGCCGAAGATAATGAAGCTGTTTTAAGGCAAGCTCTCCACAGTCTGTTAATGCTTTGTCCAATACAACCCTCAGGTTTTCCAAGGAAGGAACTGTTGTTGTTTCAGCTACTATTAAAGGTGGGATTGCAGTCAGGTTCTCATGAATTGTAGAGTCACTGGAAGAATGAGGTATGTCAACTTCAGGTTCACTGTCATTCACCATATTATTTGCCACAACATTCCCTGTTAAATCATTACTGGACTGTGAAGAATTACTTAATGTTAAGTGCTCTGAAGGCTCCCAATCATCAAAATCATCTTCTTTCTCTTCACTTTCCTGAATAAATTTCAGAAATGAAGATTCAAATCCCATAGGTTTGTAAGTCTTCAAATCAAATGACCGGGGCTGTGAATGTTTCCTAAAATTCTCTTTTGGGACATGGGTTGGATTTTTTACAGTGTTTTCTTGCCCTGAACTATGCTGCCTAGTTTCTGATTCTTTGATCCTTGGTAAAGGCAGCTGGAAACTTGTGAAATAAGTCCCACTTTCAGTCCCATTGGGATTAGGTATGGAATTTTCTATTTTACAAGGAGGAGGAGGCTGAACTATATTACACTGTTCTAGGGAAGTGGTTTTGGAACTATGATTACATTTCAAAGTTCCCCTGTAGAGCAGAGTATCTGCATCAAATACTGAGCTGCTTTCTATGCACCCTTTCTGACCTCCATCCCTTTCACTTGAATGACAGCAATCAGTGTTCTGGATGGGTGCACTACTGTCACCCGGGGAATGGCTGTGTTCTGTGCGCTCTGATTCACAGCTTCTATTTTCTTCTTTCTTTATACAGGGATCTGCTTCAGAAGGGGGTTCCTCCTTAATTTTGGTACCGTACTTAACGCAAACAACAAGATTCTCCATCTGTTGCTCTAAATAGGCACTACTCATCTGATGAGTGCGTTTGTAATGCCTCACAATGCTGCTCTCCAACTTCACCACAGATAAGCATCCTTGAACCATGCAGGGGTACTGTGTGTGCTCAGAGTGCTCCACACACATATGGAGGGCCTCAGCTCTGGTTTTAAAACTTATTGGGGCTTTCTTTTCTTTGATTAAGCCACATTTTTTAGACTTAGCATTAAATGATCTCCTGGTGGTCTGATGTTCATGCCCCTGAGTATCAGCTGTTTGACATACCTTTTCACTCCTTAGTAGTCTCTCATTTGCTACTTTCTGGCTTCTAAACAAATCATCATAATAGTCTTTATGTCGGTAATATACATGTTGTGAGTAATTACTGCGATGGGTGAAAATCTGGCCACAGCCATTAAGATCACAATGAATTTCATAATCTGAATGTATTTCCCCTTCAATATTATGCTGTTCCATCAAGTGGTGCTTCAACTTGTTGAATGTATAAAAAACAGCAGGGCACTGAGGCTGGTTACAAGAAAACCTTGCTGCAGATCCAGCTTCGGAAAGTACTTTAGGCTCTTCAATATGGTCTAGGTTATGAGAATCACTACAGTGCTTAGCAAGAGCTTTGGAACACAGGAAGCGTTTATTACATTCCTTATATTTGCAAGCAAATATCTTTTTACATTTGACAAGTTCCCTTTTGGTTCTTGCTTTGTCTTTCTCCAAACATAACTGTTCTTTGTTGTACTGATGTACAGTTCTGTAATGGCGAATTAAGCCTTTTAGATTGGTGAATGAGGAGTTGCAAGTTTTATGAATACAATGGAATGGTTTGTGGTATTTATTCAAAATATAACACAGATTTCCTTTAGCAACAGTTCGCCTGCTACCTCTGCCCTCTCTTCCTTCTTGTTCTTCTCTATGGCTGCCTATTGGTGATGAAATGTCAGATGTTTTACTTTCTGTTTCTTCACAAGATGATTCCAAATCTGTTTCAGAACTACATTCATCCTTTTTAGGATGACAGTGTGGTTTCTCAGAGTTACTACTGGGATCACCTCCAAGTTCTGCAGAACAATCACCTTTCAACCTATCTACTGAACATGGGCCTTCATGATCACACTTTTCATTATCTAATAGTTTGTGAGTTGCTCTGTCACTGCCAATTTGATGTTTATTTTTATAATGAATCCTAAGGTGTGTTTTTCTTGTAAATGACCTTTGGCAAATATGACACTGAAATGGGGAATACCGATGTTGGAACATGGTTAACTGAAGGACTTTTTCTTTTGAATAATTATGCTTTTTAAGATAATGCATTAACAGAGCCTCTCTGGTCACAAATTCATATTTGCATCCTTGAAGCTCACAGAAAAACGGCTTAGCCGCCAACTGTGCAAGGTACTGACTTGGCATGTTTTCATCTTGATTCTGAAAATTAAGGTCTGAGATAGATGAAACTGACTGAAGAGACTTAGCACCACTGGATGGGTACCCCTGCAATGACCCTGAGAAAGATCCATGTGTTATTGAGTTTTTCAAGCTTAAATGTTTCAAGCGTAACAGAAGTTCCAACATGGTATCCTCTGTACAGGGCCTTTTAGAAGCACAAATGGAGGATTCTGAGGAATAACCTTGATGTTCTCGTTTACATTTAATGTGAATATTGTGATCTAGACCTTCATCTGGGGAGTCACTGTTTGTATCTGAGCAGGGTTTAGGTTCTGCATCCAACTTTTCAGTTGTCTGATTATGTTCATTACCCAAAGAGGGAAACAGATCTTTCGTCTTTATCTTTTTGGGCTTGAAATGGTATGGATGAACCTTCCGTAAATGTTTCTGCATTCCTCTTGCATTTTTGTATGTGGAACCACAGCCATCAAAACCACAGGTAAACTTAGTCCCGTCAAAACAAACTGCCATACTGGAACATTTTTCTTTTAAACTGGAGGGCCCAAAGACTTTCTCATTAGATAACAATACATCCTGCATAGTTTCAGAGTGATCTAGTGTGTCAATTAGCTCTTCATTCATTGAAGCTGAAGAGCTATGACTTAACTGATCACTAGAATTACTGTCACTGTTTTCTTTCAGGTTTTCTGCAGTTTCTGTATCTATTTGAGAATTAGCTGATTCTGCACAGAAAAGATCTTCAGGTAAATGTGATTTATCAGTTTGGTTAAGTAGATGGGGCTGATTAATACAATCTTGCTTTTCACCTGTTGCAGACTCCTCAAGTTTCACTGATTTCTTTATGTCTCCATTTGAATTTTCAACATTATGCATTGAGAGGTGATTCTGGTATTCAATTTTGGAGTAATAGAACTTTTTACAGCCAAGGAAGTTGCATGTGTAAGATGCATCCCTAAAGTGTTGTGCTTCATGGTGGTAAAGCTGTCCCAAGTCACTGAAAACAATATTACAGCCATTTAATTCACATTTGTAACGCAGATCGTCATGCTTTTGTTTATGGTTAAGTAGTTCATTTACTGATCCAAACCTAGCATAGCAATCTATAGATACACACATATAAGGCTGAGGCCCACAATGCACTTGTTCGTGCTCTCGAAGGTGAAAAGCAGACATAAAATGTCGTCGACAGTAAGTACACTTCTCTCTTCTATTTTTCATATCCAAGTAGTGCTTGGCATTTTCATCATTATTTTGGTGTTCAGCTTTAAGATGCACACTTAAGTATTTAAATTGCTTAAACACACGGGAACAGTCTGTACCGGGACATGGATACAAATCTCTGTCTTGCAGGTGGCAATCTTCTAATTTGCTGAATGTGACATATTCATGAGACTCTCCTTTGGCTTGGTCATTCAATGAATGGTTTTGCTCTGGGATTGCAGAGGGGCTCTTAGGACAAATACCCTTTTGAGAGCCTTTTAACAGTAATTTCTTTTTAGAGCGGTCCCTTCTGCTTGGTGGCATTTTAACATGCTCCATCACATGAGGAACAAACATTTCTTTTCTCTTAAATTTTTTAATACAAACTGGACAGGTGTAAATTCCATCTTCCATATGCATCTTAGAATGATGAAGAATTCTAGCCTCTATACATTCCCGCTTACATAACAAACAGAAAAACTTGTACTGAAGCCACCTCTGATATCTTTCAGAAGAGCCAATAGGTTTTTTGTCTCTTTTCTCCTTATGCTGATCTGTCAAATCTCTTCTTCTATATTGTTTATCTTCTTTACCCTCATCATAGTCACTGAGAAATGACTCTAAAACATCTGTGTCATTAATGGACATTTCATAGCCACTTAAATCATCATCAGAATCTGAGGCTTCTTGTCCTAAAAGTTGGTGGCAGTGTCGTTTTAAAGTTTTCCAGTCCCAAAACTCAGGATCAAAAGGCCAGTGGGCTTTTAAAGCTAGTAAGAGCTCACATCGAAGAGAATTTGGAACCGGTGCATTTTCTTCATCAAATTTTTGATCTGGTTGCAAATATAGTTCTTCTAACATATTAAATCCATCCAAACTGGGTTCAATTAAGAATTCTGTAAGCTGACAGGCTCGTCTAACTTCTAAATCTTCTGGTAAAAGACAGGCAATTGTTTTACAAACTGATGCCTTCATTTCCTCATCTTCACTTGATCTGAGTTGAAGAGCTCTGACACACAGTAAAATTGACACCCCAAGACCAGCATCTTGTGCCTGTAAGTAAAAGAGGATAAAAAAATTATTTTTTTGCATACAGAAAGATTATATAACTTTCACTGATAAGGAATTTTAGCTTGTAAAAACTTTTAGAGTTCCTAAATTTTATCTTAAATCTTTCTTCATGAAAGTTACATTTAGATATTTCTTGTCTCAACATGCAAAGAACTAAATTAGATGCTACAACTACGAACAATGTACATTTACTAGGCACTGTGTATTAAAGCAGTTCCTTACTTCCAAGGAATTTATCTGTACCCCGAATGCATAAACAATAAATGCATGTGAATCCAAAGAAATTCAGGATAAAAAAGGTCACTGGAGGATTCAAAATAGAATGATGTTGAGTAGAGGGGCAGGGTTTAAAATGGCAGCAACAGGAAACACAGGTATAGATGTGAGTCTAAGATTAAATTCAATTTAAGAAATTCTCTTTGGCTGGGCACGGTGGCTCACGCCTGTAATCCCAGCACTTTGGGAGGCCGAGGCAGGTGTATCACCTGAGTTTGAGACCAGCCTGACCAACACGGAGAAACCCCGTCTCTACTAAAAATACAAAATTAGCCAGGTGTGGTGGTGCATGCCTGTAATCCCAGCTACTCGGAGGCTGAGGCAGCAGAATCGCTTGAACCCAGGAGGTGGAGGTTGCAGTTTAGCCAAGATCACACCATTGCACTCCAGCCTGGGCAACAAGAGCAAAACTCCGTCTCAAAAAAAAAAAAAAAAAAAAAAATTCTCTCTATCATGAACACTTGGATTTTTCAAAACTTCAAAGATAAAATAAATGATCCTTTCCATTTCCTCCTGAAAGAATCTGGTAATTTATAGTCACCGTCACAGGTGTACTGAATCTCAGCTTTCCAGGGAAAAAACAGAAATCAGAAATCTTGCTATGGCAGCAGGTTCTCAGAAACTAGTTTAAAATTAGGAAGACCTGGTCATATGTGATAAAAGCTTGGTACATACAAGATAACTCTTTTTATCTGAGAGGCTGAAATAAAATACAAAAATGACATGAGCAAAGAAAAGCAAGATATGTCAGAGTGGCTTAAAACGCACTGCTATGAGCAGAGACTTTAGAATCAGACTTTGACTGCCTTTGAACCCCAGCTTCACAACAAGTGACAAGTTCTCAACCTCTAAACTTCAGTTTCCTTATTGGTAAAATGATAACAGTAATGTTAATAACAGATTTTCCTCCTAAGGTTATAAAGATGAAATAATAACGCTGGCACATTGTAACTATTTAACAGAATACAATGTAAAATAATGGAGTAAATTCCACTGTTTAAATCAGTAAACAATTTGCCAGGCATTTAATTCTGTGTTGGGCATCATTCATTCTAAATGCTGGGAACACAAAGAAATCACTGTCATTGATTTACAGAACCCCTACTACAGCCTAGGCACTTATTTGAAATAAACTTTTTTGCACGTATTATCCTCATTTTATAGACAAAAAACCCCCAACACTCAGAACGTTAAGTTGCCCAATGTCACTAACTAGTGAGCAGAGGAGCAAGGACTTAAAAGCATTTAGGCCGGGCACAGTGGCTCACACCTGTAATCCCAGCACTTTGGGAGGCCGAGGCAGGCACATCACTTGAGGCATGGAGTTTAAGACCAGCAGGGCCAACATGGCAAAACCCCATTTCTAATAAAAATACAAAAAATTAGCCAGGCATGGTGATGCAGGCCCAAAGCCCCAGCTACTTGGGAGGCTGAGGCATCAGAATCCCTTGAACCTGGGAAGCGGAGGTTGCAGTGAGCTGAGATCACGCCACTGCATGCCAGCCTGGGCAACAGAGTGAGACTCCGTCTCAAAAAAAAGAAGATATTTGGCCTGAAGAGTAGAAGAGATGTGGACTGGTAGGTGAAAAGGGAGTGAGTGAGTGTAGAATCCCTTGCAAACTGAGACTCCAACTTTTTTTTCTTTAAAACTAGTCAAGTGTAATAGTGAGAAGGGGGAAAGAGTAGAACAGAGTTCAGTCTGTAACTGACTGTGAACAATCAATTGAGATAACTCCCTACCTTTCAGACGAGCTGAGACTCTAGCTTTTTTGAAAGAGAGGCATTACCTAGCCTGTATCAGCTAGGATCTGGTTCTGTTGTGAGTGGCAGACTTCCCACAACAGTAGTGGCCTAAAGAATATAGAAGTTTCTCCCTCTCATTTGGAATGTAGTCCAAGTAAAACAGGCCATGTTGCTTTAGTGGCTCCACAGGACTAGACCATGGGTCTCTTGACTTATTAGGATGATGTGATAGAAGTTTATCATTTGTAAGTAAGAGCAGAGAGGACTTGGGGAAAGTCAGCTAAATTTTAAAATAATTCAGTTTCTCAACAAGTTACTAACTCCTTTTGGAAGACTGTGAGGTGGACAGCAAAGAATGGCCATTCTTTCTTAAACAGCCTAATCTGGCTGGGATGGTAACATTTGAAAAATCACTAACAACATTTTTCAAAGAAAAGTAACCAGAAATACTATTATATATTCTGAACAGATATGCCAAAAAGTTACTGAAAGGAGTAGTGAATAAATGTGAATCAGGATATGCAATGTGGAGCTGAATTTTGAAGAAATTGGTGGGTCTTAAACTAGGAAGGTGAGGGATCAAGAGT
Source organism: Homo sapiens (assembly GCF_000001405.40). Lineage (NCBI taxonomy): Eukaryota > Metazoa > Chordata > Mammalia > Primates > Hominidae > Homo > Homo sapiens. The sequence goes on along the minus strand of NC_000001.11, from coordinate 40,233,167 downwards.
GACTTGGCATACTGTTGCAAGCGCACATAGGATATAGCCAAGTCATTCAATCTTTGCTTTTTTTTTTTTTTTTGAGACAGAGTCTCACTCTGTCGCCCAGGCTGGAGTGCAATGGTGTGATCTCGGCTCACTGCCACCTCTGCCTCCCAAGTTCAAGCAGGTGGGGCAGCTTACACCTATAATCCCAGCACTTTGGAAGGCTGAGGTGGGAGAATTGCTTGAGGCCAGGAGTTCAGAACCAGTCTGGGCAACAAAGCAAGACCCTGTATCTACCACTGCTCCCCGCCAAAAAAGAAAAAGCCAGGTATAGTGGCACACGCCTGCAATCTCAGCTACTCTGGAGGCTGAGACGGGAGGATTGCTTGAGCCAAGGAGTTTGAAGCTGTAATGAGCTATGATCGCACCACTGCACTACAGCCTGGGTGACAGAGCGAGACCTGTCTCAACCAAAAACTGAAAACTAAAGTCAGAGATGGAGGATGTCAGGTTTCAAGCACCAACTTGTTGCACCCTTGCTGCTTGAAAACAGAGGTAAAGACTGAGTGTAGCTTCTAGCACCTGAGAACAGACCCTGATTGGCAGCCAGCCAGAAAACAGAAACCTTAGTCCTACAACCACAGGAACTGAAACCTGTCGATAAGAATAAGCTTTGAAGTGGATTTTCCACAGAGCCTCTGATAGAACTTAGCCTGGCAAACTACATTTTAGCCAATATGATAATCTTAGAAGAGAATCCTGCCACATTGTGCTGGATTTCTGATTTACAAAACTGAACTGATAAAAACGGACATTGTTTTAAGTATTAATTTTTGTGATGTTATTCAACAATAGAAAATTAGTACCTTTATTAAAGATTTAAACAAAACAAAATGTTCTAATGGCCAATTATAAAGTAATTGTTTAAACAGGCAAGTTCTATAGTTACCTTGAAATGTTCTTTTTTTTTTTTTTAAAAAAAAAAAGACCAAGTCTCACTCTGTCACCTAGGCTGGAGTGCAGCAGTGCAATCTTGGCTCACCACAACCTCCGCCTTCCCTGTTCAAGCGATTCTCCTGCCTCAGCCTCCAAAGTAGCTGGGATTACAGGCGCCCGCCACCATGCCCGGCTAATTTTTGTATTTTTAGTAGAGACGGGGTTTCACCAGGTTGGCCAGGCTGGTCTCGAACTCCTGAGCTCAAGTAATCCACCCGCCTTGGCCTCCCAAAGTGCTGGGATTACAGGCTTGAGCCACCGTGCCTGGCCTCTTAAAATGTTCTTAACGTGACAGGAGACACAACTTCATTCACAGTAATTAGAAATAAATATCACCTAACTTGTTTGACCATCAATTTGTTTCTGATTAATTATAGGAAGTCAATCTGGAGAAACAGTCAGATGTGGTCAATTCCATTAATCTTATTAAAACTCATTATTTCTTATCTTCCTTTAAAGGGAATTTCCTGAGAAGTTATCTTCCCACTCATTTCTTTCCTCCAGCTACAGTTAGCAGAGAAGGCATAAAGTACTCACTTCAGTTTGTATAACTCTAATGAGGCAAAATAAATGCTGCTGCGTTTTAGCTATGACACCAAACTGACGACAGCGCTCCAAAAAAGTATCTAAAGAAGGGTCAATTCTTCTTTGCAGTTTACTCCAAAAAAGAGTCAGTTCCCTATAAAAAAAGAAGATCATGGTAAAACATTTAAAGTAACTGGTATTTGCTGCCCTGCCCCCGGCAACCCAATTTTTTGATCTGTAGAAAGCTGACAGTAGAGAAAACAAAAACTAGATTAAAAGCTGTCTATATTCACCACTGCTTTCTCCCAAACTGATAAAATTGTTAAGAATCCTCCGTAACAATTCCCTGACTTCTCTCTTGTGTTTAGGGGGAAAAATAAAAACAAAACACTACCTCCTTAACAGTGGCATTTAAAAAAAACTTATTTAGATCCCATGTTGTTCTAAAAGGTTTTATCCTTCACACTGGTGATTAATATACTGATTGAATTAAGCCCTGTCCTAATGGGCAGAAATAATCAGCCATCACTAAATTAACAACGAAATATATATACAACAAAGACACTCTAATGGTACACTTCTATACAGTGATCTTAAAGGGCCCTTTCCAGATCTAAAATGTCAGGATGCTACTTAGAGCCTGTAGTTTGGAATGGTTAAATACTTCCAGTGAAATAAGTAAAATGGCACTTTTTGGAAATGGCTAAAATACAGGAATCTCACAAAGATTCATTATGGAAACAAAAGGAAAGCTTGAAAATAATAAATTAAACAAAAACATTTAATGGGTAAAACACTCACGCAAAAAAGCATTAGAAACTCAACAATGCCAAGGATAGAAATGCTAATGAGAGAATGTAAAATGTGAATGCAAGGAAAGCTAATAGTGAAACTAAAAAGAATGTTATCACTTCTAATAGCAAAACTAAAAAGAGGCCGGGCATGGCGGGTGGCTCATGCCTGTAATCCTAGCATTTTGGGAGGTGAAGGGGGGCAGATCACTTGAGGTCAGGAGTTCGAAACCAGGCTGGCCAACATGGTGAAACCTCATCTCTACTACAAATATAAAACTTAGCTGAGTGTGGTGGTGGATGCCTGTAATCCCAGCTACTTGGGAGGCTGAGAACAGGAGAATCGCTTGAACCTGGGAGGTGGAGGTTGCAGTGAGCTGAGATAGCGCCACTGCACTCCAGCCTAGGCGACAGAGCAAGACTCCATCTCAAAAAAACAAAACAAACAAACAAAAAAAACACTAAACTAAAAAGAATGCTATCACTTAATACATGTGGCTCTTTTAAGTAAATCAATGGATACTGATTAAATAATTTTCATTTAAAAATCTGTACTTTTTCATAAGCCAATTTAAAAACACTGATATCCTATATTGCTATTAACACAGACTGTCTCCCAGAAAGTTGGCTACAAATCCAAAGCTTAAGAAATGAAAACATGTAATTTAAAGTAAATATATTTAACGGAATTTATTTTCTTATATTTCTAAAGAGGGAACTGGGGCTCTTGTAAGGTGATTTTCTTTTCTTCTTTTTTTTTTTTTTGAGACGGAGCTTTGCTCTTGTTGCCCAGGCTGGAGTGCAATGGCACCATCTTGGCTCACCGCAACCTCCACCTCCCAGGTTTAAGCAATGCTCCTGCCTCAGCCTCCCAAGTAGCTGGGATTACAGGCATGTGCCACCACGCCTGGATAATTTTGTATTTTTAGTAGAGATGGGGTTTCTCCATGTTGGTCAGGCTGGTCTCTAACTCCCAACCTCAGGTGATCTGCCTGCCTCGGCCTCCCAGAGTTCTGGGATTACAGGCATGAGCCACCGTGCCCGGCATAAGGTGAAATTTTTAAGTAGTTATAAAACTCGCTTCAAAGATTGAAATGAATATATGGTGTCTCAAAAGATAAATGACTGGCCGGGCGTGGTGTCTCATGGCTGTAATCACAGCACTTTGGGAGGCCAAGGCAGGTGGATCACAAGGTCAGGAGTTCGAGACCAGCCTGGCCAACATGGTGAAACCCCGTCTCTACTAAAAATACAAAAATTAGCTGGGTGTGGTGGTGCATGCCTGTAATCCTAGCTACTCAGGAGGCTGAGGCAGGAGAATTGCTTGAACCCGGGAGGTGGAGGTTGCGGTAAGCCGAGATTGCACCACTGCGCTCCAGCCTGGGTGACACAGCAAGACTCTGTCTCAAAAAAAAAAAAAAAAAAAAAAAAGATAAATGAATAAAGCTTAACAGGATGGCAAATTTGAGCTATAACCAATATAATTAATTTAAAATGCCTTTAAATATTTGCCTTTATTTGGCTAGTGCTACTTTCCTAACCACAAGAAGTGAAAATTGAGATAGGCCAGCTGTGAAAATAGCCACCAACCAGGCAAGCTGGGATAACTGTTCATTTTTAAACACACAATTGCTTTATTCAGATTTAAGCACGTTAAGTAATAAAAATTTTTGTAATCTGTCATATGTATGTGAAATCTGTCCTATTTGAACAGAACAAAAATTATCAAAGCCAGTAAATCCTGATTATAACGATAAATGAGTAAATGATGTCAACTATCTAAAATTTACTGCAGGGCTGGGCATGGTGGTTCATCCCTATAACCTCAGCAGAGGATTACTTGAGGCTAGGAGTTCAAGACCAGCCTGAGCAACGCAGTAAGACCCTAAAACCAACCAAACAAAAAAAGCTTAGCCACTCTTGGTGGCACACCTGTAGTCCCAATTACTGAGGAGGCAGAGGCAGCGGGGGGCGGGCAGGGTGGTCATTGAGCCCAGGATTTAAGGCTGCAGTAAGCTGTGATCTCACCAGTATACTCCAGCCTGGGTGACAGAGTAATATCTTCTCTCAAATAAAATAAAATTCACTAACTAAAGCTGGGCACAGAGGCTCATGCCTATAATCCCAGATACTTGGAAGGCTGAGGTGGGAGATCACTTGAGCCCAGGAGTTCAAGGCTGCAGCGAGCTTCGATTTTGCCACTATACTCCAGCCTGGCAACAAAGTTAGGTAAATCCATTAAAGTGGTAAAAGGCAGGTTGAGAACTAAGGTGTCTCAAATAATTTTTTTTTTTTTTTGAGATGGAGTCCACGCTGTCGCCCAGGCTGCAGTGCAATGGCATGATCTTGGCTCACTGCAACCTCCGCCTCCCGGGTTCAAGTGATTCTCCTGCCTCAGCCTCCCTCGAGTAGCTGGGATTACAGGCACCCACCACCACGCCCAGCTAATTTTCGTATTTTTAGAGACGGGGTTTCGCTATGTTGGCCAGGCTGGTCTTGAACTCCTGACCTTAGGTGATCCGCCCACCTTGCCCTCCCAAAGTGCTGGGATTACATTACATGCATGAGCCACCACGCCTGGCTTTTTTTTTTTTGAGATGGAGTCTTGTTCTGTTGCCCAGGCTCGAATGCAGTGGCATGATCTCGGCTCACTGCAACCTCTGCCTCCCAAGTTCAAGCAATTCTCCTGCCTCAGCCTCCTGAGTAGCTGGGGACTACAGGCGCACGCAACTATGCCTGGCTAACTTTTGTAATTTTAGTAGAGATGGGGTTTCACCATGTTGGCCAGGCTGGTCTCGAACTCCTGACTTCAAGAGATCCACCCACTTCAGCCTCCCAGAGTACTGGGATTACAGGCTCAAATAAATTTTTTCCCCCCAGATGGAGCCTTGCTCTGTCCCTCAGGCTGGAGTGCAGTGGTGCGATATCGGCTTACTGCAACCTCTGCCACCCAGGTTCAAGCGATTCTCCTGCCTCAGCCTCCCTAGTAGCTGTGATTACAGGTGCCCGCCACCATCCCCAGCTATTTTTTGTATTTTTAGTGGAGACGGGGTTTCAGCATCTTGGCCAGGTTGGTCTTGAACTCCGGAACTCATGATCCACCTGCCCTGGCCTCCCAAACTGCTGGGATTACAGGTGTAAACCACCATGCCTGGCCACTCAAATAATTTTTAAAACAGTAAGTCAGAATGTCCAGGGCTTGGTTTATTCCAAATTAAGTATTTCAGGCTCCAAGTATGTTAACTCCAAATAAGCATGATCAAAAATGGGCATTTTATGGTGTATTTTGTAAAAATATTTGCATAGTTATAAATTGATGTAAAATGATTACCCACCCAAATATATAAACATGCCTGAAACCACGACAGCCAGTATGTTACTCATGAGGATGCAAGATGTCACTTCAATCATCCATTCAAATCTGTACACTGGAACACTGAAATCAACATCCAATAGTAACCTACAGCCTGACAGATCAAACATGCGCTAGGATAAGTTCTTCTTCAATTACTACAATAATGTGACTTTTTTAAACAAAGCCAACCATTGAAAATCATGGAAAATGATTCCACTGTATGTATGCTGCCAATGTTCAGATGATGTACTGTACCCTTGATTTAGCCCATTACCTAGCTCATTTCAACAAATTATATATAAATTTATAAAAATCGGAAAGGAAATTTAGCTCTGTTAACAGCAAGAAGCACATTTTGGTAGGAATTTAGCTACTAAGCAAGAACTTTAAATTACTCTGTGTTTTGGCCAGTGTGGTGGCTCACCTGAGGTCAGGAGCTCGAGACCAGCCTGGCCCACATGGTGAAACCCTATCTCTACTAAAAATATAAAAAATTAGCCAGGCGTGGTGGCTGGCACCTATAATCCCAGCTACTCAGGAGGATGAGGCAGAGAATCACTTGAACCCGGGAGGCAGAGGTTGCAGTGAGCTGAGACTGCACCATTGCACTGCAGCCTGGGTGACAAGAGCAAAACTCTATCTCAAAAATAAATGAATAAATACATACACACATATATACATACAAACATCACTCTGTGTTTCTACATAGCAAGAAGCCCATGAAGTCCAGTTAACATGTTACACTGAGATTCAGAATTTAGGTATTTTAGGAATGAAGTAAATAAAACTGTGGAATTAAGGGATGATCATCCCCTAAAAAAGGCTATTACAGAAAAAAAAAATTTTTAAAGCTATTACAATAGTAATTGACCCCCATGACCTCTTTTCTCTCCCATACAATTCTGTTAAATAAAACACATATGCTAGTCTTCGCCAGTTACTTAGGACACAACCGTGAATTAGACAACATATTGGTTAGTATATCACAGTCTAGCTGGGGCAGAACAGACATGTAACTACATCTGAAGAAATACAAATGTGTAACACAAAATTTAAGCTTAGCACATTACAGAAATCAAAGGCCAGTCTATCAAATACTCACTGAAAGCTTACTGTGGAGGTTCAAAGTTCAACTTTATGACTTTAAAATGGCTGCCGTAATTACACCTCTCTATATACAAACACCATCTCACTCAAAATGGTCACCTTTTTCAAATGCATGACTATTCCAATTACGTTACCACTGAGAGGCATCTACAGGGAGCTTACTCCTCTAGTACTTCTTTAATTTTCTTCAACAGCCAAAAATCTTTTGGGGTCAAGATTAATAAATAAGTTAAACATAACTGCTATAAAGTTTAAAACATTTTTACTTTTTACTGTGGTTTGTAAATGTCTCTGAGCGAAATTTCTAAAATAATAAAAACCGTTCTGAGTGACAGTTACATAGTTTTTTGTTTTTGTTTGGTTTTTTGAGACAGGGTCTCATTGTGTCACCCATACTAGAGTGCTGCAGTGTGATCTTGGCTCATCACAACCTCCACTCCCAGGCTCAAGCGATTCTCCTGCCTCAGCCTCCTGAGTAGCTGGGATTATAGGTGCGTACCACTACCATCCGGCTTTTTTTTTTTTTTTTTTTTTTTTTTGCGACGGAGTCTCGCTCTGTCACCCAGGCTGGAGTGCAATGGCGCCCGATCTCGGCTCACTGCAAGCTCTGCCTCCCAGGTTCACACTATTCTCCTGCCTCAGCCTTACGAGTAGCTGGGACTACAGGCACGCCCGCCACCAGGTCGGCTAATTTTCCGTATTTTTAGTAGAGACAGGGTTTCACTGTGTTAGCCAGGATGGTCTTGATCTCCTGACCTTGTGATCTGCCCGTCTCGGCCTCCCAAAGTGCTGGGATTACAGGCATGAGCCACCGCGCCCGGCTTTTTTTTTTTTTTTTTGAGACAGAGTCTTGCTCTGTCACCCAGGCTGCAGTGCAGTGGCACGATCTCAGCTCGCTGCAACCTCTGCCTCCAGGGGTCTAGCAATTCTCCTGCCTCAGCCTCCAGGGTAGCTGGGATTACAGGCACACGCCACCACGCCCGGCTAATTTTTGTATTTTAAGTAGAGATGGGTTTTCACCATGTTGGCCAGGCTAGTCTCGAACTCCTGACCTCAAATGATCCACCCGCCTCAGTCTCCCAAATTGCTGGGATTACAGGCGTGAGCTACTGCGCCTGGCCAATAGCTACATAGTTTACATTTCAAATATTATCTTCATGGTAACTACACTCAAGAATGATACTCCCAAGACATAAATTCTAGCGTATGTGTTTAAAAATAAGCATGACTACTTTTATTATTGTATTTTAACTTTATTGTCACATTTAAAAAATACTGATATCTCTCTTATCCAAAATACCACTTAATTTAAAATTTTTTTCTAAACAAATACTCCTTATGTCCCACTACCTCAAGCATAACAAAAGATCTATCTCATATGAACAGAATTCCTGTGATTAATTTTCCTTAGTAAAATTCAATGTTTTTTGTTTTTTGTTTTTGAGACGGAGTCACTCTTGTCTCCTGGGCTGGCATGACCTCGGCTCACTGCAACCTCCGCCTCCCAGGTTCAAGTGATTCTGGTACCTCAGGCTCCCGAGTAGCTGGGATTACAGGTGTCTGCCAAAATGCCCGGCTAATTTTTGTATTTTTAGTAGAGACGGGGTTTCACCATGTTGGTCAGGCTGGTCTTGAACTCCTGACCTTAGCTGACCCACCCACCTTGGCCTCCCAAAGTGCTGAGATTACAGGCATGAGCCATGCCTGGCCAAAATTCAATGTTTTATGTTATTCTAATATTCTAACTCCAGCATCCCACTACCAAAAAAAAAAAAAAAAAAAAAAAAAAAAAAAGCTTTCAAAAACAATGGAAGGGGAAAAAAAAAAAAAAAAAAAAAAGATGTGGCCAGGCGCAGTGGCTCACGTCTGTAACCCTAGCACTTTGGGAGGCTGAGGCAGTGGATCACAAGGTCAGGAGTTTGAGACCAGCCTGACCAACATGGTGAAACCCAGTCTCTACCAAAAATACAAAAATTAGTCGGGCGTGGCAGTGTGCACCTGTAATCCCAGCTACTCGGGAGGCGGAGGTTGCAGTGAGCCAAGATCACACCACTGCACTCTAACCTGGGTGACAGAGCAAGACTTCGTCTCAAAAAAAAAAAAAAAAAAAAGATGCAATTGCTCCTTGAATTGCTTGAAAGAAGCTCCTTTTAACAAAGTGTGAAATGACTAAGATTTTCTTTCCTTTACTCATTATAGCTCCTGAGGAGGCCACAAAGGGAAATCTCCATTCATCTCTTCCTGCTACAGAAGAACAGCATTAATCCTAGAGCCACTAACAGCTCTGGAAGAGTGAATGGTGGCTGACTGAAGAAGGGGAGAAAAATTTTAAACACAATCTATAACACATTCTATATATGATTTAATTTATTATTCGTACTGAAAACCTAGCTATAATGGTGGATATTTTTTCATTATAAAGAAATTATATTTAAGTCGCTATCCCACTATCTCCTTTCTCACAGGAGGTATAACTCTGGCATAGTGGATTTGGTGGTAAAAAACTACAATTTGAATTTTGGCCTATGCCAAGAAAACAAGTATACAGAAGAAAAGCACTGGATTAGAAGTCTAAAACCTGGGCTTGAATCTCAGCTCTACCACTTTAGCCTTGAGACCATGGACAATTACAAGTTTTCTCTGGTCCCTATGATCCTCCCACTGCCTCACCTGTGCAATGATTATTATGAGGACTGGGTGAGATTACAGTACACAAAATTTCTACATAAAATAATAAACAAAAAGAAATATAGTAACATACAATGGTATTAACCATAAAACTATAAAAATAGACAGACGATCCAGAGGGAGATCAATGAGGGCTGAAGTACACAAAAGGCTTTACTAGGTTTTCCTATAAACAAAATGCTCATTTCCAATTTTAAGCCATCCTTAGGTTCTGAAATACTCAGAGCTCCTCTAATCAAGATAATGCAAATCCAACCCATTCTTAGAATTAAATCTCAAATATTACTTCCTCCCTGACACCTTTAATACTCTGGTATACAGTGAGCACCTCTCTCTGATCTCCTATAGCATTATCCATACCACTAATCTGATACTTACTGACAGAGAGTCTTACATTTTAGAGGTTTCCTGTGTATCAGGTTTGTCCCTTTGGCCTAAATAGATTCAATACAGTTAGAATGAAAGAACCACGGATACACTTACTGTTTCCTTTTTAGCAACTAAGTATTCTGTAGGCAAACAAGATATAAATTGAATTAAAACCAAAATAATGCAATTCAACTATATAGTTCCAAAGTTGCAAAAGAGATTACTATTCAAGTGAATTTCCTTTTTTAGTGCTAGTTTGACCTAGAAACCTAGATAATTTGATCCTTTTCATTTGTGGGTTCCCAAATAAGAATGGGGAGTGACTACCCAGAAGATACTAAAAAAATGAAAAGAAAAACAATCTAACTAACACAGGTTTGTTTCATATTGACAAAATTTTATCTTCAAGGTAGAAGACATATATTGGAGTTAACAGACAACCCATTATGGGATGATCAAGAGGAACATTTTACCTTTTCTTGACTAGATTAAACCAATGATATTTTTAATTAAATGATTGTGTGTGGAAGCAAGAAGCTATTCACAGGTCATGCTAGGTTTTAAATTAGAAACAAATTAACATTTTACATAAACCCTAAATGCTATACTATGTACTAACAAATAAAGAGTGTAAAACTAAATATACTTACCAAGAACAATATACACTTGCAGTTTGGAGCTGCTGGGTAAGGTAAGTCGTACAAAGAACAAATGCTGTGTTATCCTGCCCCTCAGATTCCAGATTACAAATGATGTCTAGTACTTCCTTGCAGTCGACCTTTGCAATCTATCAAAAATGAGATGACTAAGTCAAAAAGAAAATGGTGACTTTTCAGTAAACTTTGTTATATAAGGTGAAACTTCTTAATGAGGCAAAAATTAGAGACATAATTTTCTCCTGCTAATGAATGAGTCTTCTTGCATGAATATTTCACATAAGAAAATATTAAAGAAGGGAACAGACACTATAAGGAAGTTCTACTACAGTCTCAATACAGATAAAAACATTTTTGCAGTTTAAAAAAATTACGAACATTGCTACCATATAGATGAGTCAAATTATATATAATAATCTCAGGTTATTTTTACCTGAAGTATTACTATGTTTTTTTTTCTTTCCTGTTCCTGTCTTCCCCTAGTATCTATGACCACAGCTGGGTCACTCTGGTTACAGATAGTAAAACATATGGCTTATCCTCAATATCAGTGGGGCTAAAGGAGGCCAGTTCAGGAACTGCTTTAAATACAAATGCTACATTAACATCATTTTTTCATAGAAGGAAAATATCTAGTGTATTAATGAGTTTTTCAGACCATCAAAACCCTTTTTAGAAATATATCTTTTCATTTATATGACTTAAATCTTAAAAAAACAAACAAAAAACAAATAAAAATCCTCTGGACAAATCAATCAAATTTTTCTGGGGCTCCTTTCCTTTCTCTTTTTTTTTTTTTTTTTTTGAGACGGAGTCTCGCTGTGTCGCCCAGGCCGGAGTGCAGTGGCGCGATCTCAGCTCACTGCAACCTCCGACTTCCGGGTTCAAGCCATTCTCCTGCCTCAGCCTCCAGAGTAGCTGGGACTACAGGCGCCCACCACCGTGCCCAGCTAATTTTTTATATTTTTAGTAGAGACGGGGTTTCACTGTGTTAGCCAGGATGGTCTCAATCTCCAGACCTCGTGATTCACCCGCCTTGGCCTCCCAAAGTGCTGGGATTACAGTCGTGAGCCACCGTGCCCGGCCTTTTTTTTTTTTGCATCAGAGCAAATGAGGTAAACAGCTCAACTCCTCCAGTGCGCTACGCAGTTACAAGGGGGTGGTTCTAAGGCTCTAATTTTAGTCATATCTTCAGGTAGGTGCAGAAAGGCTTTTTTTAAAGCTCAGCTCAAATGTTATTTTCTTACAGAATCCTTTCCTAACTTCTGAGGTCATGTTATTTGGTTCGCTGTCAAACACTCTCAAATTTCTCCTTTGTAGCACTTATTTCTAGAACTTTTATTTTTTCAAATAAGTTTTACTGTATTATCTTGTTTTTTTTTTCATATCTCAACATGACAAATCTGTAAGACTGGCAAGGCAGGCAATATTATTTCTATTTCACAAATAAAAAATGAGTCCAAAGTTCATTTTTAAATTAAAAATGTTTAAATTGGGCTATTTATTCTGCCTTGGGCCAACATTTAACCTACTCATACTGGCCTTTACCTTTTATTATTTTTAGTTTTTTTAAGACAGTGTCTTACTCTGTTGCCAAGGCTGCAGTGCAGTTAGGGTAATCACGGCTCACTGAAGTTTCCATACTTCTGGGCTCAAGCGATCCTCCTGCCTCAGTTTCTCAAGGAGCTGGGACCACAGGTGTGTACCACCACACCTTTTTTTTTTTTTTTTTTTAATTTTTGTAGAGATGAGGTCTCACTATGCTGCCCAGGCTGGTCTCAAACTCCTGGCCTCCAGTGATCCCTCCTCCCTCAGCCTCTCAAAGTGTTGGGATTATAGTTGTGAGCCAATGCCCTGGCCCTATTATTTAACTTTTTTATGCACTTTCACTATGGCTCTCCAGCTAGACTATAAACTTGAGGACAAGAGCACAGCTCTATAAATAATATCCCAAATCCACTGTAAACAAAATCCTGTAAGAAAAATAGCCATATCAAAATGTATGTGCCTAGCAAAGCAGTGCCATTTGCTAAATACCTGCACCGTGCTAAGTACTGGAGATGCAAGCCAATCTAATTTTTGCCCTAATGGATATCACAGTCTAGTCAGGGTTGTTAGTAAGGAAGCAGTTACTAAGAATCAAATAGCTACAATGAGAGAGTATACTTTTTAAAAATACCTTTGGTAGGAAGAATCTAACTCAAATTTGGGGACCAAAAAAGACTTTCTGGGTAAAGTGGCACCTAAGATGAGTAGGAATGAATGAGTAGGAATAAGCCATGGCAAAGAGAGAGTGAACTGAGAAAGATACTCCAGGACAAGAAAAACACATGCAGTGGCCTAATAAGAGTGAGCATGGCATAGAAATAGAAATAAAATATTTCAGTATAGTTGTGGGTAACCCAGCAATACTGTGGGAGCATCAACTCTTGAGAGTTGCTAGGAGTAGAAGCACTTTTGTTTTTCTTTTCTTTTTTGAGACAGAGTCTCGCTCTGTTGCCCAGGCTGGACTGCAGTGGCGTGATCTTGGCTCACTGCAACCTCTGCCTCTCAGGTTCAAGTGATTCTCCTGTCTCAGCCCCCCGAGTAGCTGGGATTACTACACCACGCCCGGCTAATTTTTTTATATTTTTAGTTTCACCATGTTAGCCAGGATGGTCTCAATCTCCTGACCTCATGATCTGCCTGCCTCAGCCTCCCAAAGTGCTGGGATTACAGGCGTGAGCCACCGCACCTGGCCAGTACTTCTGTTTTTCTATTATCATTATCTCCATGCCTTCTAAGTTACCACAGGGATTGTTGGTAAACATGCTCCTGCACTGGCCTAAACAAGCAAAGTTTAACTTTCTCTACCAATGTCTCAAATTAAACTTAACTTTCTCCAATTATGCAGTTTCAGCAAATACTAACATTCTTTTAATTAGCTCTTAATATTGCTGTTTACCTGGCATTTTAAAATACACGAATATGCCTGATAATTAAATTTCTGATCAAGAGGTTCATAACTCCTAAGCATGGTATCTCACACACACATTTTCATTACCTATTAACTTGACTGTTTTACTTCCATCAAGGTTTCTATTGTGAAGGCGGAACTAGTTTATAGTGTGGGCTTTGTATAAGCTTCCAATTCAAGAGCTCATTTGCCTTGCACCCACTTATCTGAGCTAATAACAGGAATATCACTCTAGACTTATTTTCCACTGTCATTTAACTAAATGAGACATCTGATCATTTTTACAAATGAGAAAAACTGAAGCCAGAGTTTTTTCATATCTGTTATCTGTTCTTCCTTATAGACTCTAAATCCCTTGAAAACAGATACTAGATCTTATTTTATACTTTTATCCCCCTTAGCACCTGTTTTAGGATCTTCACATGACAAGCACTCAGTTAATATCCTTTGACTTGAAGAGAATCTCAGTATTATGCCCCAAATACCTGTACCTTCTTGAATATAGAGGAAAAGATATGATAAAGAAATAAAAGTAAATAAATAACTTAAAAAATTCATGTAAATTAAAATGAGATAACACCTCACTAATAAAATATGGTTATACTACTTGTCCTCAATCTTTTGCAATAAATACCTAAGACCACACTAAAAAACAAATATATGCCACAAAATACTTCTCAGCTAAAGTAAATTAAAATGAAGGTCACCAACAAACTTTTGAGAGTTTTAATGAGTATCTAGGAAACATCTTATACTTAAGATACTGAAACAATTTTTTGTTCTTAAATATAATTTCTAGTCCTGGGGCTTACAATTCTATAGCTATTAAGACAAACTGAACACGTGTTTTAAAGAATCAATTATGTTTACTATTTTACCACTAAAATGTAAGTTCCCTGAGGGCAAAAGTCTGTTTCTTTCACCACTGTATCTTCAGTGCCTACAACAGTGCCAGACCCATGAATGAACATCAATAACTATTTGTTAGAATGAAAAATAACTATAAGATAAATAACATGAAGAATAAATGGGACAGAAAACTGAAGACAGGAAGAATAATACTGACTGAAGGAAGCCACAAAGATTCCAAGGAAAAGAATTCTCGGGGAGATAGCAGTCTAGATGGATAGGGGAGAATGTAGCCCAAAAAATACAAAGCTGGAATGAGCAAACTAATTAACGTGAGAGTAATTGTGGCATGTGAGGAGGGAAAAGGTTATCTGATGTAACGGCAATGCGTGATGTCACGTAGCTGACACTCAGTGAATGAAAGGTTAAATTAAACAAGTTTAGAGACTTAGGATAGAGCTAAATCATACACTGGGGGAAAGACAGACTGAATAAGGCCATGTCACAGAGTTGTGCAGTTTTGCATGGCACAAAAGTAACCAGCCAAGGGAGTTAGTGGGGGCTGAAATTCAGTCCACTTGTCAAGCCCCAATGAGGCTTTTGCCCTCAGAAGACGGAAGACCTTTGAAAGGCAACCATATGAAGGTGGAGTTAGAGGGTGATGGTACTTTTTGCTGATTTCCACAAAGTTATCATACAGGCCAATGATAACAGAAGACTAAAGGATCTGAAACTTACTCATGGGGTTTTATGGGGAAAACAGATAATTTTGTTGTTTTCACTTGGATATACATCCAAAAGAAATCACTTGAAACCTGTAGTTTAATTACTATTTACTAGATTTCTGCTCATTACAAAAATATTTACGATAGAAAACCTAGAAAACAGAATAAAAACTATCCTTAAATCTTACAACTCAATGATAACCAGTATTAACAATGTGAATTTTTTTCCAGTATTATGTCTACATACACGTTACACAGCATGGGTTTAATATGTGACTACTGCAAATATATACATATTTTAAAGAAAGGTGATACTATGCTGGTTATATGTTACTTCTTTTACCTTATGCTATGTTGTGACTTAAGTAGGAGTTGGGTTTTTCTTTCTTTCTTTCTTTCTTTTTTTGAGACGGATTGCTCTGTTGCCCAGGCTGGAGTGCAGTGGCGCAATCTCGGGTCACTGCAACCTCCGCCTCCCGGGTTCATGCAATTCTCCTGCCTCAGCCTTCCGAGTAGCTGAGACTACAGGCGTACGCTCCCGCGCCCAGCTAATTTTTTGTATTTTAGTAGAGATGGGGTTTCACCGTGTTGCCCAGGCTGGTCTCGAACTCCTGACCTCAGGCAATCTGCTCGCCTCGGCTTCCCAAAGTGCTAGGATTACTGGAGTGAGCCACTGCACCCGGCCCATTTGTTTTTTACTATAAGAGACAGGGTCTTGCTCCGTGGCCCAGGCTAGAGTGTAGTGGTACGATGGCAGCTCACTGCAGCCTCGAACTCCTAGGTACCAGTGATCCTCTCTCCTGCCTCAGCCTCCAAGGTAGCTGGGACTACAGTCACCCACCATCATGCCCAGTTTATTTTATTATTTTTTTGTAGAGATGGAGTTTCATATTGTTGCCGAGGTTGGTCTTGAACTCCTGGCCTCAAATGTTCCCCCAACCTAAGCCTCCCAAAGAGCTAGGATTATAGGCATGAGTCACCATACCCAGCCTTAAGTAAGAGTTTTTACAGATGTATTCAACAGCCCAGAAAAAAAGGAGAAGGTGAGGAGAATATAGAGGCAAAGAGATCAATAAGAACAGAAGTTGCATGAGTGGACATTCTGGAATTCTTGTCTCTTTTTTTGGAGACAGAGTCTCACTCTCTCACCCAGGTTGGAGTGCAGTGGCACGATCTCAGCTCATTGCAACCTCCGCCTCCTGGGTTCATCCAATTCTGCCTCAGCCTCCTGAGTAGCTGGGATTACAGGTGCGTGTCACCACACCTCGCTAATTTTTGTATTTTTAGTAGAGACGGGGTTTCACCATGTTGTCCAGGCTGGACTCGAACTCCTGACCTCAAGTGATCTGCCCGCCTCTGCCTCCCAAAGTGCTGGTACAGGCGTGAGACACCGTACCTGGCCTGGTCTGTGGTTTTCTTTCTTAGGATGCCTTTGTTTGGTTTTAGTATCAAAGTAATACTGGCTTCATAGCATAAGTTGGGAAGTGTTCCCTCTTTTTCTATTTTTTGGAATACTTTGTGAAGGACTGGTATTAATTCTTCCGTAAATGTTTTGTACAGTGAGGCCCTGTGGATGTGGGAAATTTTTAAATTACCCTCTTTACTAGTCATAGGTATATTCAGGTTTTCTATTTATCTGTGAGTCAGTTTCTGTGGGTTTCTTTCTCTCTCTCTTTTTTTTTTTTTTAGACAGAGTTTCGCTCTTGTTGCCCAAGCTGGAGTGCAATGGCACAATCTCAGCTCACTGCAACCTCTGCCTCCCGGGTTCAAGCGATTCTCCTGCCTCAGCCTCCTGAGTAGCTGGGACTACAGGTGTGTGCCACCACGCCCAGCTGATTTGTTTTTTGTATTTTTAGTAGAGACGGGGTTTTACCATGTTAGCTAGGCTGGTCTCAAACTTCTGGCCTCATGTGATCTATCCGCCTTGGCCTCCCAAAGCGCTAGGATTACAGGCGTTGAGCCTCCGCACCTGGCCTCAGTGGGTTTTATCTTTCTAGAAATTTGTTCATTTCATCCAGTAATGTAATTTGTTGGCAAACAGTTGTTCAGAGTATTCCTTTATAATCCTTTTTATTTCTGTAAGGTTGATGGTATCTCCTTTTTTATTCCTGATTTGAGTATTCTCTTTGTTCTTGTTCAGTCTAACTGAAAGTATATCAATTTTGTCAATCTTTTCAAAGAACTTTATTACTTTTCTTTATTGATTTTCTATTCTCTATTTCATTTATTTATACTCTAATCTTTATTATTTCCTTCCTTCTGCTTGCTTTCAGTTTAATTTGCTCTTCTTTTTCTAGTTTCTTAAGGTGAATCGTTAGGTTATTGGCTTAAGATATTTCTTTTTTAAAATCAACATTTTACAAATAGAAATTTCCCTCCATAAATATTGGTATGTTGTGTTTCATCATTCATCTCAAAGTATTTTCTGGGCTGGGCATGGTGGCTCATGCCTGTAGTCTCAACACTTTGGGAGGCTGAAGTGGGAGGACCACGTGAGCCCAGGAGGTTCAAGGCTGCAGTGAACTATGATTCTGCCACTGCACTCCAGTCTGAGGGACAGAGTGAGACCCTGTCTCAAAAACAACAAAACAAAATACAACAAAAACTTACTCTCTAATTTCTTTTTTTTTCTTTAATCCATTGGTTATTTGGGAAGGTAGGTTAAATTTCACTTATTTGTGAATTTCCCAAATTTCCTTCTGCTATTGGTTTCTAATTTTATTTTACTGTAGTTAGAGAACATACTTTATGTATTTCAATCCTTTAAAATTTATTTAGGTTTGTTTTACTTGCTAACACATGGTCTATCCTGGAGAATAGACCATGTGCATTTGAGAAGAATGTATATTTAGCTGCTGTTGGGTGGAGTAGTCTATAGATGTCTGCTCAGTCCAGTTGGTTTACAGTATTGTTTAAGTCTTCCATTTCTTTGTTGCCTAGTTGTTCTACCCATTATTCAGAGTGGGTGTTAAAGTCTCCAACTCTCATGTTTGAATTGTCCATTTGCCTCTTTGATTCTGCTATTTCATGCATTTTGGGCTCTATCATTTCTCAGACTGGACAAGTTTGCTGATTCTTTCTTCTGGTAATTCAAATTTGATGCTGACCTTCTCTAGTGAATTAACTTGAGTTGCTGCACTTTTTGACTTCAGAATTTCATTTTGGTTTTTTATAATTTGTCTTTTTACTGATATTCTCTATTTACTGAGACATTGTTCTCATACTTTAGTTTTTTTTTTTTTTTTTTTTTTTTTTTGAGACAGGCTCACTCTTGTCCAGGTGGGAGTGCAGTGGCATGATCATAGTTCACTGCAGCCTTGACCTCCCAGGCTCAAGTGATCCTCCCACCTCAGTCTCATGAATAGCTGGGACTACAGGTGCACACTACCACACCCAGCTAATTTGAAAAATTTTTTTGTAGACACAGGGTCTCTACATGTTGCACATGTAGATGTTGCTCAGGCTGGTCTCAAGAGCTCCTCCCACCTCGGCCTCCCAAAGTGCTGGGATTACAGGTGTGAGGCACCTCACCTGGCCTCCTTTAATTCTTTAAGCATGTTTCCTTTAGTTCTCTGAATATATAGTTGGGCCTCACTATTTGCAGATTCTGTATTTGTGTATTAGCCTACTTGCTAAAATTTATTTGTAAAACCCCCAAATCAATAATCAGAGCACTTCTGTGATCACTTCACAAACATGCGCAGTGTGACAAAAAAATTTGAGCCACCTGACAGGCATATTACCAGCTGAGGTCAAAGGTGATATTCTTATGAGATTTATTTCTTTTTCTTGAGTAAAACCTCCTCAGATTGCTGTAAAGCCTTTATTTTTCAGAGTTCTAAAAAAGTTAATCTTATTCACTCTCTGGTTTCAAATGGTGATTAGAACTCTTAATTTCCAGCTCAGACCTCTAAATCTCACATTGTATGAACACTGTCTGTTGTTTCTCTCCCTTTTGTCTTGTTCATTCTTGTAACCCCATTGCCCAGCAGACACCTCCAATGAATGTATACTGAATAAATGGAAGGCATTTCTGCATTATTTCTTGTAATTACATGTGAATCTAAAATTACCTCAAAATAAAATATCTAATTTTACTTAAAAAAGAAAAAGGATCACCTTGGCCACTGCAGAAAACAAATTAGGAAAAGGCAAGATTAGATACAGTTAGAAAGGTTTCAAAATAATCAGGCAATTAAACAACAGTAATAACAGGCATAAGAGGCAGCCAACTGGCATAACAGAAGGTGGGTACAGGCAGCATACTTACGTTCCTAAGTTATTTTCCTGCTTAGGCTATCAATGTAAACTAGTATTCCGGCCAGTGCCATTAATATTTTATCATTACCTTTCTCTAGAATAGTGGTTTTCAATGCAGTATTTCCCTGATTAGTTCTGAGGTATACTGAAAACAATTTGTTCCTAGTAATAGATTTTAAAAATCAAAGTTGATAAATGTTTTATTTTTTCAAAAAGGAATCAAAGTAGATTTAAGCTTATTCATATAATAATACTTCATTCACTTGCATCCTTGAGTAGAAGAAAGGTGGGAGTTACAGTTAGCAAACTTACATTTCAAGTAACCCTAGATATCTTTGGGAAAATCATCTGTTAGCTTCAAAGACATTACCTGGGAAAAAAGAATACTGACCAGTTTTAAAAACATGAGACTCCTTTTAAACTGCAGTAATGCTACAGACCAGTACTATGATGCTGCACGGACCTTGTATATTTCTTAAAGAAATAAATGGTCACCAATGCTTCCATTTAAACCCTATCACAGTGTGTATCTGAAAGAAGGCTGAAACGTCCTGCTGAATTCTTGACAATATGTCTGATCGACTCTTCATAATGACCCCCTCCAGTGCAATCATACACCAACCAAAATACCCACACATAACCCATGAAAGTAAGATCAGAAGTGAGATCCAGATGCATACAAAGTTCTGGGAAGACGTCTCTTCAAAGCTATTTGAAAGAACTGTGCTTTAGGAGATAAAATACCTAAACAAGCAAATCCTCAATTTCTTTACACAGACTTTCTGTCATTAGTGTATTCTGAGTGTATTATCTCATTCCTTGTATGATCACAAGG
Organism: Homo sapiens; assembly: GCF_000001405.40. Classification (NCBI taxonomy): domain Eukaryota; kingdom Metazoa; phylum Chordata; class Mammalia; order Primates; family Hominidae; genus Homo; species Homo sapiens. Next base: position 40,213,079 of record NC_000001.11, on the reverse strand, counting down.
ATAAAGTAGAAGTATTAAGACTTTCAAAATAATCAGGCAATTAAACACCAATGGTCTAACAGGCAGCCAATTAGCATAAAAGAAGGTGGTGGAGGTGGCATATTTTAAACTTAATTAAACCTTTTGTAATTATTCCTTGTTCAGAGTTCATCTTAATCTTGATTCTTACTTAAACTACATCTGGAATTTCTATACTCCTGTTTACTTTTTCTTCTACTCCCAAACTGAATTCCCACTGGGTCCTGTTTAAAGGTATCTGCTCTATCATTTATACCTAGTGACTGTGTCAATTCCCAACAGTGTTAGGCTGGTAAGTAAATTGGATCCTGTTTGTCCTTTCCTTTCCCCATCAGGAAAAGAAACAACCATCTGCTATTGTGTCTATCAACCACGTCAGATACCGAAGATGTAGTTCATTCAGGGATTAAGAATGAAACGGACCCCTGCCTTAACTGCGCCAAGAACTCTGCTGACAGATTTCTTGAGCTCTTTAAAATAGAAGTGCTTGATGTTTAAAATGTTATCTTTTCTATGTTGAAAACCTGATCTTTGCAAAGACTTCCCCTTTCAGTAATGAAAAAATATAGGAAACATCCACTTGGGACACTGAGCCACTGCCAAGTCTATAACTTTTATTAAAATCCTTTAATATGTAAAGTTAATAGCAATGTCATCTCATTCAATTCTACATAAATAAAGTATCACAACCTAAAACTCCAGGATTCCATGAAATTCTTCTGCCTTCCAGACCTACCAGATATCTGAAAGGACTCACTCTTTACCCACTAGGTTCTGAATTTTGACTTTCAGATGACCCAGTCAATTAATCTTAATTGTATGTGTCTGGCTAAATCTTCCCCAGCAGCGGTTTCCCATTACATATGCCTATTATTGGGATACCCCCAGGTACCAACATACAATGTACTTTTATTCCCAGCTGTTGCTCAAGTTAACTCTTCTCCTGAACTCAGGTGAAGTAGATGGCAAATATGTGTGTAACTCTGCTACTTTAGAACGTATGCTGAATTTAAACTCTAATTAATCAACATCTGGTGACTCACTAGTAATTTTCCAAAGCAAACTACAGATTATTTTTAATTCTGTTGACACTTGCAAAAGAAAAGTATCACTAGGATAAGAGACTGACTAGTGGCTGGGCGTGATGGCTCATGCCTTGTAATCCCAGCACTTTGGGAGGCCGAGGCGGGCGGATAACAGGAGGTCAGGAGTTTGAGACCAGCTGGTCACCAGTAGAAACGGTGAAACCCCGTTTCTACTAAAAATACAAAAATTAGCCAGGCGTGGTGGCACGTGCCCGTAATCCCAGCTACTCGGGAGGCTGAAGCAGGAGAATCACTTGAACCCGAGAGGCAGAGGTTGCAGTGAGCCGATATCACGCCATTGCACTCCAGCTTGGGCAACAAGAGTGAAACACCATCTCAAAGAAAAAGAAAGGAAAAAAAAAGACTGACTAGTTATGATGATACGATGATACTAGGGTTCCTTTAAAATAATTTTAAGATAACTTTATGTGTACTAAATGTTTTGCATTGGTATATTTAACAAATTAATCCACATCATGATAAAAATGTTTTAAATCACACCTATATGTATAAATATGAACAGAATGATATATCACCAAGATGTTCCCAATCAGACCATGGCTTATCAATGTCTAACACATGGAAATAGGTGGTAGAGTGGAAAGAAGGCTGACCAAGGAGCCAGGTGACCTGCATTCCAGCTGGGCTTGGCCTTTCTAATTAGCTTAATGCAGGAAGGGCCTTGGAAACATTATCAGCTTGGCTTCAGTTTCATCACGTGTAGAACACGGAGGGTTAGACCAACCGATATTAAACCACTGAAATAGACTGGAAAATTTAATTCTTGTAGAGCAGAGGTTAGCAAATATTTTTCGTACAAGGACAGACAGAAAATATTTTTAGCTTTTCTGGCCAGAGAGTTTCTGTTACAACTACTCACCTCTGCCACTGTAGCACAAAAGCAGCCACAGACAAGAAATGAATGTAAGACTTTGTGCCAGTAAAGCTTTATTTATAAAAACAGGTAGCTGGGTGGGTGCCAACCCCCTGTTGTGAATAGTATCAAATCGTATTTCCTATAACACAGTTCCCTGCAAACTCAACACAATCAGGAAAAATCCTGTTTCCAAACATTGTTATTAATAAACCAGGAAAGATCATGTATAAAACAAAGCTTATCATCTTCCCAGACTCTCCCTTGTCCCTCCACCCATTCTTTCTTCTAATTAGCAGCAGAGCACCACTATTCTTCCAGTCTCCCAAGCTAGAAGCCTTATGAGCCTCTTGAAGGTATCTCTGTACATCCTCCTCTGTTTTTGCCCGGTCAGCAAGTCCTGTCCTTTGTCCTCTTGCTGGCTACAATCTCTTGTCCTAAACATAATACATATTCTTTCTGTCTAGTCTTCCTAAAACACCACTTCAGACATGTCACTTCCTAACTGCAAAGCCTTCTTAATTTCTACTGCATCAAATCTAACCATTAATGCAATGGAGTTTCCAAGCCCTTCTTTTCCAACCCCAACAGGTCTTATTTCTCACAAGACTTCAATAACCACTCTGCCCTAAGCAGGGTATTTATTCTCCAGTGGATCCCTGCAAAGTACTCATTAGTACCTGTGCTTTACTACCATTCAGTCATCTCCAAACCATTCTTTCCACCCATCCAAACCCCACCATTACTTAAAGCTCCAATTCAAGGATCAATTTTTCTATAAACACAGAATTCTCTATCTTTACACTTCTACTGAATTTAGGGCAGTAATCATTGAGCTTAGTACTTCTCTTTCTGTAACTATTTTTGGCAAACAAACTGGGCCATACAGTTTGCTGTATTTGCCAATGCCTAATACAACATTAGAAACAAAACGGGTTTTAATTAAGCAAAGGCTGAGAGAGTAAAGTTGTTATTATTACAGGATGAGGAATCAAACCCAAAATGTAGTGTTTTGCTGCTGCTTTTGAATTGTTTTGGCATGTGTCAGGTGCTGAGAATAACCATTACTACATCTCAGTCTGATTAACTTTCCCAAACATAAAATACTGCAGCTGCTATTAGAGGTAAGCAATCTATCTCCTTACACTACCTGATACTGCAAATAAATAAATTAGCATACAGGTTTATAGTTGGTCTCTTATGATCGCCTTTTTTTTTTTTTTTTAAGACGGAGTCTCGCCCTGTCGCCCCAGCTCGAGTGCAAATGGCACGATCCTGGCTTACTGCAACCTCTGCCTCCTGGGTTCAAGTGATTCTCTTGCCTCAGCCTCCTGAGTAGATGGGATTACAGGCGCACACCACCACACCTGACTAATTTTTTGTATCTTTAGTAGAGACAAGGTTTCACCATGTTAGCCAGGCTGGTCTTGAACTCCTGATCTCATGATCTGCCCGCCTCGGCCTCCCAAAGTGTTGGGATTACAGGCATGAGCCACTCTGTCCAGCCCATATGACTGCTTTTAAAAATGTAGATGAAGTCATAGGAGGCTATCTCTGTGTATACCACATTGTTTCTCTGTGCAAATTCAGGTTTCACCTCTGATCAATCTTGACTTCGACGGATCCTCCCTAGTTCTGCACCCCAGGCTTAAAGAATTCTTATACTAGGGTCTATGTTTGTAAGGTGTCTAAAATATGCCAAGAACTGTGTTAAGTGCTTTAGATATTATCACATTTAAACTATCCAGCCATTTTGTGAGACGGCTACTACTGTTGTGCCTACTTTATAGATAAGGAAAATAAAGCTACCTGGCCAAGGCTGTATGGCTAGTAAATGACAATGTCAAGATTCAAGCCTACATATTTTGATTGTTGCTTTCACTTCTCTAGATGTCTTGTGAAAAACATACTCTACCTAAGCTCCTCAGTAAATCCAGTCCAGTAATGAGCCACCCACAAGCCTCAGAACTTCAAAGTCCCCTCCCATCTTTTCTGAAGTTTCCCCTCTGGGTAAACAAAAGAAATAAAAACTTGCCTGCACAACAAGTCTACTTTAAGAACCAGAATCCAGAAAGAACCAGAAGGTTGGCAGTGACAGTGAGTTGGATCATGTACATGAGATGTGTGAGTGTCAGATTAATATGTATAAAAGCAAAGCAGAGGCAGATCACCTTGGATTTAAACCCTGGGCACACCACTTACTGGACATCTTACTACTATGCGCCAGTAATATCATCTCTCAGAGCCTCAGTTAATTTCTATAAAATTCAAAGTTTTTTTGTTTTTGAGACAGGGTCTTACTCTGTCATCTAGGCTGCAGTGCAGTGGTGTGATCTCAGCTCACTGCAACCTGCACCTCCAGAGCTCAAGCAATCCTCCCACCTCAGCCTCCCGAGTAGCTGGGACTACGGCACATGCCACCACGCCCAGCTAAGTTCTGCATTTTTTTTTGTAGAGATGGGGTTTCACCATGTTGCCCAGGCTGGTCTTGAACTCTTGGCCTCAAGCAATCTTCCCTCCTCAGCATCCCAAAGTGCTGGGATTACAGTCATGAGCCACCACACCTGGCCTAAATTAATAGATTTTTATAAGGATTAGATACCGACACATTTAAAGCACACAGCACAGTGCTTGGAATAGACAAGTGAGCAATAAATGTTTTCTGCAGTTATATTTAAGATTCAAGTAGAAAGTCTGAAAAGACAGGCAGTGCAAAGCATTTTATCCTTTGATTTCTTTATCACCAGAAAGTCTAACAAATAAGAACATTTATTAATGAGGCCCTAGGTCATAGCTTCAATCCCCATTTGAGGAAACTACATGTTGTCCACTTCATAGCCACCAACTGGCTGTTTCATCTCTGCATCCCGTATCTGTGCTCCTGTGTAAGGTCATTCCCCAAAACAAAGATGACTAGCATTCTGTCTCTATCTATACTTTCCCTGCCTAGACAATCCTCTCAGATTCAAGTTACTACTAAATCTCAAAGACCAGGCCACAGTGCTTCCAAGTGGAATGTTGCTAACCCAATATCCATCCCAGAATAAAGTCTGTGAGCACTTGAAAAAATACGTTAGTTGATAGAAATGCAAAGACTACTAGGAGCCAGGACAGAATCACAAATTCCTGGAGTCAGTATTTTGGCCACTGGGAAGTATCTTAGATATAAGTACATCTTAAATTTCAACAAGGGGCCAGGCGTGGTGGCTTACGCCTATAATCCCAGCACTTTGGGAGGCTGAGTCAGGCAGATTGCTTGAGGTCAGGAGTTGGAGACCAGCCTGGGCAACGTGGCAAAACCCTGTCTCTACTAAAAATACAAAAATGAGCTAGGTGTAGTGGCGCACGTCTGCAATCCCAGCTACTCAGGTGGTTGAGGCAGGAAAACTGCTTGAACTCAGGAGGTGGAGGCTGCAGTGAGCCGAGATCACGCCACTGCACTCCAGGCTGGGCGACAGAGACTCTGTCTCCAAAAAAAACAATTTTCAACAAAAAAATCTGATAAAAGATTCTCACAGTGGGAGATATGATCTGGGCCATAGCAGGGGGTCTTAGCCATTTGAAATAACTATTGACCCAAGCACTGATCCAGGATGCAATCAACCTATACAGAAATCTGAATCACAACACTGTACTTGGTTTCATCTTGGTTCTTATTTTTATAAATATACAGATAGCATAACTATATTTCAAAATAAAATAAAGCTGAGAGAGAGAAATATAAAATCACAATTTTAAAATTCAAAAAGACCTCCAAGCAAAGTTTAAAAACTTAGAAAGCATGAGTGGAATGTTCCAGCTTTGACATTCTGGTCATAACTCAGGTAATAAAGCTAGAAATCCTAGTAACAAAAGATCAAGGGATGAGGCTATACCTTTCATTAATTCATTCAATAAGTATTGAGTGCCTACATGGCTAAGCATTCTTCTAGAATACAGGGATATACCAGTAAACAACCTATGTTCCTGTCCTTCCGGAGTTTACAATCTAGTGGGAGGAAATACCGAATAATCAAATATGATGCCTAGTAGAAGCAGTAATGTGTACTATGAAGAAAATACAAATAGGCAGAAAGACAAAGTGATAGGGGTCATTTTAAATGGGTTAGTATATATTTATAATAATGACAGCAGATATTTAGGGCAGAGTAGGGGGCTAGGGTAATATTTTAGATGAGACAGCGAGGAAGGCCTCTCTGATATGGTAATATTGAACAGACATGAGAACATTTAGAGCAGACATGAGGTAAGGGAGTAAGCCATTCAAATTATCTTGTGGAAGGCAATTCTCGTCAGAGGGAATAGCAAGCACAAAGCTCTAAGACAGGAACATCCTTGGCTTGTTCAAAGAACAGCAAAGACAAGGCGGCTGGAGAGTAGTGGGCACTAAGATTACAAGATAAGGTGAGAGAACGTTAGAAAAGTAGCCAGGGCCCATGGCACATAGAATAAAGAATTCTGAATGTATTCTGAGTAAGATGGAAAGCTATTAGATAATTGTGTGCAGAGAAGTGGCATGGCACGACAAGTTTTAGAGAGATTATTCTGGCTATTTTCAAGATAAAATGTAGAGGCCAACAGTAAAACCAAGTATGCCAGTCCAGAGACTTCTGCATTCATCTTTGAACCCCAATGCCTAACACAGCATTTGGCATATAAACTCTAAGGTAAATACCAACAAGGATAATATTCCTTATCCTATGTCTTTAATATAATATTACTGGTAGTACACCAAACTCAGGTTTGAATCCCAGCTTAACCACTTTAGCTTTGTAACCTTGAAGCACACAACCTAATCTGAGCCTGACTTTCCTCATCAATAAAATGGAGCTACCTCAGAGCTATTGTGCTGATTAAATGTAGCAAAGTATATAAAGCATTTAGCATGGTGCCAAACACATAGTGAGGACTAAAAAAAACCCTCATAAAAGCAAAGTCCAAATATCAGGAATATCAAGAGCTTAGTTACGGACATGTTAAATCTGTAAGTAGAGATGGTAATTAGGCAATTGGATATGGGTCTGGAGTTTGGAGGAGGGAACAGGGCTGGAGAGAAAACTTTTGGGAGTCAGACCATAGTTGGTATTTAAAGCCAAAGATGAAGGAAATAAGCCTAGTTAAGTGTAAAAAGAGAAGACCCAATGACAGAGTCATTGGGTACTGCAACATGTACTCATCAGACAGCAAAGTAGAACTGAGAAAGGAGTAATCAATGAGGTAGACAGAAAACTGAAAGTCATCATTAGATTTAGTGATATGGTATACTGCCAGGGGCAAAGGTCATATTAGAATGTCTTGAAAGAAGAAAAATGGGCCAGGCACCGTGGCTCACGCCTGTAATCCCAGCACTTTGGGAAACAGAGGCGAGCGGATCACGAGGTCAGGAGATGGAGACCATCTTGGCTGACACGGTGAAACCCCGTCTCTACTAAAAATACAAAAAAAATTAGCCGGGCATGGTGGCGGGCGCCTGTAGTCCCAGCTACTCGGGAGGCTGAGGCAGGAGAATGGCGTGAACCTGGGAGGCGGAGCTTGCAGCGAGCCAAGATCGTGCCACTGCACTCCAGCCTGGGTGACAGTGCGAGACTCTGTCCCAAAAAAAAAAAAAAAAAAAAAAGAAGGAAGGAAAATGTTCGATAGTAAATTAAGACAATTTGTTAAAGAAATTATGCTTAAAAAGCCAGAAGGAAATGGGGCAGTAGCTAAAAGTAGAAACAGGATCTAAAGCAGCGTTATTTTTATTTTATTTTATTTTTTTGAAGACAGAGTCTCGTTCTGTTGTTCTGTTGCCCAGGCTGGAGTGCAGTGGCGTGATCTCAGCTTACTGCAGCCTCTGCCTCCTGGGCTCAAGCAATTCCCGGGCTCAAGCAATTCTTGTGCCTCGGCCTCCCTAAGTGCTGGGATTACAGGCATGAGCCACCACCTCTGGACCTAAGAAGAGCTCTTTTTTAAGGACAGAATAAATAATAGCATAAATGCCAATGGGGTGGTTATAACAGAGACAGGGAAATCGATGATGTAATAGAGAAAAGGAGAACTGCTGTAGCATTATCCTTAAGGGAGACAACATCAATTGAAATACAGAAGTGAGGGAGGCTGGCCTTAGCTAGGAGAACAGATATAATTTATCTCTAGTAACAGAAGAGAAGATGTACATTCATAGATGCTGGTAGATGAATAGATGTTTCAGAGACAGAGCTTATGAAAATTCTCTTATTTATCTTCTCAGCGCTTCAATTTTTTTCAGAGAAATAGGGAGTTAAGTTCAGCAACAGAGAGTGAAACAGGGCAGAAAGTATTACAGTATAGTTTTGAAGAATAAGAAAAAACTATGCAACTATCTAAGAGTGGGAGAATGAATGGGCTAAAGAAATATAGGCTGGGTGCAGTGAGTGGCTCACACCTGTAATCCCAGCACTTTGGGAGGCTGAGGTGGACGGATCATTTGACCCTGGGAGTTCGAGACCAGCCTGGGCAACATGGCAAGACCCTGTCTCTCCAAAAAAATAAAAAATAAATAAAAAATAAATTAATCGGGAATGGTGGCATGTTTCTGTGGTCCTAGCTACTCCAGGGGCTGAGGTGGGAAGATCACCTGAGCCCAGGATTTTGAGGCTGCAGTGAGCAGTGTGCGCCACCACACTCTAGCCTGGAGTAAAATTAGCTGGCAGATTTTTCTCCATGTAAATTTGGCCCCATGAGTGCAGGTAAACACATAGAGTAGGTGAAGATTTAGGGATAATCAGGATACTGGTAGTCAAACAAGTACAATTAAGAGAGAGACCAGTGGCCGGGAGCAGTGGCTCACGCCTGTAATCCCAGCACTTTGGGAGGCCGAGGCGTGTGGATCATGAGGTCAGGAGTTCAAGACCAGCCTGGCCAAGATGGTGAAACCCCATCTCTACAAAAATACAAAAAAATTAGCCAGGCGTGGTGGTGGGCGACTGTAATCCCAGCTACTCGGGAGGCTGAGGCAGGAGAATTGCTTGAACCCAGGAGCAAAGATCGCGCCACTACACTCTAGCCTGGGCAACAGAGCGAGACTCTGTCAAAAAAAAAAAAAAAAAAGAGAGAGGACCTCTCGCTCTTTGAGAGTGATAATGATGATCTGACAATGACAAAGCAGAGTTAAATAGGGAAGTGAATACATAAGGGGGATAAGGGAAAATGAAAAGGTGACAAGATCAATAGATCTTGATTGATCCTGGTGGAGACTGTATATTAAAGGGAGTAAGGTAGAAAGATAGACAATTGTATTTGGAGAGTAAGATATTACAAGTAAAAGTTTCAGAATTACTACAGCATAAAACCAGATCCTTGGGACTACTACATCTAATAAAAAATTTCAGTTCAGAGTAAGAATCCATATGTCAGAATTGAATGGCAGATAAGAGGATTAAAGGTAGATGATGAAATAAAGCTTAAGAATCTCTAGTTTTTTTCTGTATAATGTCAAAAACCATTAGAGAAGTCTAACTCCAAATTTAAGAAACATAATAATTGAGGTTTTTTTTTTTTAAAGGATGCAATCTGATACATAAAATAGTTGTTGTTTTTTTGAGATGGAGTCTCACTCTTGTCACCCAGGCTGGAGTGCAGTGGCACGATCTCGATGCACTGCAACCTCCACCTCCCGGGTTCAAGCGATTTTCCTGCCTCAGCCTCCTGAGTACCTGGGATTACAGGCGCCCACCACCATGCCTGGCTAATGTTTGTACTTTTAGTAGTACAAGCTGAAGCAGGTGGATCAGTTGAAGTCAGGAGTTCAAGACCAGCTTGGCCAACATGGTGAAACCCCGTCTCTACTAAAAAGTACAAAAAGTAGCCAGGCATGGTGGCGCATGCCTTTAGTCCCAGCTACTTGGGAGGCTGAGGCACAAGAATCACTTGAACCCGGGAGGCAGAGGCTGCAGTGAGCCGAAATTGCACCACTGCACTCCTGCCTGGGTGACAGAGCAAGACCTTGTCTCAAAAAAAAAAAAAAAAAAAAAAAGACTCAACCCTTATTTTCCATGATATCCAGTTTGGCCACTTAATTGTTCAGGATGTAGTCATGGAATCTAGAGTCCTATACTTTTCTGCTTACAAAATTAAATATATAAAGTAACTTAAGCTAAAATTAAGTGCCATTTTCTTTAGTTTATCCCTTGATGCCATGATTAACAACTTCTGCATTCCCCAAACATGGAGACGTCATTACTTTAAAAAGAAAAAACAACTTTCACATTTAAAGATTTCACAGCAAATCATCACCCAAATAAGTAAACATGCCTCTGTATATTCTTTAGTTATCTACTTTTCAAATTCACTCTAAAATATTACATTCTATCTGTCGAGCAGTTAAATATACAATTAAAATCATACATTTTGGTAGCCTGAAAAAAATGAATCTTGGTTTTCATTCTAAAGGGAAAAAATAAACCATGCAATATATATATAAATCTATTAAATTAATACCAAGTTTGAATGACAACAATTATTTACTCACCTCCTTAATAGCATCTTCATTAGGGAGCATAGAACATAAACATGTGATATAGGCTTGCTGAAAAGATGACACATTTGAAATTTCTTTAGATTCTGCACATAGTTTTGATAAAGCAGTAGCCTGGGGGATGCAGTTAGATTTCAACAAATGTTTTATTCGCATTTGCAGAAAGGAAGGTCCTTCTTGTGCAATCAATTTATTGACTAGAAAAAATGAAAAATAAAACAGTTTGACAACATACCACATAACATGTCAGACTTGCTAAGATGAAAGTTTGAGATCTTTTTATTTGATTTTTAGTTAATAAAAATTTAGTTTATATAAATGAGAAGTTTACTCTGGTCTCAATATTCATCTAATAGAGATGAGAGGAAAATTAAGAAATAGTGAAATGAACTATAAGCATAAATGCAAGAAATGAAGCAAGTAACCTATGTAATATTAACAACTATCAACTGAATGCTTACGAGACATCAAGTTTTAAGCTGCATATTTTTATATACCTCTCATTTATTCTTCACACCACCACCAAGGCAAGTATTATTATCCCCAGTCTAAGGTTAGGAAAATTAATATTCACAGAAGTTAGGTAACTTGCCAAGGATTCCAAAGCCAGTGGTGCTCTTTCCTCTAAACCAGGCATTTCTCAAAGTGTGTTCCACCGACCAAAAGACCTGAGAGATAGTCCTAGAAAAAAAAAGGATTCCTTGGTCAAATCTCTGAACAGTCCTGCAATAAAGAAAACTGTTCACTTTTATTTAAAAACCCAATGTTTCCTAAACTGATTTGACCAGAGAACCCTTTTATACATATTAGTAACCTGTAAAACATGTGTTCCTGGTTCAGTACACACTTTGGAAAATGCTACTCTGAAAGCTTCAGAAGTACTGAAGCTCAGTACTTCTGAGCTGTACTGAATATTAGGCACTTGGCATTGACTGTACAGTGCTCTGGATGAGCCCTCAAATTTTTTTTTTTTTTTTTTTTTTGAGATGAAGTCTTGCTCTGTCACCCAGGCTGGAGTGCCGTGGCGCGATCTTGGCTCACTGCAAGCTCCGCCTCCCGGGTTCACGCCATTCTCCTGCCTCAGCCTCCCGAGTAGCTGGGACTACAGGTGCCCGCCACCATGCCCGGCTAATTTATTGTATTTTTAGTAGAGACGGGGTTTCACCGTTGTTAGCCAGGATGGTCTCGATCTCCTGACCTCATGATCCACCCGCCTTGGCCTCCCAAAGTGCTGGGATTACAGGCATGAGCCACCGCACCCGGCCGAGCCCTCAATTTTTGAATAGTAAATATCCAACAAGTATGTGACATCACTACATAGTATTACTTAAAGAATAGAGGTGAGAATATTGCATGTCAAGCCAAGTGGTGAGTAAACAAACTGCTTTAGGTGGTTAATCTAAAACAGTATCTCTCAGACTTGAAAGTGCCTAGATCACCTAGGGAGCTTATTAAAATGCAGATTCTGATTTATTAGGTCTGGGACCTGAAATTTTGCTTTTCTCACAAGCTCCCAGGTTGCGGGGGGGGGGGGGGGGGTGTGTGTGTGTGTGAGGTGTGGGGGGGGTGTGTGTGTTTGTGTGTGTAGAGTAGCAATGGTTTATACTAAGGATAAACCACTGGGGTGTGTGTGTGTAGAGTAGCAATGGTTTATACTAAGGATAAACCAGTGTGTGTGTGTGTGTGTGTGTGTGTGTGTGTGTGTGTGTGTGTGTGTGTGTGTGTGTGTGTGTGTGTGTGTAGAGTAGCAATGGTTTATACTAAGGATAAACCACTGGCCCAATTTTAACTACATATGAGAATCAATCGTAACATTATCCTTTAAAATAATATAAAGAAAAACATATATATATATATAATCACAGATTTCAAAAGGACAGAAAAAGCTATACAGTTAAAGTTTTTCTCCCTCCTACCCTGACCCCAGTGCTCTGGTTTCCCACCCTGAGAAACAACAAGTTTCCAATTTCTTGTTTATCCTTCCAGAAATATTCTATGAGTATGGAAGACATTTTCTTTTGCCACTTAATATATGATACAGGTTATTCTATCATCTGTGCAGTTAGAGCTATCTTCTTATTTTTAACAACTGAATAGCATTATGTGGTATGGATGTGCTATAATTTATTTAACCAATCCCCTACTGATACACTTGCAGGCTGTTTCCAATCTCTGTCAATCATCAATAATGCTGCAACTTACAACCCTATATACAGGTAATCTGAAACATGTGAATAAATCTACACAACAAATTCCTAGATGCGGAATTGCTAAATTAAAGGCTCTGTTCATTTGTAATACTGACTCATACTGCCAAACTGCTCTCCAAAAATTGTACCAATTTATATTCCCATCAGCAATATGTAAGTGCCCATTTCCTAAGGCACTTCAAAAAGTTCTGGATTCCAGAGCTCCAACTCTGGAGATTATGATTTAGCAAGTGGAGTCTGGACCTTGGGATGTATGTTTTTTGGTTTTAAATTCCATAGATACTCTAATATGTAGTCAAGGTCAAAAAGCATGGAGGGAAAACAGGTCACAATCACTTGGACTTTTCCATTTTAGTCCCACAGTTACTAAATTCCACAAGATGAACTCACGGTCATACCCTTCACTCACATAGCTCCTTATTCCCTACTTCTATTTTCAGCAATGATATTCTCTCAATTATACAACAATAAAATTTTGGAATTATCTTTCCTTGATACTTCCTTTCCTCAAGGAAATCAACTTAGTTATTATGTCCTAGTAATTCTTTTCTAATTATCTCCAATCTAAATCATGCCTATTATTTCCTGTCACGTCTCCCCTATATCCTATTCTGCCTGCCTAACATCAGATTCTGCTCTATTTACCTGCCATATGAGGTTGTAAGCAATTCTGCAAATCCAACAGGAAGCAACATACCTGATAACAGGCATATTACCTACACAACCTATCGCCTTGCAAATTCCCACAGCATTTTACTTCTTTCCCCACATTTAGTTTTCTCGAAGAACAGTGATAAGGGATTATAGTGTACAAACGTTAACATTTCAGGTTTTAGAATCACTGATCTGATGTTGAAACCTGATTCTGACACACAGCTGTGAGACCCTTGGACAAATTAACTGACCTCTCTGAGACTCAAGTTTCTTCATCTGTAAAAAGGTTATACCCATCTCACATGGATGAACAAATTAAAGAAATACTAGAAATGCAGATAAGACTCACCACAAGGCCAAACACGGAGTAAATGTTTAATAGTACTTACTATTGTCTCTGATATCTCCTTTATTACACTGTCAGCAATTTGTGAACAAATATCATGTCTTGTTAGCCTTTGTATTCCCTACAGCACTAAGCACAAGGGCTTGTATATTACGGATGTTTAATTAAACCATGCACTTAGCAACTGAAGGGTCATCACTCTCCAATCAAAAACATTTTAACGTCACCTCACCTGGGCTCAAATTCTGCCTCCACAATTGTAACTACATGGTCTTGGGTATGTGTAATCTCTCACCTGTTTCATGGATTACATGAGATATGAAAGCACAAATACAGTGCCCAACACATAGCAGGCACTCTAAAAATCATAGCTATTATTTCTATGCGGTAAGCTATTTTATTCAATAATTATAACTACAGTTAAACTGCTGCTAAATCAATTTTAACATATGGCTCAATCTTGTATTTTACAAATCATTTGAAGATATCAATCTTTGAATTTCTTTATTGAAAGGAAATCTACCATATGCTTCAATATTTAAAACAATATGTCTCACTCCCAATCACAATCCTTTCTGTATCTCATTTCTTCAAACATTTCAATACAAAATTTTTTTTTAGTTTTATACCCTTCCTTCCAACTAGATTTAACAATTGAACTGGTTTGCCGCATTTCTTTGCCTTCTCTTTTTCAGAACCATTTAAAAGAAAGGTGCAGACATCATGACACTTTATCTTATACTATATACTTCATTATGTAAAAACAGTAACACTTAAGATCCAGTTGAAAAACAGCTCTGCCGGGCACAGTGGTGCACGCCTGTAATCCCAGCACTTCGGGAGGCTGAGGCAGGTGGATCATCTGCGGTCAGGAGTTCGAGACCAGCCTGACCAATATAGTGAAAACTCATTTCTAAATATAAAAAATTAGCCGGGTGTGGTGGCACATGCCTGTAATCCCAGCTACTTGGGAGGCTGAGGCAGGAGAATGACTTGAACCCAGGAGGCGGAGGTTGCAGTGAGCCGAGATCACGCCATTGCACTCCAGCCTGGGCAACAAGAGTGAAACGCTGTCTTTAAAAAAAAAAAAAAAAAAAGAGGCCGGGCGCGGTGGCTCACACCTGCAATTCCAGCACTTTGGGAAGCTGAGGGCAGATCACCTGAGGTCAGGAGTTCGAGACCAGCCTGACCAACATGGAGAAACCCCATCTCTACTAAAAATACAAAATTAGCCGGGCATGGTGGCGCATGCCTGTAATCCCAGCTATTCGAGAGGCTAAGGCAGGAGAATCGCTTAAACCCCGGAGGCAGAGGTTGCAGTGAGCTGAGATCACACCATTGCACTCCAGCCTGAGTAATAAGAGCGAAACTCCATTTCAAAAAAAAACAGAAAAGAAAAACAGCTCTTCCATGGCATCTTTACTGATCATGTCAGGTGAATATCAGGTAAAATTATCAACAATTGGCACTTATTACAGAAGACAATCAGTGAGATGAACATCACTGCTTTTTGGTATCAAATATGTTAAATATCTGGCCTGCAGGGGCAGCAGAGATATAAAGAAAGCTTTTTAATCTTTTGACCTGAAATTAGATTAAGGGCCAACTGTGAAAGGAGGCAGGCTACATGTTACCCACCACTTATACTGTGGTCCTCAACATAATTCCTTGGATATGTAGGTATCATGTACCTATTCAGAGTCTTAAAGATAGTGAGTGCTTAATTAATATTTACTGAATAAACAGGATACCAAGAATGTTAGGTAAGCAATGCTTCTCCCCATTTCTTGATGTTTTTCTATGTTAAAAATGATTAATTACTGTTAACTCCAGAGGTGGGGTGACATAGTTGATTAGTATATCAGGGGAAAATACACTAAGGATGTTTAACTCAACCCCACCCTTTTTTCCTCTTGGGCTTGGGCCTGCCTGCACAAAACATGCAATCTCCTCTGCCCCAGTCAAGACTTATCTGGATAGGATCTGCCCAATTCTGGGATGTTTCTGAAATTACCTGGTTCTAACAGCTTTTGTCAATAACAAAGGTGATACTTTAGCCTCCATCTACCTACATTTACAAGGGGATGCCGTTTATTGAGGACCTCAATGGAAAACTATAAACACCAATCTTTTTCTATTTAACAGCACTTTTCCTTATTCTTTTTTTTTCTTGTCAGTGCAACTGGTAAGCACTAGAATGATCAGAGGAAACGGATCAAGAGAAAATCTAAGTGCCTTTATGCCCATCTTCTCACTATACAGAGAGGTCCAAACACCATGTATATGGTAGGTGCTTAAGCTTGGTGAATGGATAAACTAACTGGGATATTTTAAAGGATCGACAATCAAATGGCTAGTTCTAAGACCTAAAGATATCTCAAAATGTGTAATAATTGTTCTAAAGTCTGTTTTTATAGCAAAAAATGTACTTAACAGAGTGTAATCCTTTGAACTTTCCACTAACTTGACGTAAATGAAGTTACAGTTGTTGGCTCTATCAAAGAAGATACTTTTGTGATCTAAAATGCAAATGTCAATTCAAATACATAATTTTTCTGGTCTTCGACTGACAATTTTGCAAATAAGATATTTCATTCTGGCCAGATATGGTGGTTCATGCCTGTAATCCCAGCACTTTGGGAGGCTAAGGCAGGAGGATCTCTTGAGTCTAGGAGTTCAAGACCAGCCTAGGCAACATAGTGAGACCCCCATATCTACAAAAAATAGAAAAATTAACTGTACACAGTGGCGCATGCCTGTAGTCCCAGTTACTTGTGAGGCAGAGGCAGGCAGATCACTTGAGCCTGAAAGGTAGAGGCTGCAGTGAGCCATAATTGTGCCACTCCAGCCTGGGTAGCAGAGTAAAACCTTGTCTCAAATTAAAACAAAACAAAACAAAAACAACAAAAACTTCATTCTTTGCATCTCTCTATAAAACAATGAATTCCAATTATTTCATATATATAAAATAAAAAAAACTTTTTTCATGGCCCTCAGTTGTTGCAGCCAATAAAAAAGGTATAAGCAGACCGGGCGCAGTGGCTCTTGCCTATAATCCCAGCACTTTAGGAGGCCAAGGCAGGTGGATCACAATGTCAGGAGTCCGAAACCAACCTGACCAACATGGTAACGCCTCGTCTCTACTAAAAAATACAAAACTTAGCCAGGCGTGGTGGCGCGCGCCTGTAATCCCAGCTATTCAGGAGGCTGAGGCAGAATCGCTTCAACACTGGAGGCAGAGGTTGCAGTGAGCCGAGATCCTGCCACTGCACTCCAGCCTGGGTGACAGAGCGAGACAACGTCTCGGGAAAAAAAAAAAAGAAAAGAAAAGTATAAGCAAAGCTCTACCACACACCAAAGATTACAGCAGATTATTCATTTCTGTCTCAGGAACTTTGTATGAACATTGCTACTCAATGCAAAATTTAAAAATGAGTGTAAAGGGACTTAAAACTAACAGTGCAAGAATCCTTACTTAAGCAAAACATTAAATGCTAATAGTTAATTTTTACTACTCAAAGTAAAAACAGAAAGACTAGATATATACACAAGTTAAATTCCCAAAATTTTAACCCATAATCAATTCCAACGTTCTCAGAACTAAATCCTCATCCAATATAGTCTTAAGACTTACCTTCCTCCGTTTCTACTGGCTGTTGAGACAGAATTTTAAGAAGAACTGGGTTTTTCCACACCCCTTCCTTGGTAACATGAACCAATATTTGTAGGTTATTATTCCCAAATTCCAATAATGCATCATGTGACTCCTAGAACAAGAACAGCACACCCAGAAAATAAGTTAACAATATAAAAATTAGTTTTGCCTTTTCAACATATCTGATACACCTAGGAATTGAAAGAACCTATTTGGATTTCCTGAAAATAAGTAACCAAAAAAGACTATACTCAAAGCCTTGTGAAATTCTGTTGCTGTCTTTTTTTTTTTTTTAAAGACAGAATCTTACTCTGTCACCCAGACTGGAGTGCAGTGGCGCGATCTCAGCTCACTGCAACCTCCAACCCCTGGGTTCAAGCAATTATCCTGCCTCAGCCTCCTGAGTAGCTGGAATTACAGGCGTCTGTCACCGCGCCCAGCTAATTTTTGTATTTTTAGTAGAGACAGGGTTTCACCATCTTGGCCAGGCTGGTCTTGAACTCCTGACCTCGTGATCCACCCGCCTCGGCCTCCCAAAGTGCTGGGATTATAGGTGTTGAGCCATCGCGTCCAGCCTCTGTTGCTGTTTTTAGAAAAAAACTAGGATGGGGCCAGGCACAGTGGCTCATGCCTGTGATCTCAGCACTTTGGGAGGCTGAGACGGGTGGACCATCTGAGGTCAGGAGTTCAAGACCAGCGTGGCCAAAATGACAAAACTCTGTCTCTACCAAAAATACAAAAAATTAGCCGGGCGTGGTGGCACCCACCTATAGTTCCAGCTACTCGGGAGGCTGAGGCAGGAGAATCACTTGAGCCTGGGAGGCAGAGGTTGCAGTGAGCCATGATTGTGCCACTGCGCTCCAGCCTGGGTGACAGAACAAGACTCCGTCTCATAAATAAATAAATAAATAAATAAATAAATAAATAAATAAATAACTAGGATGTTTTCACTAAGTAAAAGAGTGCCTTTAAAACGTTTTCCTGAATTCCTCCCTGGTAAAATTATCACAATTCAAGTTAGGTCCTTGCATTACTGTTGGATATTTGGAGTGCCCTACTATTAGGATCACTCATGTTACTAGCAGACTCTGAAGACTTGAATGATAGCCCTGGTGGAGGCTGATTTATTTTTTTTGTTTTGTTGGTTTTTTTTTTTTGGAGATGGAGTTTTGCTCTTGTTGGTTCAAGCGATTCTCCTGCCTCAATCTCCCAAGTAGCTGGGATTACAGGCGCCTGCCACCACGCCTGGCTAATTTTTGTATTTTTAGTAGAGACGGGGTTTTGCCACGTTGGTCCTGGCTGGTCTCGAACTCCTGACCTCAGGTGATCCACCTGCCTCAGCCTCCCAAAGTGTTGAGATTAAAGGCATGAGCCACTGTGCCCATTTAATTATTTGAAAGCCATTGGTGCCGCTTTCTTTTAAAGAATTCTGCAGTATTCACACAGGCTGCCTGTTCCTCTAACAGGAATTACAGGAGTATTACTTAGTGACACAAATCATTATATAATTGTTTAAATTCGTCTAAAAAATTGCTATTTAAATGACAGGTGGCTCTATATAAAATGTCCTGAAAAGTCTATTAACTCAGCAAACAAAATGTATTTACCAATAGTTTGTTCATTAAAGTTCTTATATTCAAGGGTGAGGGAAAAGGAGTCAGAAATGTAATTCAGTATAAATGATTACGTATATGTTTCACTGTCCTCTATTACTACTGAGTATTATTGATTATGGTGAGCTTGTTCCCATGTTCTAAAATTCTAATTTGTTTCCCTTATTTTAAACTCCTGAAATTCTCTAGGAACATAAGCTTCCATTTACGTCAACATTTCTTTGGAAAATATAAGCCAAAAATGTTCACAGGCATAAGAATATAGTTTAGTATTCACTCAAGTGAAAACTACAAGATATAAAGTCTCCCCCATCCCTTAACCTTCATGTTAAAATAGGCTTTTACTACACATATACACCCACCCACACACCCACCCAATATGTTGCATTATTTTCCACTGAGAAAGGACTTAAAATATGGAATTGATACAGAAAGTAATATTTCTAATTATTAGTTCACCAATAGCAATATTTAACAAATGCTGCAATTTTGCTTTAACAGCTTGACTTGTCCTCAGGCTTCTTTCTTCTTAACTTAGAATGACTCGCGTTTACTTTGGAGTGAGGAGAAAAAGTCCATGTGAAAAGTTAAAAATTTGAGGTGTCAGGTTTATCATATTTATAATGTCTAACTGACCTGTACCATTACACTTTAGCAGAAAATACTACCACCCACCATGATATGCAGCAACTGAAATAAAAACCACAGTTTGAGTTTCTTTTTAAAAGTTCTCTACTTTCTCATTTGTTAAAGTTCAAAATACAGTTTACTCAGAATAAGAATGGTATGTAATCCTTTGTTACCAATAGACATCTAATATAGCAAAGTTATTTTTTAAAAATAATGTTAAATCTATAAAACTACAAAAACTATGGTAGCATTTCAAGAATAATTTTAAAACTTCAATTTGTTTCTTTTTAAGGTGGAAATATCCTAGCCCAGTTCTTGAAATCTACAATACAGAAATAATAGCACAAGATGCTCTTTTTTTTTTTTTTTTTTTGCTAAGACCACTCTGCCGCCCTTTTCAAGATGTTCACTCTTGCACCATTTACAGTAAATAGCAAGACATTGGTCAATTAAAGGCACAACCACAAAACAGAATTCTAGGTGATCATCAAAACAGGAGATCTACATATGCAATCTTAGATGTATGTCCATGATTATTATGTAAAAAACCAAGTTGCAGAAAATAGGCTGTCATTTTTCATTAAAAAATCATTTGCAGAGTGTATATTTTTATGTCCATAGGAAAAAAGTTACTCAGCTGTAAATAGTAATTGAGAAATATTCTACCTGCAGCCTGCTCTGATAAAAACTATTCTCTTACCAAAAGTATCCTTAATACCATTTGCTGCCTTGTCCATTTATAATATAAAATAAGAAAACTTAAGGGCTTTTTATCTTTTGGATTTCAACAGGGATCATGTCTTAACATTTATTTGTACCCCTACTACATTTATTTACTGAACACATGTTAAAAAATATATCCTACACATCTGATAAACCTGAAAAAGCTTATGCAAGTGGAAAAAGAGGCAACTATTTTATTCAAGCAAGCTAAGAAAATAATAAAGAAATATGAGAGATTTCCCTCTAAAAAGGATAGAGGTTGAGTGTCCCTAATCCAAAAATCTGAAATCCAAAATGTTCCTCAAATCCAAAACTTTGTAAGCATCAACACGATACTCAAAAGAAATGCTCACTGGAGCATTTCGGATTTTCAGATTAGGGATGCTGAACTACTAAGTGTAATGCAAATATTCCAAAATCCAAACTACTCCTAAGCATTTGAGATATGGGATACTCAAACAGTATTAATATAGTAGTAATAGTCCTAATTAGGATTTGCCCTTCTAGGATGCCATATGCCAGAACAAAACGACTGGCAGGCTTCAGAACACAGAGTGACAAAAATCAAAGTGCTACGCATGAAAGATGATTTTAGCAGCTGTACGGATATGTGAGATATTAGGACTGCATTACAGGGCTTTAAATAGGCCAAGAACATGACAAAGAATCCTCTTCTCACTAAAGAGAACATTATATCATTTCATTTTGGGTTATGTATTCCAGAGGAAAGAAATGTTCAGATAATGAAGTGTGTCTGTTAATATGCATGTCTTTATTTGTGCCTCCATGAAACAGGTCTAAGCTGTGTCCTCAAGGAAGTAGTTAGCAAAGTAAGCTCAGGGTTTGAAATCTGTGTGTAACTTTGTCCAAGCTAATTAACCTCTCTTCACCTGTCTCCCCATTTGTAAATGGAGATTCAAATAATTCTCACACTATAAGGTTTGTAATTTGATTAGAAGATATAAAACAAGTAAAATGTAGTGTAAAGCAGTGATTGGTACATAATTAGTGATCAATAAATGAATGACTGCATGCATTTATTTTTAGAGACGAGTCCTATTATTTTAGGGATGAGCCCTGTCACCCAGGCTGGAGTGCAGTGGTGTGATCATATCTCACTGCAGCCTCGGACTCTTGGGCTTAAGAGATTCTCTTGCCTCAGCCTCCTGAGTAGCTGGGACTATAGGTATGTACCACCATGCCCGGTCTATTATTTATTATGTCTTTTTTTTTTTTTTCCGAGACAGAGTCTCACTCTGTTGCTCAGGCTGGAGTGCAGTGGTGCGATCTTGGCTCACTGCAACCTCTGCCTTCTGGGTTCAAGCGATTATCCTGCCTGAGCCTCCCAAGTAACTGGGATTACAGGTGTCCGCCACCATGCCCGGCTAATATTTGTATTTTTAGTAGAGACAGGGTTTCGGCATGTTGGCCAAGCTGGTCTCGAACTCCTGACCTCAGGTGATCCACTTGCCTTGGCCTCACAAAGTGTTGGGATTACAGCCGTGAGCTACTACACCCAGCCAGGTACAATTCTTAAAGTGTTAGGAAGAAAAAGGTGAACCTTAGATGTAATGAAATAGTGTTTTGTATATTGAAGGTTACCAATAAGTATGCTATGAAGGATCCAAATACTGTTACTTTATAATCATGTATGATTTTGATAGCTTTATGCTGTCTAAACTTTATGTTTGAATAATGAAACTTTTTTGTTGATTTCTAACTATGTAGAGGCAAACAAAACCAAATTTAAAAAACCCATTTTTAATACATCCCCTTCATGTGAAGGGCCTTTTTATCATTTCATGACCTAATATCAATATATAATAAACTTGTTTTTGTTCTAAGGTTCCAATTTTAGTTTGCTGGGAGTAATTAATTAGGTGTCTTGGATACAGAAAACTTTTCTGAGTTAAAATCAACTCACCTGTAGAGACTGAAGGAATGGTAGCCAGACTTCACATGGCAGTTCACTTTCAGACACTGAAAGCAGTAATTCGAAACAACTCCTACAATAAAAATGAGTAAGTATATAAAGGTGGTTATAGTAATAATTAAGTAGAGTATGACAGCAATACTAAAAATCTATTTTACATTTGTTTAGGCTATTTTAAATGTTTTTACTCTTCAAAATTTGCTTCAGAGTTGTTATATTGACTGTTCAATTTAAAAAGGAGGAAAAAAAGAAAGACCACAAGGCTTTATATTTACATTGTTGCTTTAGTACATTTGGTAAGAATATAATAAGCTCTTTAGAAATCACATTCCAAGCAGTTTTATTTTGTTTATTTGGGTGTGAAGAGGCACCCATATAGGACAATTCTAATTCCAGTAGACAAAAATGGGAGCTCATACTACTGTCAATTCAGCTGATAAAATGATAAATGATAAATATATGTAACTGTTATCTATAGGTTTCTGTCACTTGCAGAGGAAGCAGGAAGACTGGCAAAGTCGTTTCTTTACCTGTAAAAAAAACCAAGCAAAAGAGTTTCCTTTTTCTGACTATTATCCAGAAGACACAGAAAAGAAATAACAGGAAGATTTTTTTGAAAAAAGAAATGCACTACAACTTGAATAATGAGCAACTCAAAATACCAATGAATCAACATCTCTCTAAAACCCTACAGAATAATCCTTTACCCCTTAGGGATTACAATAGGTAAAACAGAAACTAGGACTTGGTAGAAGGAAAAATATGATCATAAAACCAGGAATGCTGGTCTTCCATAAAGGGCCACTGGAAAATAGGAAGGAAAACAGGTGAGGCTAGAAAAAAAATAAAATAAACCATCTAGACTAGAAGTCATCTCACTAAACAATCTGTAAGTTGAACAAGGTGATGCCCAGCTAAAACTGATTGGCTGTTGTATCTTTTCAATTTGCAGATGAAAATTACAATAAAGGTGTAATTTTGTCTGCTACTATGCAGCTAAATATTAAAATAACAGCTAAATCACGTTCTTTTTTTTTTGTTGTTGAGACAGTCTCCACTCCACCACCCAGGCTGGAGTGCAGTGGCGCCATCTTGGCTCACTGCAACCTCCACCTCCCAGGTTCAAGCGATTCTCGTGCCTCAGCCTCTTCCCAAAGTGCTGGGATTACAGGCGTGCGCCACCATGCCCGCGCTAAATCATGATCTCTTTCTTAGGATGGTAATCTTATACTGTACCCTGATATTTTTTGCTAATAAAATTATTCTTAGTTCAAATATAATCAAATTGCAGAATTTCATGTTGTTTTTGCCAAGATGTTCTTCAAGGACTACCAGTTTCCAGGTATTCTGTCATTTAAATCAATCTATACCTAAGGGATAGAAATATATCATTCTCAGATTCCAAGCCTGAATAGGAAAAGAGACTCTAGAGGCAAGTTAAAGATGATGTTGCTTGGCTGGAGCTTCACTTGGACTATATCTCCTGGGAACGTGAGTAGGAAGGAAATTTCATTCAATGGTATGACTCTAATGGTGCTCTGAAGAATAAATGTGATGCCACTGTAAAGAGAAACCAGGCAAACAACACGACCAATGGTACTCAATTTTAAGAGTGATTTAAGTTCTCAAACTTACAGTACTAATCTGCCAAGCACTAAGAGGACATCTTCACATTCAGTAGTTAAGTATGGACGTGCACTGGCAAAGCTTTGGATGGCAAGTCGATATACCTCCAGAAGATACACAATATGTTCTGATGCATTCTTGTTGCTTGCATATTGCAATAAGGTCTACAAAATAAAATTAAAAATTATTTACAAATAAAAATAATGAAACAGATTGTCTTTGTCCTCAAACACACCACATAGCTCTCCCATTTTTTTTCTAACAGATGCATATACCTTTTATTTGCCTTTTAAGGCTCTGGTTTGTTTAGAAGCTTCTATTTTCATCACTTAATGAATGATTTCTGCTGAGTTAAAGAAATGGCAGAACTACTCTTTTGATGTCAGAATAATTCTAAGAGTAGAGCCATAAAATGTCTAGTTGTTCTCACTATAGGTCTGGAGTTGCCATCTCTATAATTCAATAATGAGTTTTCAACCATGTGCCAAGCACTGGGTACATAAGAATAAGACTATGATCCCTGCCTTCTACAACAAGAGATGAATTATTCCTGAATATGACTCTCAGTTCTACAGCACCATAAAATCCTTTTTTTTTTTTCTGGACACATGGAATTGATTAGGCTTCCAAGGGTTAATTTATGCTAACTAATTTCTAAAAGGTTAATGTTATATTGATATTTTTATTTTTCACTAGCCCTGTATCCTCAACAAAATATATATTTATTTTTTATAAAGTTTATGAAGA
The DNA here is from genome assembly GCF_000001405.40 of Homo sapiens. Classification (NCBI taxonomy): domain Eukaryota; kingdom Metazoa; phylum Chordata; class Mammalia; order Primates; family Hominidae; genus Homo; species Homo sapiens. The sequence goes on along the minus strand of NC_000001.11, from coordinate 40,188,471 downwards.
AAATTACCATATAGGCCAAATGCCAGTTTATTTGGTTACAATGGGGGGAATAGTCCTCTTACCACACAGGGTACCCTATTCCTCATACTGTGGCATCTGAGAAGTTATCTGGTGAGTATTGAATCTAAACCAAAAGAAAATGAAACCACAATAAAGCCTGATAAATTATATGTGTCCTATCACTAAAAATTTGTCCAAATGATGGTGGAAAGCTGGCTTATGTTCTCCCTGGACAGTGTTGAAAAATCACTGCCAAATTCATGTTTGGGGACTCTCCTTCTGAGTTCCATGGAGTTGTTTTCTCTCTTGTTCATATATATCTTCCTTCTGACAACTGATTAGGTTTTGCCTATTCTTAATTGGTATATCTAGTTAAGACGTGAAGTATGTAGTACAGTCTAACATAAGCAGGATACAGCCTTCTCCCTGGAATACACATTCTGTCTGACTGGGCTAGGGAGTTCCTAATAGGCTTTTGGTTGGGGATACTTCTATAGGCAAGTCTTATTTTCAGAGGATAGCTTTAACATGAGTGAAATACATCTTATCTGAATTCATTACCCTAGAATAATGTCTTCAAACATTCCTAACTTCCTGTCTTTGATTTTTCTGCCTAAACAACTACAAATAACTACAATAGTAGCGCAGGATTCTGCTGGATTTTCTGCAGCTTTAGTTTCCACACAAATGGTCCCTGTATGAGTTCTGGTAACTGACTGTTAGCATCATCTTGATTACTTTAACATTTAAAAAAAGAGAGAGAGAGAAACAACTTACAAGGAAATATACCATAGACCATTATACCATATACAGTAAAAGTTCCCTTAACTAATATATTGCATTATCTGATCTTTGCATACCTGAATCATTACAGTCAGTTGAGCTATTTTTAGTATACCGACCTACTCAATTAAGTATCTTGCTACTTGGTCACAGTCACTTTAGATAAATGCCCTTCTGTAATTTCAGAAAAGCAACATGTCACCACTTAATCAAATCCCTAATTTTAATAAAATAAAAAAACTGAGTAACATTATAAAACTGACCCCTAAGCAATCCTGCTTCCCAGCTGAATTAGTAGAGAAAGAATGCAGAATGGGTGTCTGTTACATAACTAAGATTTCACCTAATTTATTAAAATCAGCCAGGTGCTGTGGCTCACGCCTGTAATCCCAGCACTTTGGGAGGCCGAGGCGGACGGATCACAAAGTCAAGAGATCGAGACCATCCTGGCCAACATGGGTGAAACCCCGTCTCTAAAAATACAAATATTAGAGATGGGCGTGGTGGCGCGCGCTTGTAGTCCCAGCTGCTCAGGAGGCTGAGGCAGGAAAATCGCTTGAACCTGGGAGGCGGAGGTTGCAGTGAGCCAAGATTGCGCCACTGCACTCCAGCCTGGCGACACAGCAAGACTGTCTCAAAAAAAAAAACCAAAAAACAAAAAACAAAGAAATTTATTAAAATCTATGTTACAAAAAAATTCTGGTTTAGGTCAGTAAGTTACTTACTGTCTGCATTGGCTAATCTAAGAATTAAGGAGTTTCAAAAATTTATATTTAGTGCCAGATTTATGTTCCTTAAAGTCAGACATTATGTCTCATCAATCCTTATAGGCCTACCACTCCTCTACCCACTTCCACCCCCACAGGACATTCTCAAGTCTCACTAAATGTCTGCTGAATACATTCACCATTTTATTCATTTGACAAATATTTTTCAATAGATTATCACACATAAAGTGCTAGATGCAGTGGGGGCGGGCAGACATGTGGCCTATCCTCACAGAGCTTTCAGAATGAGTCAATACAACATGATGGCTGAAACCACACATGCAAATTAACCAACTGCTAACTAAAGTATGCAAAGAGAAGGACAGAGTGCATACAGATGGGGTTAGTCTTTCCACAATCCACCTGTCCACTTAGAACGCTCTTGCCACCAATCTAATAGCTTCTGACAGACATTCCACCAGGACTTCTGTAAGCTACACAATTTCAAAGATTCAATACTCTTGAGGAACTTCCAGTTTGCTCTATACTAATTTATACTTTTTATATTCCTAAATCTTTACCCCCTCATGTGTTGGTTCAAATTAAGTAGTGAGATCTCTTATACCCACTATAAGCATACTCTGGGTATGTGAAGAATGGCTGGAATAATCAATCTTCTTCATTATCACTTTTTTTTTAAATTGAGATAGAGTCTCATTCTATCACTGCTGGTGATCCTCCCACTTCAGCCTCCCAAGTAGCTGGGACTACAGGCATGAACCACTGTGGCTAGCCAGGCATTTTCTTTCTTTCTTTTTGTTTTTTTAATCAAGTCTCACTCTGTCACCCAGGTTGGGGTGCGGTGGTGAAATCTCGGCTCACTGCAACCTTCACCTCCCAGATTCAAGTGGATCCTTTCACCTCAGGCTCCTGAGTAGCTGGGATTACAACTGTGCGCCACCAGGCTCGGTTAATTTTCCTGTTTTTAGTAGAGATGGGGTTTCACCATTTTGGCCAGGCTGGTCTCGAACTCTTGACCTCAAGTGATCCGCCTGCCTTGGCCTCCCCAAGTGCTGGGATTACAGGCAAAAGCCACCTCGCATCCAGCCTTTGTGGTTTTTTTTTTTTTTTTTTTTTTGCTTTTTTTTTTTTTTTGAGACAGTCTCACTCTGTCAGCCCAGGCTAGAGTGCAGTGGCACGATCTTGGCTCACTGCAAGCTCCACCTCCCAGGTTCACGCCATTCTCCTGCCTCAGCCTCCCAAGTAGCTGGGACTACAGGCACCCGCCACCATGCCCGGCTAATTTTTTTTTTTTTTTTTTTTTTGTATTTTTAGTAGAGACGGGGTTTCACCGTGTTAGCCAGGATGGTCTCGAGCTCCTGACCTCGTGACCTGCCCGCCTCGGCCTCCCAAAGTGCTGGGAGCCACTGCGCCCGGCTTTTTTTTTTTTTTTTTTTTTTTTTTAATGCAAGATTAGGTTGAAAGGATTACAGCCATCCAAATAACAGGATGGCTGTAATCCTTTCAACCTAATCTTGCATTTAAAAAACTGGACTAGGCAAGGTGGCTCACGCCTGTAATCCCAGCACTTTGGGAGGCCGAGGCAGGTGTATCACTTGAGGTCAGGAGTTCAGACCAGCCTGGCCAACATGGTGAAACCCTGTCTCTACTAAAAATACAGAAAGTAGCCGGGCGTGGTGGCGCATGCCTCTAGTCCCAGCTACTTGGGAGGCTGAGGCTGGAGAATTGCTTGAACCCGGCTAGAGTTCAGTGGTTCAATCACAGCTCACTATAACCTCAAACTCCTAGGCTCAAGTGATCCTCTCTCCCACCCACCTCAGCCTCCTGAGTAGCTAGGACTGGAGAAGTGCATCACCATGCCCAGCCAATTAAAAAAAACTTTTTTTTTGTAGGGACAGGGTCTCTTTGCTGCCCAGTCTGGTCTCAAATTCCTGGGCCTCAAGTGGTCCTCCCACCTTGGCCTCTCAAAGTGCTGGGATTACAGGTGTGAGCCACTGTACCCAGCCACGGTCTCTTATTTTTCTTTAGGAACTGAAATCACAACTGAAGAGAAAAGGGGCAATAAATGATAAAGATGACCTCCTAAAGTTCATTCTACAGTGACCAAATTAATGACCTCTCTCTTTTGTTTCAGTAAACTCATTCCACAAATACCTACTATTTTGTACTGTGCTGGGAAGTAAGGATGGAGACTCTATTCCTGCCCTTGAAAGGCTATGATATATACTAAGGGGTCAGATATATAAGTAAAAAATTAGCTCACTTACGCACCATATTTGACTATTCGGTGCTCTCATTCACATCCCAAGCAGATTACCCTCAAATTACTCTCTCAAGTCCTTGCTATATACCTCAACTGCCTATTACATATTTCCATCTGGATGTCCTATTCAAATCTCAAACTCAGCATGTCCAAAACCAAACATCTTCCCCAGCAAATATGCTCTTCCTCCTATGTTCCATCTGCCTCCTTTCAGGAGCCAGAGCTAAAAAACTATCTTTGAAACCACCACACCAAAGTTTGTTGATTCTATCTCAGAAATATCTTTGTCTCCTGTCCCTATGCTTTATCTCTGTAGCCATTCACCTAAACCAGGCCCCCAATATCCCTCATCTAGACTGCTACATTGGTTCACTTCTCTAGGCTAAATAACCTCTAGTTCTGTATATGTGTTATAATCACGTATGTCTGTACATTGAAAAAATTAATGTCCAAGGGGAAAATGACTAGAAGAAATTAACTAAAATGCTTACATGGTTAGCACTGAGGTAGCAGGAATATGAGCAATTTTTGTCATCTTTATACTTTTCTAAACTTCTCAAATTTTCTTTAATAAGCATGACTACATTTTCAAAGCAAAAAAAATCTCCCCTCACCCTTAATTCTCTCTACATTTCTCACTACATGGTTTCAAGGAGCTTGGCAGCATTCTGACTATTCCTTGAAACTATCAAGAAAGGAGAATTTCTTTCAGGATGGTCACATTTAATGTTTAAAGAATACATTCCAATTTAAATTTCACATAGTTCAGGATTAACTTTCCTAATGAAATAATTATATTTACTGAGCACATAGTATGGGTTAGGCACTTCCTAAGAGCTTTACGGCCACTAAACTTATTTAATATGCACAACTCCATGAGCTAGGAGTTATTATCAGCCCATTTCAAAAATGAGGAGCCACTGTCAAGTTGTCTTTTGGGAATTTTTTTTTTTTTTAAATGAGGAAACATGAGAGATTGAATTATTTGGGCAAAGTCATCCAATAGGTGTTAGATTCAGGATTTGAACTAGAGCCATCTGGCTCCTCAGCCCACACTTAATCACCACGCTTTCTTTATGCCTTTTCACAATTCAACTATTTTAAGTGTGCTTTTAAATTCTGCCCCCTCACCCCCAGCATCAGCTTTAATATTTTGTAGCAAGTTGTGTCATGGTCATCATTTGGCCTTCTTCCCGAGTTTACAACATCTAACTTCCATTCTAAAGTGAATGCTTCTGGGGAATGTTTTCAAGCAATGGCACTGACAGATATCCTGTACTTCAGAATGCTGGTGGGTCACAAAAAACTGACAAAAGATAGCTAGTGTTTCTTTTTAAAGCTGTATGTTCTATGGCAATAGGAAGTTATGTGTTTTCTAATAGAGAGGGGTTTGGATTATTTCAAATTTTGCACATAAAGCAAGAAACTTTTATTTAAATTTCTCAGCATGTGAAATTCCCAGAATTATACATTTCAGTAAAATGTGACTGCACTACAAGAGGTAGACTTCCAGGAGAGGGCAGCACTTGAGATGGATCTCTGAAGTACGAGCAAAAGTGAGGGGAACAGGAGGACTCCAAAGAAAGAACTTGAAAAAAGTCAGAAAAGATGAATAGACAACTAGATGGCTAGAACAGATCAGAGTAAATGCTGAAGAGACTTAAATGTCAGCATGAGGAAGCACCACCTCTTGATGGAGGTTTGCCATCAAGAGACTAAGCTGAGAGTGAGATGAAATGAAATGGGGAGAGAACAGCTGGCTGCTTACAACCAGAAAGTTAAGTGGCTAGAGTAAATTAAACCCCCTAAGTCTTTAACATATGCTGCCACTATGCCCCCTGCCTCATTTTCTATATTGGTTATAGGTGGTTTTCTTAAAGCCAGTGATATGACTAACTTATTACTCTATCTATCTATCTATCTATCTATCTATCTATCTATCTACCTATCTATCTGTCTATACTTTTTTCATCCATCCTGATTAAACTTCACTGGATTCAGTCCATCAATCTCAGCCTACTAAGATTATTTTTAGATACCGATTCTGCCACAGGATTTAACTATGCTTTCTAGTTTTATTTCATTTTCAATTTTCAAAAATGCCTTTTACTGTCTTGTCATAAAAGTAACATAACATTGTTACATACATATGCAAAAATAAAAATTTAATAACCCATAATACCACCACCCAGAAACAGACCACTATTAACAGGCAATACATTAAGCTTGAGGGGTTTTCCTTTACTTTTCTTTTCTTTTTTTTTAGAGACGGAGTCTCCCTCTGTCACCAGGCTGGAGTGCAGTGGCGCAATCTGCGCTCACTGCAACCTCCCCCTCCCAGGTTCAAGAGACTCTCCTGCCTCAGCCTCCTAAGTAGCTGGGATTACAGGCGCCCGCCACCATGCCTGGCTAATTTTTTGTATTTTTAGTAGAGACGGGGGTTTCACCATGTTGGCCAGGATGGTCTCGATCTCTTGACCTCGTGATCTGCTCACCTCGGGCTCCCAAAGTGCTGGAATTACAGGCATGAGCCACCATGCCGGCCGCTTGAGGGTTTTTTTAAATGCCTAAACCGAACATTTTAATAGAATCATGCTATAACGTCTTTCCATTTATTGTAAAGTTTTCTTCAATGTCAGTGTTTTTATGGCTGCACAACTTTGTGTGGATACAATTTATTACCCAATTATTTATTTATGGACATAATGTCTTCTAACTTTGCAGTATTATATATAAAATATTAAGATGAACACCCCTCTAACACTAAAATGAGCACCCCTTATCTAACTTTTCCCATGTATCCATGACAATTTTCTTATAATAATGTCCTATAAATGGAATTGCTGGGTGGATAATTTTTAAGGCTTTACACAGTGTCAAATTCTGCTCCGGAAAATTTGTTCCAATGTACATTCCTATTATTGGTGTTACAGGGTGACAGACTGAGGAGCTGTAACAATTATTAGATATTATAATTTTAATATAACTTGTGAGGATCAGCTTAATAGAAGAAATACTTTGTTTATTCAATTTACATTCTTTTAATCACTGTTGCAGTTCAAGAAAATTTTTCATATATTCCTTTAATAATCTAAACACCTAATTACTACAGAGTTATCCATAAAAGACACACAGAACAATGGAATCTAACAGAAAGCCAAGAAATAAATCCTTGTATATGTGGTCAAATGAAAATGATTTTCACCTAGGATGCCAAGACCATTCAAAGGGAAAAAGACAGCATTTTCTTTTCTTTTCTTTTCTTTTTGAGATGGAGTCTCGCTCTGCTGCCCAGGCTGGAGTGCGGTGGTGCCATCTCGGCTCAATGCAACCTCCACCTCCCAGGTTCAAGCGATTCTCCTGTCTCGTTCTCCCAAGTACCTGGGACTACAGGCATGAGCCACCACACCTGGCTAATTTTTGTATTTTTAGTAGAGATGGGGTTTCGCCATATTGGCCAGGCTGGTCTCAAACTCCTGACCTCAAGTAATCCATCCACCTTGGCCTCCCAAAGTGCTGGGATTACAGGCATGAGCCACTGCAGCTGGCCAAAGACAGCCTTTTCATTCAACAATGTTAGGAAAACCAAATATTCACATACAATAGACTGAAGCTGGACCTTACCTTACACCATATACATAAACCAACTTGAAATGGATCAAAGATCTAAACATATGAACTAAAATGATAAAACTTCAGGAGAAAACATAGATAAATAGCTTCATTACATTGGATTTGGCAACTATTTTTTGACTATGATACCAAAAGCACAAGCAACACAAAAATATATAAACTGGACTTCATCAAAATTAAAAACTTCTGTGCATCAAAGGACACTATCAAGAGAGTAAAAAGGAAACCCATAAAATGGGAGAAAATACAGCAAATCTTATATCTGTTGATGGATTAATATCTAAACACATAAAGACCTCCTAAAACTCAACAACACAAAACAAACAAGCCAATTAAAAATTGGGCAGAAGACTTGAAAAGACATTTCTCCAAGGAAGACATACAAATGGCCAATAAGCACATGAAAAGATATGAAACACCACTAATTAGGGAAATCCAAATGAAAACCACAATGAGATACGACTTCGCACCCATTAGGATTGACTATCATGTAAAATAAAAGAGGTCAGACCAAGTGGCTCACACCTGTAATCTCAGCACGTTGGGAAGCCAAGGCAGGTTGATCACTTGTGGTCAGGAGTTCGAGACCAGCCTGGCCAACATGGTGAAACCCTGTCTCTACTGAAAAAAATACAAAAATTAGCTAGGCGTGGTGGCGGGCGCCTATAATCCCAGCCACTCAGGAGGCTGAGGCAGGAGAATCACTTGATTCCAGGAGGCAGAGGTTACAATGAGTCAAGATCATGTGACTGCACTCCAGCCTGGGTGACAAAGCAAGACCCTGTCTCAAAAAAAAGAAAAGAAAAGTAAAGAACAGAAAAAGTGTTAGCAAGGGTGTGGAGAAATAGGAACCCCTGTGCATTGCTGGTAGAAATGTAAAATGCTGCAGTGGTTTGGAAAATGGTATGGTGGTTCCTCCAAAAATTAAACAGAAATACCATATGATCCAACAATTTCATTTCAGTGTACACATCCCAAAGAAGTGACAGCAGATCTTGAAGAGGTATTTGTACACGCGTGTTCACAGCAGCATTATTTACAATAGCCAAAAGGAGGAAGAAATCCAAGTGTTCATGAACAGATGAACAAAAGTGATATATCCATAAAATGGAGTATTATTCAGTCTTAAAGGGGAAGAAAATTCTGACATGATACAACATGATATATCTTGAGGACACTATATTAAGTGAAATATGGCAGTCACAACAAGACAAATACTGTACAATTTCACTTATATGAGGTACCTAAGAGTAGTCAAATTCATAGAGACAGATAGTAGAATGATGGTTGCCAGAAGGTGAAGAAAAAAGGGAATGGGGAGTTAGTATTTAATGGGTACATACTTTCACTTTGGGAAGATGACAAAGTTCTGGAGATGGATGGATGGATGGAGGTAATGGTTGCACAACAATGTGAATGTACTTAATGCCACTAAGTTGTACTCTCAAAAATGGTTAAGATGGCAAATTCTATGTTACGTATACTTTACCACAATAAAAGTACCAAAAAAAAAAAAAAGAGTTAACTTTAAGTCTAGAGACTTTGGATTAGAAATTTTCAAGAAACTGAAGTGGATGATCATGCAAAAGGAAGACGACGGGGGCTGGGGGCAGGGAGGATAAATTCAAACCATCCTCCATTTCTGCATTAGCGAGCCATTATTACTAAAAGGACTGACTTACAATACTTCTTAAATCTGGAGATTGTAAAGTTCAAACTTTATCATGCTGGGTAAAAGTATTACAATTCTGAGGTAGTTGTGTAACAACAGAGGGAAATAACAGGCATTCTGGCTACAGTTTCAAATCTCTGCCCCATCAATTACCAGATAACCTCTCTGGGTCTCATTTTCTGAAATCAGTCAACTGAAATTGACTACCCATTTTGTACCAGCATCCTACAAAATAGCTTTTTTAAATATGGTGGTAAAGGCTGGGTGTGGTGGCGCATGCCTGTAATCCCAGCATTTTGGGAGGCCTGGGCAGGTGGATCACCTGAGACTGGAAGTTCCAGACCAGCCTGGCCAACACGGCGAAATGCTGTCTCTATTAAAAATACAAAAATTAGCCGGGCGTGGTGGCACAGGCCTGTAGTCCCAACTACTGAGGAAGCTGAGGCAGGAGAATCACTTGAACCCGGGATGTGGAGGCTGCAGTGAGCTGAGATCGCACCAATGCTCTCCAGCCTGGGTGACACAGCGAGGCTCCATCTCAAAAAATAAAAATAAAAAATGGTGATAAGGCGGGATACCAGTGGCTCATGCCTGTAATCCCAGCACTTTGGGAGGCCAAGGCGGGAGGACTGCTTGAGCTCAGGAGTTTGAGACCAGCCTGGGCTAACTATATCAAGCCCTCATCTCTGGGGAAAAAAAAAAAAACACAAAACAAAAAAGACCATAGCAAGATCCCATCTCTCCAAAAAAAAAAAAAAAACAAAAAAAAAAAACACCAAAGACAGCTTTGGGTTCAAACTATTTTTTCAAAATGGTGGTAAAATACATATAAAATTTACCATCTGAACAATTTTTAAGTATATATTTCTGTGGTATTAAGTATTCACATTGTTACATTGTTGTGCTGCCACTCGAACGTCTACCCACTGAACTCCTGTCATCTTACAAAGCTGAAACTCTGAACTCATTAAAAAACAACTCTCCATTCTCCCCTCCTTCTAGCCCTTGGCAACCACTATTCTATTTCCTGTCTCTATGTGCTATATAGCTTTTATAGTATATTATATTTTGTTTGAAAATGCAACATAAGAGTGTGGTATTGGCATCAGAGTAGACAAACAGATCAATGAAACAGAATAGAATCCAGAATGAGACACACATGTATGGCTAATTTTCAATAAGGTGCAAAGGCAATTCAGTGGAGAAAGGATAGGTTTTCAACAAATGGTGCTGCAACTTTAAAAAAAATCACTCATATACATAGCTATAGATATATTTATATAACACTCATATATATCTATAGATATATCTATATACCTATCTATATATATATATGTTTTTTATTTTTTTGTGAGCCAAAGATTTTTGTGAGCCAAAGATTTATCTGTTCATTTACTGCATTTGAAGTACTCTTCGACGACATCCTTGGCCTGAGACTCCCTGAAAAATATAGAACACTTCAAAAATTTGCAGGTCATCTTTGCACAGGGGCCAGGCTAATCTTCTCCATATTGTTCCAATTTTAATGTATGTGCTGCTGAAGCAAGCACGAGTGATTTTTTTTAAAGTTTAGATATACCTATATCTATATCTAAAGAACTTTCCATCCATCCCTCACACCGTATATAAAAATTAACTCCAAATGAATCATAGACTTAAATGTAAAACCTAAAACTATACAATCTCCAGAAGAAAATAGCAGAACATCTCTGTGGTCTCGGATTAGACAGATTTCTTAGATATAATGGGAAAAACACAATTTATCAATATTAAGAATTTACGTTCTTAGAAATACACTGTTGGCCGGTGCAGTGGCTCACGCCTGTAATCCCAGCACTTTGGGAGGTGGGGGCGGGCAGATCACGAGGTCAGGAGATAGACCCCATCCTGGCTAACACCATGAAACCCCGTCTCTACTAAAAATACAAAAAAAAAATTAGCCAGGCGTGGTGGCGGGCGCCTGTAGTCCCAGCTACTTGGGAAGCTGAGGCAGGAGAATGGTGTGACCCCGGGAGGCGGAGCTTGCAGTGAGCTGAGATCACACCACTGCACTCCAGCCTGGGTGACAGAGCAAGACTCCGCCTCCCAAAAAAAAAAAAAGAAAGAAAGAAATACACTGTTAAGGCCGGTTGTGGTGGCTCATGCTGATAATCCCAGCACGGGCAGATCACTTGAGGTCGGAAGTTCAAGACCAGCCTGGCCAACATGGCGAAACCCTGTCTCATCTAAAAATACAGAAATTAGCCGGGTGTGGTGGTGGGCGCCTGTTCCCAGCTACTCAGGAGTCTGAGGCAGGAGAATCGCTTGAACCTGTGAGGCGGAGGTTGCAGTGAGTCAAGGTCGCGCCATTGCACTCCTGCCTGGACGACAAAGTGAGACTCGGTCTCAAAAAAAAAAATTAATTAATTAAAAAAAGAAATAAATAAAAAAGAAAGAAATATACTGTTAAGAGAATAATAAAAAGAGAGAAGGCACAACCTAGGGAGAAAATCTTTGCAAAGCATATATCAGAAACATAAACACAACACCTCTCAAAATTCAACAATAAGAAAACAATTATTTTTCAATGGCAAAGATTTGGACACTTCGTCAAAGAAGATATAAGGATGGCAAACAAACATATGAAAAGACACTTGACATAAGTCATTAGGGCCAGGCACACTGGCTCACGCCTGTAACCCCAGCATTTTGGAAGGCCAAGGCGGGAGGATCGTTTGAGACCAAAAGTTTGAGACCAATCTGGGCAATGTGGCAAAATCCCGCCATTATAAAAAAATACAAAAAAATTAGCCAGGTGTGGTGACACAAGCCTGTGGTCCCAGCTATTTGGGAGGCTGTCGTGGGAGAATCACCTGAGCCTGGGAGGCAGAGGCTGCAGTGAGCCAAGATCACACCACTGCAGCCTGGGTGACAGAGTAAGACCCTATCTCAAAATTTTAAAAAGCCATTAGGGAAATGCAAATTAGAATCACAATGAACTAACAGCAATTTTAGAGTGGCTAAAATGAAAAACACTGGCCACACCAAGTGTTAGTGAGGAGATAGAAAACTAGAACTCTCATACAGCGCTGATGTGAATGTAAAATACAACTACTCTGGAAAACCTGTCATCTGACCCAGCCATTCCACCTAGGTGTTTACCCAAAAGAAAAGAAAAAGCATCTGTCCATACAAAGACTTCCACACAAAATGTTCCTAACAGCTTGATTTGTAGTAGTCAAAAACTGGAAACAATTCAAATGTCTATCAATAGGTAAATAAACAAATCATGATATATCCATATAATGAATACTCATCAATAAAATAAACTACTGATATATACAAGATGAATGAATTTCAATAATTATACAGAGACACCAAAAAAGAGAGACTATATGATTATAGTATTTATATAAAATTCTTAAAAATGCAATCTAATTTATAGAGACAGCAAATCAGTAGTTAAGTGGGGATGGGAGGGTATGTATACAAGAGGAGGGTAAGAAAGGGAATACAAAGCAGTAGGAAGAAACTTCTAGGGATGATGGATATAATCATAATCTTGATGGTTTCATGGATATTAAGATATGCCAAAGTGCACCAAATTGTACTTTTTTTTTTTTTTTTTTGAGATGGAGTCTTGTTCTGTCACCCAGGCTGGAGTGCAGTGGCACAATTCTGCTCACTGCAACCTCCACTTCCCGGGTTCAAGAGATTCTCCTGCCTCAGCCTCCCGAATAGAATGAGAATTATTATTATTTTTTTGAGTCGGAGTCTCACTCTGTCGCCCAGGCTGGAGTGCAATGGCTCGATCTCAGCTCACTGCAACCTCCGCCTCCCGGGTTCAAGCAATTCTCCTGCCTCAGTCTCCCAAGTAGCCGGGATTACAGGCACCTGCCACCACGCCCAGCTAATTTTTGTATTTTTGGTAGAGACAGGGTTTCACCATACTGGCCAGGCTGGTCTCGAACTCCTGACCTCATGATCCGCCTGCCTAGGCCTCCCAAAGTGCTGGGATTACAGATGTGAGCCACCGTGCCTGGCCAGAATGAGAATTTTAAGTGAAATCTTGTTAGGTTCAAATATACATATATGTTCTCCATTTCACGTGACAATAAAACACAAGATTGATCCAAATGTGATGTTTTATGCACATTTACTGTTAGAACTTTATGGGAACGTCTGGTCTAGATTTAACTCCCCCCCCCACCCCCACCATAACAGAACAGAGTCTTGGTTCTCCTGCTCAGGCTGGAATGCAGTGGCACAAACACAGCTCACTGTAACCTCAAACTCTTCAGCTTCAGGGATTTCCTGCCTCAGCCTCCCAAATAGCTAAGACACCAAAATGCCCAACTAACTTTTAAAAAGTTTTTGTAGAGACAGGGTCTCACTACGTTGCCCAGTCTTGGTCTTGAACTCCTGGCTTCAAGAGATCCTCCCGCCTTGGTCTCCCAAAGCACTGGGATTACAGGTGTGAGCCACTGTGCTTGGCCCTTTGATTTAACATTTTCATTGACAATGTCCTTTAAAGACTGAAATCAAGATTTCACTATGAAGAAAAAACCAAATAAAGAGAGTGAGCATAACTAACGCAAATACTTTCAGTTCTAATCAGTAGTTTCCACTGGCATGGGCACTTATTCTACAGGGGCAAATAATAATCCATCAGGGAGAAGGAATATAATATTAATACTTATATTCAAATGAGTTTTTAAAAATCTCACCCCTTTTATGTATTTCTGTGTCTGTTTTATACAATATATAGGTATGGTACAAATAAAACATACTTTTAAAAGATTAATTTATTTTGATAAGAATAGACAAGACAAATATTTGGAGATGACTTAGAAAATGAATCTTATATAGCAAACATTTTTCAATAGAGTTATATAATTTTGGAGCAGAATCAAACCTTAAAGAGCATCTCATTTAGGGAGCAATATGAGGCACCCAAATAACAAGCTGACTTGCCCCAAGGTCATATACCCATTTGGTGGCACTCTATTTGAAAACATATAAAGGTCACTTTTTTTTTTTTTTGAGACAGAGTCTCACTCTGTTACCCATGTTGGAGTGCAGTGGTGCAATCTTGGCTCACTGCCACCTCTGTCACCAGGGTTCAAGCGATTCTCCTGCCTCAGCCTCCCGAGTAGCTGGGATTACAGGCGCCTGCCACTGCGCCTAGCTGATTTTTGTAGTTTTAGTAGAGACAGGGTTTTACCATCTTGGCCAGGCTGGTCTTAAACTCCTGACCTCATGATCCACCCGCCTCAGCCTCCCAAAGTGCTGGGATTACAGGCGTGAGCCATCGTGCCCGGCCAGGTCACAACATTTTTTAAAGTTAGCTAATGGAAAGCACTACAGTCTTTCCAGTTACTCAGCTATGACTTAGTCTTCCAGAGTTTAGAAGAATTGATTATAAGAGATCAATAAATGACTACACTGACAAACCTCTCACAGAGCCACCATCAATCACAAAAGTGTATCACACATCCCAATGGCTTCAGGTTAGGCTATAGCTCTAATTATAATTCTTTGGACATGTTCCGCTTCATGAGAACTTCAAAGAGACCTAAAATCTCAAGATTACATGATCAGCCTGGCACGGTGGCTCACGGCTATAATCCCAGCACTTCGGAAGGCCAAGGTGGGCGGATCACTTGAGGCCAGAAGTTTGAGACCAGCCTGGCCAACATGGCAAAACCTCGTCTCTACTAAAAATACAAAAAATTAGCTGGGTGTGATGACACACACCTGTAATCCCAGCTACTCAGGAAGCTGAGGCATGAAAATCACCTGAATCCAGGAAGCAGAGGTTGCAGTGAGCTGAGATTGTAACACTGCACTACAGCCTAAGCAACAGAGCAAGGCTCTGTCTTAAAAAAAAAAAAAAAAATTACATGATCATAATGATTGGACAAAATCTAGTTTTAATGACTTTTAACAACATTTTTAAATAGTCATAATATATGAAAAAGGTAAACCTCACAAAAAAAAATGTAAATGTCTGATACATATAAAAATACCTGAATGTAGGCCAGGCGTGGTGGCTCATACCTGTAATCCCAGAGCTTTGGGAGGCCAAGGCGGGAGGATCACCTGAGGTCAGGAGTTCAAGATCAGCCTGACCAACATGAAGAAACCCTATCTCTACTAAAAATACAAAATTATCTGGGCGTGGTGGCGCATGCCTGTAATCCCAGCTACTCAAGAGGCTGAGGCAGGAGAATCGCTTGAACCCGGGAGGCAGATATTGCGGGGAGCCGAGATCGCACCATTGCACTCCAGCCTGGGCAATAAGAGCAAAACTCTGCCTCACAAAAAAAAAAAAAAAAAACCTGAATGTTACTAAAATGCAAATTAGTGTAACAATCTGATAATTCTTTCCTATCAGATTGTCAAATATTAATAAGTTTAATAATACAAGCATTGGCAAGGATTTAGTAAAACGGGGACTCCCAAACACTATTGGCGGAAGTACATATTCAACTTTTTGTAGGCAAGTATCCATCAAAACTTAAACATTCTCTCAATCCAGTAATTTCTTTTTTTGAGTCAGTGTCTCGCTCTGTTGCCCAGGATAGAGTACAGGCAAGTATCCATCAAAACTTAAACATCCTCTTTAATCCAGTCATTTTTGTTTTTGAGTTGGCATCTCACTCTGTTGCCCAGGATAGAGTGCAGTGACGCAATCTCAGCTCACTGTAACCTCTGCCTCCTGGGTTCAACCAATTCTCTTGCCTCAGCCTCCAGAGTAGCTGGGACTACCTGCTGATTTTTGTATTTTTAGTAGAGACAGAGTTTCACCATGTTGGCCAGGCTGGTCTCGAACTCCTGACCTCAGGTGATCCACCCGCCTCAGCCTCCCAAAGTGCTGGGATTACAGGTGTGAGCCGCCGCACCCGGCCTAATCCTATAATTTCAATTCCAGGAATTTATATTATAGATAGAAATAACCAGCACTTAATATTTAAGGAAGTTCATGGGACACTGTTTATAATAACAAAATAACACAAATGTTTAAATTATGGTGCATGCTCCAAATGTACTCATAAAGGGTCAACATATCAAATTAAAAAGTAAATTGCAAAAGGATGAGTACTTGTGTTTTTAAGGACACACAAGACTGTTAACAGTAATTTCCTCTGGGAAGTGACTGGAAAGATTGAGGGCAGAAGGAAAGAGGCTTTTACTTTTCCTTAAACCCTCTGTACTGTATTTTTTGCCACAAGAAGTGCTTTTATAGTTTAAAAAAAATTTTTTTTTAGTTAAGAGTGTTGAAGGTGTTGCTACCTGTAGAATTTAAAATCAATGCAATTTCTGATGGAATACCATGCATTTATTTCTTAAATACAGTAAGTCTACACATATTCTACGTGAAAAGATGTCTACAATAATAAGCAGGTTTTAGTATATAAGCTTGAAACCTTTTCTAAAAATAGTACATATATATGTACACATCATACAGAAAAATTCTATAGATATGCATTCCTAAACTGTTAACAATGGTCTACCTAGGAAAAGGTAGTACTGGAATACATAAGAGTGTATATGACAGGAGCTTTTACTTCTTATTCTCCCCTTTTATACTGTTCTAATTTTTAACAATTAGAATGTATGCATGAGTTGTTTGCACAATTAGAAATTGTAATATTTATATAAACACACATTCTATATGTATTTTTCCAAAAATCTGATAAATACACCAAGCTATTAAAAGTGAGTTTATATGGTACTTTCACTATCTAATTCATCTATTTGTAAATCTTGTTTTAAGTTTCTAGAATGAGCATCCACTAGTTTTGAGTCACAAAAACTAAAATGTTTACATCTGCTTTATTACTTTAGGATACTTTATATATTTTAAACATATACCTGAAAAAAGCAAAGACAACAGAATCACAAAAATATGCCTATTTTATAAAATTATATATCATAAAAATGCAATTCCCAAGCAAGGATATACATTTTATCATATACAATAACAATTCTTATAACAAATGTCCACATTAATAAGAAATTGTGCTGGCTAACGTGACACATTCAGGTTATTTCCTTGGGAGTAAGAATACTGAGAAATCAGGCTGGGAGTGGTGGCTCACGCCTCTAATCCCAGTGCCTTGGGAGGCTGAGGTGGGAGGATCACTTAAGGCCTCAAGTTGAAGACCAGCCTGGGCAATACAGTGAGACCCTGTCTCTACAAAAATTATTTTTCAATTAGCTGGGCACTGTGGCATGCACCTGTAGTCCTAGATATTTGAGAGGCTGGGGTGGGAGGATCACTTGAGCCTAAGAGTTTGAGGTTACTGTAAGCTAAGATTGTACCACTGCATTCTAGCCTGAGCAAGGGAGTACGATCCTGTCTCTAAATTAAAACAAACAAACAAACAAACAAACAAAAACACTATCAAATCAAATGTCAGCACCATAAGCTGCTAGATCCAAATACTACTACTACTAATAATAATAACAATAGCACTCAAAAAGACAGTAATCAGACTTAGCACAAGTGGCGAGAAATAAACAAATACATTAGTAATCCCGGCCTACCTATGTTGCAGCAATATAGGTAAACCTATAAGAATAAATCTTGACTCAAGATACGTCTGAAATATAACTCATTCTCTACTTTCCCCAAATTATAATACACTAAAATATTTTTCATATGTAACAAATACACATAATTTAATCCCTGCAAAACCTTTGGAGGTGAAATTTTTTCATAAAAAGCTCAGTCAGAGTCAGCTGGTTTTACAAATAAATTTTAGCAAGTAGGCTAATGCACAAATACAGTATCTGCAAATAGCGAGAACCAACTGTATATTCAAAGAACTGAAGGAAACATGCCTAAAGAATGAAAGGAGGCCGGGCAAGTTGGCACTCACCTGTAATCCCAGCACTTTGGGAGGCTCACTTGAGCTCAGCAGTTTGAAACCAGCTTGGACAACGTGGCGAAACCCTATCTCTACAAAATACAAAAATTAGCAGGGCGTGGTGGCACGCGCCTGTGGTCCCAGCTACTAGAGAGGCTGGGTTGGGACAACTGCCTAAGCCTGGGAGGTTGAGGCTAACAAGGCTACAGTGAGCTGTGATTGCACCACCGCACTCCAGCCTGAGCGACACAGCAAGACCCTGTCTCAAAAAAAAACCAAAAAACAAAAAAAAGCTCAGAATTATGTTTTAGGCTAAAACTAAATAATTAAAACTAGTGGCAGGCAGAAAGACAAGGCAATCACCTCTTCACCTCTGCACTTTGCTTTATTGTAGTGGAAAAAAAAAGCAATGTGACTCTTGAGCTGATAAAGGCTTTAGAATATGGCAAAATGTTCTAGACCTGGTAAGTTTGGCAAATGCTGCACAATACGTAATGTCTCTCTTGGAAATTCACAACGTATTTTAACATTTAAAATGTTTATCCCATGGCCACGTGTGGTGGCTCACGCCTGTAATCCCAGCACTTTGGGAGGGTGAGGTGGGTGGATCACCTGAGGTCAGGAGTTCAAGACCAGCCTAGCCAACATGATGAAGCCCCATCTCTACTAAAAATACAAATAGCCGGGTGTGGTGATGAGCACCTGTAATCCCAGCTACTTGGGAGGCTGAGGCAGGAGAATCACTTGAACCCGGGAGGCGGAGGTTGCAGTGAGCCGAGATCACGTCACTGCACTCCAGCCTGGGCAACAAAAGCGAAACTTCATCTCAAAAAAAAAAAAAAGCTTATCCCAACTTATATGAACATAGAACCCTTATTTCAAGAAGCACTTATTTTTTTTTTTTTTTTTTTTTTTGAGACGGAGTCTCGCTCTGTCGCCCAGGCTGGACTGCGGACTGCAGTGGCGCAATCTCGGCTCACTGCAAGCTCCGCCTCCCGGGTTCACGCCATTCTCCTGCCTCAGCCTCCCGAGTAGCTGGGACCACAGGCGCCCGCCACCGCGCCCGGCTAATTTTTTGTATTTTTAGTAGAGACGGGGTTTCACCCTGTTAGCCAGGATGGTCTCGATCTCCTGACCTCATGATCCACCCGCCTCGGCCTCCCAAAGTGCTGGGACTACAGGCGTGAGCCACCGCGCCCGGCCGAGAAGCACTTATTAATAAATATATCATACGGAGTGAAACACAGTTTAGGAAATTCTGATATAAGAAAAAAGAACATAGGCTCTACAGTCTAAAGAACTCACCACCACTTGCCAGCTGTGTGATCCTGGGAAAGTTACTTAACGTCTCTGGACCTCAGTTTTCTGTCTGTAAAATGAAAAATCACACTACCCACCTGAGGGCTTGGCACACAAAAAGATCCTCAATAAATTATTCAGTCCCTCAAATTTTTCATATAATGGATTGTATGTTGGCCTTGTGACAGCAATGAGTTTTATTATATAAATGTTTATTTATGTTAAAACATATTATTATTTTTTTTGAGACGGAGTTTTGCTCTTGTTGCCCAGGATGGAGTGCAACGGCATGATTTCTGCCCACTGCAACCTCTGCCTCCCAGGTTCAAGTGATTCTCCTGCCTCAGCCTCCTGAGTAGCTAGGGTTACAGGTGCCTGCCATAACACCTGGCTAATTTTTTGTATTTTTAGTAGAGATGGGGTTTCACCATGTTGGCCAGGCTGGTCTCGAACTCCTGACCTCAGGTGATCCACCCGCCTTGGCCTCCAAAGTGCTGGTATTACAGGGGAGAGCCACCGTGCACGGCCAAAACATATTATTTATATAAAATTTAATGCATTTTATATGAAACATTTTACTATGTAATAAAAATGAGGTTCTACTCTTAGGTGATCAAGATACAAAGAACAATAAGGTGTGATCCCTGCTGGGAAGCAGGATAAACTGGTTGACAAAAAAATGTCTCTTTCTTTCTTGGCCGGGTGCAATGGCTCACGCCTGTAATCCCAGCACTTTGGGAAGCTGTGGGCAGATCACTTGAGGCCAGAAGTTCGAGACCAGCCTGGCCAACATGGCGAAACCCCATCTCTACTAAAAATATAAAAATTAGCTGGGCGTGGTGGCACACACCTGTAGTCCCAGCCACTCTAGAGGCTGAGGCACGAGAATCGCTTGAACCCAGGAGGCGGAAGTTGCAGTGGGCTATCTTACCATTGCACTCCAGCCTGGGCAACAGAGAAAGACTCTGTCTCAAAAACAAACAAACAAACAAACAAAAAGTATCTTTCTATTTATTTATTTATTGAGACAAGGTCTCACTCTGTTGCCCAAGCTGGAGTACAGTGGCACGAATATGGCTTACTGCAGCCTCAACCTCCTGAGCGCAAGTGATCCTCCTGCCTCAGCCTCCTGAGTAGCTGGGATCACAGGTGTGCTAATATTACCACACCTGGCTAATTTTTAATTTTTTTTTTTTTGTAGAGTTGCCCAGGCTGGTCTTGAACTCCTGGGCTCAGGGGATCCTCTCGTCTTGGTCTCCCAAAGTGCTGGCTGGGATTACAGGCATGAGCCATCACAGCTGGCCAAATGTCCCTATTTCTTGATAAAGACAGTTAAGACTTGCTTATTACTCTCAAAAATTCAAGTGGGAGATACAGGAAAGGGAGGAGATCAAGATCAACAAGCATTTAGTGAGTACCCATTAAGTTTTAGAGACTAGGCACTAGGTAAATAAAAGCCAACACCTTCATGGCACTTACATCCCAGTTGGGGAGACGGACATACAAGATTAGTAGTGATTTGAAGAAAAATAAAGCAGTACTTAAAGAGGTGAAAGGCAATAGGGAAGTGCTATTTTAGATAAGACAGTCAAGGAAGGTCACTGGGAAAGGTGACAAGTATCTAGATCTGAATGAAAATAAAACACGTTTTAGTCTTTGCAGTCTTGCAGTAAGTTTTTGTCAACACTATTCAGAAGAGTATGATCCATGGAAGAAACAGAAACCACTAGAGGTCACAGTACACAGTAAGAGACAAGATGGTACCACAGTAAATGACAGCACCCAAAGTTTTCACTGCTTCACGGGTCACATTTATACTATGTTTTTGTCATGTGCATTACAAAGCTAGCTTTTGCTATGATAACTACTTGTCATGTAGTTTCTATTTAGATATCGCTAAAAAGAAGGCAGCGCAAGAAGAGAAGCTAATGCATTAAAAACTTCTTGAAATATATGAAAGAGGTAAGGCTCAAGAGCCTTCATGGCCATCAACCTCAAGGTAAGGGGACTGATTATACCCATCTTGGCATCTCCAAACTATTGTCCTATTAGGTGACTACTCTTCCTCAATACTAGGCCTCTCATTTTCTCTCTCCATCAATGCTATTCCTCACTGCACACGTGTAAATGTATACATTATTATATGAATGTAGGCTTAGATTGATAAATAATGTCTCCAAGAAATGGCCAAAAGCTCCTATCCTGTTCCTTTATAGTAATTTCTTTTTTTTTAAAATTATACTTTAAGTTCTAGGGTACATGTGCACAACATGCAGGTTTGTTACACATGCACACATGTGCCATGTTGGTGTGCTGTACCCATTAACTCGTCATTTACATTAGGTATATCTCCTAATGCTATCCCGCCCCCCTCCCCCCACCCCACAACAGGCCCCGGTGTGTGATGTTCCCCACCCTGCGTCCAAGTGTTCTCACTGTTCAATTCCCACCTATGAGTGAGAACGTGCGGTGTTTGGTTTTCTGTCCTTGCAATAGTTTGCTCAGAATGATGGTTTCCAGCTTCATCCATGTCCCTACAAAGGACATGAACTCATCCTTTTTTATGGCTGCACGGTATTCCATGGTGTACATGTGCCACATTTTCTTAATCCAGTCTATCATTGATGGACATCTGGGTTGGTTCCAAGTCTTTGCTATTGTGAATAGTGCTGCAATAAACATACGTGTGCCTGTGTCCTTAAAGCAGCATGATTTATAATCCTTTGGGTATATACCCAGTAATGGGATGGCTGGGTCAAATGGTATTTCTATATTTCTAGTTCTAGATCCTTGAGGAATCGCCACACTGTCTTCCACAATGGTTGAACTAGTTTACGGTCCCACCAACAGTGTAAAAGTGTTCCTATTTCTCCACAACCTCTCCCTTTATAGTAATTTCTTATGGTTAATTTGCTTTTTACATACTAGATTTTACATTAGAGGTTCCCCCTAAAGTACTGTTTTAAGTGTCTATCTCATGTGTGTATCATGAAGTCCCTACAATTGATTTAACAAATTAGTTTTGTGTGCCAGGCATCATACTAATTGCTAGGTACTAAGTATACAAAAAAGAATAAACAAGACCCCTGCTCTTGTTGATTTACAAGTCAATACAAAAGACAAACATGGAAACAAATTATGTAGGCACCACGTTTATGTACTGGAAGCTAATAGAATGCATTGGAGAAAGAACCACCTAATTCTGCCTGCTGAAATCAGAAAAAGCTGAAAGACCATAATATTAGAGCCAGGTCTTAAAGGATAAATAGGTAGATGGGGAAAGGAAGACCCCGGGTTATTTAGGCAGAGTGAGAAATGGACACAGTGGTGAAGGTGGGATCAAACCAACTTTTTTAATGAGGCTGGGAAAATGGGAGTTGGTGGTCTGGATTCTAAAAGGCTTTGTATACCAAGCTAATAAGTTTGAACTTTATCTTTCCTTTGGCGGAGGGGGGGGAGGAATTGAGGTATTTTAGGGAATAAAGTGACGAACAAGATTATATTTATAATTTAGAAAGAACACAAAGATGAACTGCAGATGTCAGTCAGAAAACAAGAGATTAGTGAAGAGGTTGCTGCAACAGGAGAAAGCCTGAATGAAGACAGTGACAGCAATAAAATTAAGAGTTAAAACTACAGGTATGTACAGTGTCCCCCCAAAAAAATCCCAAACAAATAAGAGGAAACCTATCTGGTAAATCAGGAAAAGCTTCACAGAAGGGATGACATTTATACTGGGCCCTAAAGAAGAAAAATCTCCCATGCAGAAAATGAGAGAACCACACAATGAAAGGGAAAGACACGGCCTGAGATCTCGTTAACGTAGTTAATACGTTTATTGGATCTTGAGAAGTCAAATGAAAATTAAAATCATCTTTCCCAAAATTATGTGCTTGGAAACTTACAGACAAAATTTTAATCACAGGAATAACTGCAATCACATGTTGGTCCATGGACTGACTCCAAGTAAAGAACTCCTGAATAGGAGTAAACAAGTTGGATTCAGGTGATGGGACTGACAAGGGGAGGGCTGAAAAGCATGCTGAGACCAAGGTTGTGAAAACTTTTTATTACAAAGCTAAGAAATCTGGATAACACAGACAATTCTGAAGGCATTTTTAAAAATAGATATTTTCTTATTAAGTCCTTACAACAATGAATTTGCTTACAAAACTTAAGTACTATTATCCATTTGCAAAAGAATTAACGTTTAAGGAAAATAACATGCCCAAGGTCACACAACTATTTCAATAGTGAAGCCAGTACATAGGCTATCTGACTCAGAGCCCTTGTACTCCCCATCACTAATCTAGGAAAAATGGAAATTTTAATGGAGTACTTACTTATTTTAGCCATCAAAAATCTACGAAGTCACTGTTAGTCTTGAACCTAAAAGTGTCTCATATAAACGTGGTTTACTCATAAAATTACTTTGCCCAGTATTCTCAAAGTGTAATCACATAATCACTCAATAATTTCAATTTTGATAATGAAGTTTACTAAAAAAAAAGTCTTCAAAATTTGTGTTACAAATAGAGACACCAATTGTAAAACTTAAGGAATCCTGGTCCCCAAAATACAGGAAAAACTTGAGAAGACATCATCAATTTTTCAAGAAAACAAAGAAAGACTGTTTTCTAAAGTTAATCTTATCCACACTGTCTGGCAGTGGTTTCAGAAAAGGAACTGAAGGAAAGAGGAAAACAAACCACATCCCATAGTCACTTAATACCAATTTTCACTGAATACAGTTTGACCTAAGTATCATTTTCTTAGTAAGTATTACTTTCAGTGTTTCATTTTATCATCTTCACAAACTTATGAAAATTGAAAATATGCCCAGAATGAGACAAGCTTCTCTATTCACTCATATGTTAGTTTATTTCTTGATTTGGTGCAATCCCAAAGATAGAGCCATTTCTTTTAAGTGCTGCAAGAGTTGGAGAGAATATGGTCCCAGGATGTTGCAAAAGGGATTACTTGGTACAATCTAAGTCTCTAGGACATTTCTAACTAAATAACTGATGAAAATACATTTGTAGTATTAAGCATCCCATAAGCAGGGGTCAGACCTTTATAATGTAAAAATGCCTACAATCTATCTTTATATATTATGTGCTCCTCTCCTAGAGTCCGAGAAAACTGTCTTAACTAGGCTCCCACCTTCAGAACTGTCACACAATCAGTGTTCCTTAAGTAAATGAATATATCTTATTCTTCTTTTCAAATGTGAAACCAAGAGCTATTCAACAAAATTTACTGATGGTGAAAATTTTCCTGCTTCTTCATACAATTTTTACTTTTTCTCTATCTGGTCATCAAGGACACAGTTGATCTTATCTGGACTACAGGGGAAAATGTGTCAAAAATATGATAAATTTTGTGAAGACTTGTACACAAATTTTCTATTCTGATTGTATAAAGCATTATAAGGAGATAAAGGTCAGAAAATAAGATAGTTTTGCAGACATGGTTACCCAAGGTTATTAGCTAAGCAGTGGTAAAGTCACAGTCAAGACCCAACTTAACTCCCAATCCCATGTGCTTTCTATTACAATACAGTGTTACAGGAATACTTGTTCTTGTTTCATTTATTAGTCTAAAAAACATTTTTTGGGAAAATTTTAGGTTAAAAAAAACTTCATAGAAAAGACAAATTACACATGCTTTCTTTTAAAAATTCTTCTGGGCCATCACATCTCTGGTGTCACCAAGACTCAAGACATTAAAACATTACCTTAAACAAAACTGCAGTTGCAAGCACTAGACATAAAGCAGAATACATATATATGTGATCCTTTGACAAGCTTCAATGTGACTGGTTACATTCATTCTTGTCATCTTTCCAGGGAGACAACTCAAGCTTAGAAGCCTTACCCAAAACCCACAGTTGTTTTCCTGCACCACCCCTCTCCTTCCATTAGTTTCCCCTCCTCCCATAGCATTCTGGGTCCTTACCAATCTCTACCTTTGGCACTGGGATGCTTTCCCCACCCCAGACCTTCACGTGACTCATTTTCATCCTTGCAGCCCATAGGGTCTTACTAACTAAAGTGGCCTCTCCCAGTTACTTCTTTCTAAGCACATACTACAATTTATAATTAACCTTTTTACTTATTTTTCTAGTTAATTGTCTTTCCCATCAGGATATCCCATGAAGGCTCTCTCCTCACCATTGTCTCTACAACACCTCCTTTTCCATCATTACCAAAACCGCACTGGAAATACTGTCATTCCTACCACCTCCCACCAACTGTAAGTTCATCAAGGCTAAGTGCTGTCTTACTCATGTTTCCCCAGCACTTGGTAAAGTCCCTGGCACTATCCTATGAAGTCAGTAAAAATCTGTAAAATAAATGAGCTTACTAAACAGGGATGACTACTACTAAGGAAGCAGAGAACAACAACACGTTAACATTTAATAGTACAGGGCAATGTTGCAGGTTGTACACACAAAAATTGGAGTGGTACAATCCACGGAAAAGATTAGTAAGGACAAAATTCCATTCAGAGAGATGAGGTGCTTCTGCCTCGGCAGAGAGAGGGAAGAAAAGCAATCAAGCAAGCTAACTTTTATTCTACTCCGGACCAACAGAGCAAATTGCCCCCCAAAATTATTATTTTAGAACGCCGCAATTTATTCAGCATACTGGACTACTTATTAGACTCCAAGTACCAACATGCCACGATTATTTTGCATTTTCTAAGGTACAACAGATAAGGAGCTGATGGGTGCCTCTGAAACCTGACAGAACAAACATTGGAAGCAGAAATAATAATGGCCAATATTTGTATTTGTAAAAGACTTGAAAACATACAGAAAAATCTCGGAGTGGTCATGGAGACTAAACTAAACACACCCATAAATATGTAATCATAGGTTAGGACCCACCAAGGCACAGAAATGATCATACGACTGCCAAAAGAGGCCACACTCTACATCCCTCTTCCCATCCTCTTCTACTCAAAGAGTCAGCCTTATTCTCGGTAGCACAATCCTCTCAAAGAAATACAGAAAAGACGAAAGAACGGCTTAAACGTAAAAAAAAAAAAAGCAAAAACCAAACAACCAACCGGCTCCGCAATCCCTAATCAGAAAGCTCTAGACGCCTTTCGAAGCCAACTGTCATACCTTTTAGGAGCCCAGAAGATGTTAACTCCAAAAATAAGTCTCTGGCCCCAACACACCTCTCTGGATTATTCAGAAAAACCCGGGTTTACCAGTTCGGAGATCTGCACTCCACTCAAAAAAGGATCTCCCGGCAGGGACAAGCAATCAATCCCTCAGGGGGCAGTGGCGCTCCAACCACCCGGCCAGGACACAGGCAACGGCGACAGGGCACAGCCCTTCCAGGGACCCGCCAGGGCCCTCCGGGATCTCAGTAAGGCTCAGAGCAAAACGACCCAGCGGTGGCCAAAGTCGGGCAGTGGCGCAGGGGGGCCAGCGGTCGAGCTTCCGAGCTGGGCCTTCCCGGCCCGGGGGCGCGGCGAGTCACGGAGGTGGCGCCTTTCAGTTTGGACCCGGCTGCTTACAGAGGATCCAGGGCCTCCTTCCCTGACTTCCCCGCCCCGCCGCCCTCAGCCAGCCAGTCAGCCCCTCACCTGGCAGAAGCTCCGGCAGTAGTTCAAAGATGAGACCTCCGACACCTCTTGCTCCCTCAGCTCTGTCTCCAGCTGCCACAGACACGGCCGCAGTCCCGAGGCTCCCGGCGCTGGAGATACGGGGCGATGACCCCGAACCATGGACTCAGTCTCGACTCCATCTCCGGCTCCCGCTACCGCCGGAGCCTCAGCCCCAGCCCCGGCGACAGCGGCGGCGTCTCCCTTTCCGTCCGCCATCTTCCCACGGCCCACCAGCGCGTAGGCAACCAAGCCACGTGACTCAGCCCTGGCCCTGCCCCCGGCCGCCCGCGCACTGTGACGCACTCCTTAGCGACGCGGGCGCCCGCCTGATTCCGTCACTCGGACTCCGGGTGCTCTCAGTGGCCTACGCATCGCCAGTCCTGACAACAGCCTAGCAACAACTGGCTAGAGGCTATGCCCACCTAGACCCCTTTGAGGTCATGGGATCACGGAGCCAGAAATGCCTGTAGAGCAATCTAGATTTGAGGGGGATGACATTTGAACTGCGATCTGAAGGGACAAGAGGAAGGTAGCCCTGAAAGGAACATAGCGAAAAGCATCCCTGGTAGAAGGAAAATAAGCAAAGATTGTGAGGCCGAAATGAAGAGTAACATCAAGGGAACTTGGTTTATGATACAGACGGCATTACAAGTCAGTGGGCGAAAGGACAGACTCTTCAATAAATGGCGATGAGACATTTTTTCCAAAAGGGAAATAAATGATTAGATTTCTACCTCAAACCATTTCCAAAAATAAGGCCGAGATGGATTAAAGACCTGCAAACATTTTTCAGAAAATAAAAATAGCTTTATAATGTCAAAAATAGGGAAGAATTTTTTTTTTTTTTTTTAGACGGAGTCTCACCCTTGTTGCCCAGGCTGGAGTGCAACAGTGCTATCTCAGCTCACCGCAACCTCCGCCTCCTTGGTTCAAACATTCTCCTGCCTCAGCTTCCGGAGCAGCTGGGATTACATGCATGCGCCACCATACCTGGCTAATTTTGTATTTTTAGTAGAGATGGGGTTTCTCCATGTTGGTCAGGCTGGTCTCGAACTCCTGACCTCAGGTGATCCGCCCGCCTCAGCCTCCCAAAGTGCTGGGATTAGAGGCGTGAGCCACCGCGCCCGGCTAAGAATTTCTTAATAAGACCGGAAAAGCACAAACCATAAGGGAAAATATTTAGATTTGACTGTATTAAAATGTGTTACTTCCGTATAACAAGTTGAAAAAGCACACAAAGACAAGCCACAGACTAAATGATATTCCCCATATATATAACCATTGTTTATTGTTGTTGTTTTTTGAGACAGGGTCTCACTCTGTCACCCAGCCTGGAGTGCAGTGGCACGATCTAGGCTCACTGCAACCTCTGCCTCTCAGGTTTAAGTGATTCTCGTGCTTCAGCCTCCCAAAGTAGCTGGCACTATAAGCGTCCGCCACCATGCCTGGCTAATGTTTGTATTTTTAGTAGAGGCGGGGTTTCACTGTGTTGGCCAGGCTGATCTCGAACTCCTGGCCTCAAGTGATCCGCCCGCCTTGGCCTTCCAAAGTGCTGGGATTACAGGCGTGAGCCACCGCGCCCAGCCATAACCATTGTTTTGATTAGTATCCAAAACAGTTCCCGGGCTGGGCGAGGTGGCTCACGCCTGTAATCCCAGCACTTTGGGAGGCCGAGGCGGGCAGATCACGAGGTCAGGAGATCAGGACTATCCTGGCTAAC